>NC_000001.11:47735653-48038683 GCF_000001405.40 Homo sapiens | reverse complement strand
TTTTTGCATTTTCTTGGCTTGCAAGTATTTCCAACAAATAGCTATTTGATGTTAACTCTATACTAGGGGCATTGCAAAGTGTGAGCAGCTCTTGGTCTCATGTTCAAAGCCCCCAGTGCACAGGCCCAAATCCCCCTCTTAGCGTCAGCTCCCTCCCCTCCCTTAAGCAAACACTCTCCTCTGTCATGATGAAGAGTAACTACTCCAACAAGCTCACCCCTGGTTCTCCTGCCTCCAGGTCTTTGTTCAGACTCAAAGCTTCCAAGCTCTGTTCCTGTGGGCTCAGGAATTCCAGGAGTTGTACTCGGGAGTCCTTCTGCTGAGATGGATCTTAAGATCCCTGTGGTATAATACAGATTAGCAGGCTTCCAAGTCAGAACTGAAGCACCAGATCTCAGTTCTGCCCCTTTGGCTGTGGAACTGTGAACAAGTTATTTAACCTCCCTGAACTCAAGCATTCCTATATGAAAAGTATGTGTAATAATTCTCATATGAAGTGTATTAAATGAAACAATGTACAGAGAGTACACTTCCCATTTAAGTTTTCAATTCACACTCAAACAAATTACATTAAGAATATGGTTTTCTCTATTTTTAATTTTCTTCCATAAGTTTTTCATGAATTTTTATGCCTACTGTATCTTTTTTTTAATCTTATTTTAAGTTCCAGGATACATGTGTACAACATGCAGGTTTGTTTCACAGGTAAACGTGTTCCATGGTGGTTTGCTGCACCCATCAACCCATCACCTAGGTATTAAGCCCCGCACGCATTAGCTATTTATCCTAATACTATATCTTACCCATACCAAAGCCCAATTTAAGAAGGCATAAACTTAACACCAACCAAGATATTTGGCCATTTTGAATTTCACCTCAAAGTGGTTCATGAAATGTTCAGAGCTTCTCAAATCCTATGGAAGTGACCCTGAACTCTCTTTGAGAATTTGGCTCAACCTTGTCCTCAGCCTGTAGCCACACCCTTTCCATCTTTCAAGGTCTGTCCCCATGTTGAATTACAACTGTGGTCTCATCCATCTGTTTACTGTGATCTCGTTGGGGACAGACGTTGGGTGTGACTCTTTGCACAGAGCCTAAGAAAACTTTCAAGAAGTCCTTGAATGGACCGCCATTCATTCCAGTCATCCACTCAACCATCCATCTCCAGTCATTCACTCATCACACGTGAATTAAGGACTCTGTCCTCTTTAGAGAATTCCCCTCCAAAAGTGAGAACCTCTGCCTTATTTGTCCCCTTTCATTCTCCCTCTCCTGGAATCCTTCCAGCCAGTTCTGCTGCCCTCGTTGATATTCTCTGCCTTTCCTATTTCCAGGCAGCCTCTTCCATTCCCATTCTGCAGGGCCTCACACCTCCATGCAGGTAGAAGTTGGAACTGACACCTCAGAAGGAGCAATGTCCTATGGTCCACAGCTGGAGGCCTTTAAGGACATCTGGATGGATTGTGAGTTCCCTCCCCTTAGCCTTTTAAGCCCCAGGGTGCCAAATCTGAGCCTAGGCAGATAAGAAAGCTAGATTTTCATGTGCACATTTGGTGTGTATGTGGAAAGGGGAGGGGAGGGTTGGGGCAGGATCTCACTTACTCCAGAAAGCCCTTCTTCTCTACAAGCCCTTTGAAGTAGGGAGCTCTCAGAGACTGGCAGTCAGAGGGGAGCCTTTTTTCCACACCAAGTCCCTGCCATTCCTCAGCTGCAGAGGCCGGGATCAGTAATTCCGGAATCTCAGAAGCTTACACATTATTCATTCACTCAGCAAGTGCTTACTGAACCTAGCAAGTGCTAGGCTCTGGAGATGAATCAGACCCACATGCTTATTTCCAACCACAAAGGCTCTCAAATTGCTCCCAGCCCAAGAAGGGATGCAGACATGGAAATAGAGACAGTGCAGTGGAGTGTTTACAATCTTGGGTCCTGGTTTGGAATTCGACACCTGTATTTGATGCCTAAGAATCCTCTACAATGTTGGAGGAAGAAAAGAGGTCTCAAACTCCTGCTCACACACCTCTACTGATGGGGGAAACCACTACTACCCTATCTTCTCTGCCCCAGAGCAGTCTGTTACAACAGTAGACTCTCTGGCTGGTAGTTGTGCTACCTCCCTCAGAGCTGAAACCTGCCCCCTGTGCTCCTCCCACTGGTCTTAACTCTGACCTCTGGGGCCGCACAGACCCTCTCTGGCTGTACATGTCCCAGAACAGCTCTGAGGAGAATTGGAAGCAATGTCAGATTCCTACAAAACTCAGTTCCTAAAGATTGTTTGGCTTCAGAAAAGCCACTCTAGAACCAGTAAGCAGGAATCACAAGACTGGTGGGGGCTGGAGACGAGGAGCTCAGTAACACATCAGGTGGGATATGATGTGGCTTGAGCCAAGCAGGATCTGGGCTGGGGAAAGCCAGAGGGCCACTCATTGAGAAGTCCTGCTGTTGGGGACTGAATGGGAGGCCATCTATTGGAGACTGCATGGGAGGGCATGCTGGAGGCTAGAAGCTCAATGGGGAGGCATGCTGGAGGCTAGAGGCTCAATAGAAGCTCATGCTAAACCTTGGAGACTCAATGAGAAGGCATGCTACAGGCTGGACACTCAATGGGAGGACATGGTAGAGGTTGGAGACTCAATGGGTGGGCATGCTGGAGGCTGGAGACTCAATGGGAGGATATGCTAGAGGTTGAAGACTCAGTGGGAGGACATGCTGGAGCCTGGAGACTCAATGGGAGGATAGGCTAGAAGTTGGAGACTCAGTGGGAGGACATGCTGGAGGCTGAGACTCAATGGGAGGGCATGCTGGAGGTTGGTTCTCAATGGGAGGGCATGCTGAAACTTGGTTCTCAATGGGAGGGCATGCTGGAGGCTGGAGACTCAATGGGAGGACATGCTGGAGGTTGGCAGAGGAGAGGCTGAATCAGATAGCCAGTTAGAGGGAGCTCCCAGGCTAATGAGAGAGACTTAATCCCTCTTTTACACAAGGAGAGGATATAAGACAAATGAGAATGAGAAAATAGAAAACAAGAGAGGCTTTCCAATTCCCAGCCCTCTGCCCCCTCCCCCTTCTAGCCAGATGTGCATCCCTCCCCCTGCTCTTTCCTTTGAAAGCATCTATTCTCAGGCTGCTAATGTTCTTGCCTAAGCAGCTGGAGGTCAAGCAGCTGGTTCATCTCTGTCCCATCTCAAGCATTACCCTTGTCCATGACTATGCCTGGTTCACAACCTGCACATGCAAAGGCTTAGTAAGTGAGTATTGAATAAATATCAGCATGTAAAATTGTTCATTGCACTAGTTTATGCTGATTGTGGCTGGTGCAGAAGCTGCATGTCTAAAGAAGTAGGAATCAGTGAACTTTAGGGTCAGGAGACCCAGATCTTAGCCTTGGCTCTGACATAAACTTAGTTTGCTCCAGAATGACCTTGAGCTGGTCTTTTTCCTCCATGGGATTCAGTTTCTCCATCTAAAAGGACCACACAAGACAACTCTGAGGCCTACTAAGCCACAAACGCCATATGATGATCAAGGATACCCCCTCCACATTTATTTGGCACATTCTATGTCCGTGTAGGGGACACCTGAAGAGACCATCTTCTAATTTCTCCCATAGCACCTCCATCCCCCTATCAGACTAGTTCTGAGCCCTCCATCCACCAACCAGACTAGTTCCAAAAGAGGAATGTGTTCAACTGTGAGCTTGGCCAAATTAAGCCAAAACCTCTCTCTCTGCAGAGGCAGTCTATTGAGGCTGGGAGGAGAAGCAAATTCCTATTTTTGAATAATTCACTTTGCAGTGGCTCTAAATTCCCCAGGATCAAGAAACCTCCAATGCCAGCTTTCCACTGCCCTTTTCTCTCAATTCTCCCCTGAGGCCACTTCAGTGGTAGACCTTCTGGAGCACTCTGCTGGCCTTATTGTTTTCCAGAACTGATCTGTCATTATAGTCCCTGGCCCAGTCATGTGCATAGGGCCTGAGTTATGCAGCACAGAAGGCCCAGATCTTCTAGGCTGCAGGCCTGTGCATCAGAGGGTAGCTGGGAATGAACTAGATCAAGACTAGAGCTTACTGAAGGAGGATGGTGGATCTAGTGTTACAAACTTTTGTGTTGTAGCATTTCAAACTGGAAGAGACTTTCAGGATTATTTTGTCACAGACTCCAGTTGTACAAATGGGTAAGGAAGTCACAGAGAGGGCACAGGACTTACCCAAAGCCACATCACATGTTCCTGGTAAGCTTAGAATGCAGATCCAGGTTTCATTTATTCACTTATCCCGCAATCATTTTTCTACCACCTCCCAAGTTCTAGGATTGAACTTGACTTACTTACATAAATTTGCATTCATTTAACCAACATTTATATAAAACTTATTATGTGCCAGGCACTGTTCGAAGCACTTTATTAATATTATTTCATTTAATACTTCTAAGAACTCTGAAGGTAGGTTCTATTATCTGCAATTTACTAAGAAGATTGAAACTCCAAGAGGCCAAGTAATTTTTCCAGGGTCACACAGCTAAGAAGTGGATCATTGAGGTCTGGATTCTGGTCTGTCCTGTACTCCTTCATAACTCTGGATTGTTCACTTGGAGGCAAGAGAAGTTCAATCCAAGTAACATGCAGTGCAAACAGTGGGAGATCCAAGGCCACAGAACAGAGGGATCCTGGGCAGGCAATGGAGCTCTGAGGACATCAGGCTCACATATAGCTGGGATGGCCCCAATGATAGGCTTGTCCCCAGCAGCCTCGCTTCTGCCCGGTACGGCAGCAATACACAACTCCAGGGAACACCGTCCACTCTGTATTCTATGTGAATTATGCCCCGTGGGGTTGTGCATCGCAGCAGTAGCCCAGCCTTCATGTGCACAAGCAACTGCCAGCCAGGTATGTGCCTCAGCCATTTAGTCAGGGCTGCTTTTCTCCAAGATGAGGACTCCTCAGCCCAGAACGGATGCCTTGCCAGCCCCAGACGTAATGTGCCCCAGCTGCTGCTGCAGCCCCCACCAGCTCTGCGCAAGATCATGCCAAGGGCAGCCTGGGGGTCATATGTCTAGACAGTCAGACTGAGAATGGGGCTCGGCATCTTGGGAGAAGTTTCCTGAATTCCTCCCATCTTTGGGAATGGAAACTGAGCTAACAGGGAATTTGTTCTAATTATAGGGAAATAAGGAGAATTGAACAAGAGCTCCTCATAGCTGAACTCTTCTGTAGAGTTTCTCCAACCCCCACTTTGTTCTTCTGTTCCATGAGAAATTACAGAGCACCAACTCTGTGCCAGCCCCCAGCTGGGCATTGGGCACAGAGAGGATTAGACAGGGCCCTAACTGCCAGCAATGCCCATCTAGCTGGGCAGGGAACTGACAAGCTCAGCCCATGATGCTGTAGGTTCCATCAACAAGGAATCCTGGGGATGAAGGAGGGCACACGGACACAGGCTTCTGAAAGCCCAGCCTGGAGGTCAGCCCAGGCTTCCAGACAAAGTCCAGGTTGAGCTGCTCTTTCCTTTCTTCTCCCCAAACCAAGGGACCCAGCTGAAAGGCCACCTCCTTCAGGAAATCTGATTTCAGGACACACCCATGGTCATTCAACAGGCACCATTCAACAAATACTCACTGAGGAAAGAGCAGCCGATGAGAGAGAAGAGTTGTCCACTCGTGGGGTTATGGCCACTCCCTTTTATAAGAAACCTTTGCACACATTTCACCCATTGAACCATCTCAGGGGTGTGTGTGTGCGCGCGCATGTGTGTGTGCATGCGTGTGTGTGTGTGTTTGCTCTTAAGCATTTCCCATGTTTATTTCAAGAAATAGGCAAGTATAATGATTAAAAACCTAACCTCTAGAATGAGACATTCACATTTAAATCCTGAGCTCATCTATGTAATCTTAAGCAAGCTACTTCGCCTCAGTTCCATTTATCAAATTGGTACAATGATAGTTACTTGAGAAATCTGTGTGGATTACATAAAGGAATGCTTGTTAATTGCTTAAGCTAGTGCTTGGTTATTATTGTGAGTGTAAACAGGGGCAGTCCCTACTGCTAGTCACATCAGCCCACAGTGTGTTAAGACAGGCTCTGTACTTAGTAGGCACCTTATGAATGCCTGGTGTTTGACTGATGTTTGGCAAGAAACAGAGGGTAGATATGTGTGGCCTTTTAAAAAAAATTGTTTTTAGGCCAGGCGCGGTGGCTCACGCCTGTAATCCCAGCACTTTGGGAGGCTTAGGCGGGCGGATCATGAGGTCAGGAGATCGAGACCATCCTGGCTAACATGGTGAAACCCCATCTCTACTAAAAATACAAAAAATTAGCCGGGCGTGGGTGGGTGCTTGTAGTCCCAGCTACTCAGGAGGCTGAGGCAGGAGAATGGTGTGAACCCGGGAGGTGGAGTTTGCAGTGAGCTGAGATCGCGCCACTGCACTTCAGCCTGGGTGACAGAGCAAGACTCCGTCTCAAAAAAAAAAAATGTTTTTATTAAGGTAAATCTATCTTTAAAAATTTACCATATTTATAATCCCAGCACTTTGGGAGGCCGAGGCGGGCTCCCATCTGTAATCTCAACACTTTGGGAGGCTAAGGCAAGAGGATTGCTTGAGCTCAGGAGTTCCAAGGCTAGCCTGTCAACATAACAAGACCCTACCTCTACTAAAAAAAAAATTAGCCAGGCAAGGCACGGTGGTGCATGCCTGTAGTCCCAGCTACGCAGGAGGCTAAGGTGGGAGGATCACTTGATCCCAGGATTTTGAAGCTACAGTGAGCTATGATCTCACCACTCCACTCCAGCCTGGGTGACAGAGTGAGATCCTGTCTCTTAAAAAAAAAAAAAATTCACAATGTTGCGCAACCATCACCATTATCCATTTCCAGAACATTTTCATCATTCCAAACAGAAACTCTGTATCCATTAAACAATAACTCCCTGTTCACTAACCCCCAACACACACATACCACTATTCTACTTTTTGTCTCCATGAATTTGCCTATTGTAGGTACCTCATAACAGTGAAATCACACAATATTTGTCCTTTTGTGTCTAGCTAATTTAGCATAATGTTTTCAAGGTTCATCCATGTAGTAGCACATGATAGATTTTCTTCCTTTTTAAGGCTGAATAATATTCCATTGTATGTATATACACATATTAATTTACCCATTTACCCATTGATGAATATTTGGGTTGTTTCAACTCTTTGACTATTGTGAATAACACTGCAATGAGCATTGGTAAATACGTGTCTGAGTCCTTGCTTTTAATTCTTTGGAGTACATACTAAAAAGCGGAATTGCTGGGTCTATGTTTAAGTTTTTGAGTAACTGCCATACTGTTTTTCACAGCAGCTGTACTATGGTATATTCCCACCAGCAATGATGTGTGTGGTCTCGAAGTAGGAGTTGCCTCCAGGGGTACCTGGCACCCTGCTTTGAAGATGTTCCTCAAAGTAATGGAAGCAGAGTGATGATGAGGAGGGCAAGCCTGGAGGAGGTGCTCAGCATGGGGAGGGCCCAGAAGCCACACTGAGGAGGCAGTGGAAGGCCCAGAGTGTGGGTCTGGCCAGAAAGCCCTGGAGGATGTGACAGCTGCCATTATATGTCCACCATGCTGCCTGGGGGCAGAGTGGGCAGCCCCAGAAACAGAGAGAAGTCTGGGGAGAAGAATTCTAGGGAAACTAGATCCATTTCCATATGAAGAAAAGGAAGGCTTTCTGAGAGTCAGGGCCATTCGGTGACATGAGCAGGGAGCTTTCCATCACTGGAGGTGTGCCAGGAGCAACTGATGGCCTTTTGGACAAGAGGCCAAAGGGCATAGGAGGTTGGACCAGATGGCCTCTGCGAGTCTGTAGAGCACTGTGTTCTGAAAGTGTGTGACTCAAGGATTCTGTAGCTGGATTCCATTTAAGCCCATTTGTGGGCAAAGATTCTATGACTTGCTATTCCTACCCATCCAGACAAATCCTGCCCTGGCTTCTCTATGTGAGCCGTATTGGCAAGGACCCCTTATTGGCAAGTACATTGCTCAGCCTAAGCAGAGGTGAGCTTCATTTCCATTTATTATGTGACTCTATACATTCCTGTGACTCCCATCTACATTTTCAATTGGAAATAATACCATATGCCTACAAAAAAGAAAGATGCAGGGAATGGATTTGGAAACCGTGCAGAGGTGGGCAGGGGGCAGAGGGAAAAGGTACAAGGAGCTTTCCTGTCTGGCCTTCAAGGGCATCCAGAGCCTGCCCCTTCCCCACCACCTGTGTCCCCCACCCCTGCCTCTGGCCTAGGTGCAGAACTAACTTTATCTCTGTCTCTGCTGGGCACTCAGCCTCCCTGCTGCTGCGGTGCTCTCTTTTGTACTCTTCTCTCCTTCCAATCCTTCAACTCACGCTCCCTGCCAAGCCTGCTTCCTGGGATACCTGCTCTGATTCTCTCCGCCTATGCAAATCCTACCCATCATTTATGGCTCACCCAGAAAGCCCACAAAGGCCTTCTCCCATAAAGTTTTGTATGCTGAGATGCCACTCCATGCAATCATTCAAAGATATTTATCTATCAAGTGTTCAGCACCAGGAGTGCTAGAGGCACTGGGGATATATCAGCAAAGAGAGTCAACATCATCTCTGCCATCACTGAGCTTCGATTGTAGCTGGAGACACCAGAAAAGAAATACGGAAGCAAATACACAAAATTTCTTGGTATAGAGATGATTAGTGTGAAAACGATAGAATAGCAGATATAACAGAGGCTACTCTGTAGAATGGTCAGTGAAGACCTCTCCAAGAAGTGATATTTGAGCTTGAATTATGAAAGCAGCCAGCCCTGAGAGGATCTGGAAGAAGCCTTCCAGGGGAGTACAAAGACAAAAGTGACAGACTAAGGTTAGATTGTTCAAGGAACAGGAAAGTGGCTACTGTGGCTGGATCATGGAGAACAAGACAGAGTGGAAGATGTGGCAATAGGAAGACAGGCAAGAGTGGTGATTTAAGACATGGTAAAGATTGTAATTGGAAGCTATTTGAGAGTTTTTTTTTTTTTTTTTTTTTTTTTTTTTAGGGACAAAATCTTGCTCTGTTGCCCAGGCTAAAGTGCAGTACCACGACAATAGCTCACTGCAGCCTCCAACTCCTGGGCTTGAGTGATCTGTTTGAGGGTTTTAAGCATAGGAGGGACATGATCTGATTTATAATGGCAAGAAGATGCCATGGCTGCTGCGTAGAGAATGGTTTGTAGTAGGAAAGGCTGGAAGCAGGGAGGCCAGTTAGGAGCCCACTGCAGCAGACTAGGCAAGAGACAACAGTGGCTTGGACCTGGGAGGTAGTGATGTGAATGGTGAAGAGTCAGATTGGCCAGGCGTGGTGGCTCACGCCTCTAATCCCAGCACTTTGGGAGGCCAAGGCAGGGGGATCACAATGTTAGGAGTTCGAGACCAGCCTGGCCAACATGGTGAAACCCTGTCTCTACTAAAAAAAATTAGCCAGGCATGGTAGCATGTGCCTGTAATCCCAGCTACTTGGGAGGCTGAGGCAGGAGAATCGCCTGAAACTGGAAGGTGGAGGTTGCAGTGAACCGAGATCGCACTGCACTCCAGCCTGGGTGACAAGAGTGAAATTCCATCTTAAAAAAAAAAATCCAAAAGAGACAGATTTGAGATAAATTTTAAAGTTACAATAGCCTGGGGTTTGAGAGAAGAAGCTCTTTCTACTCAGAACTCACTTGCATGTCTCATCTTCACACAGGGGAACAAAGCCATCGTGTTTGCATGAAGCCCATTCTATGAACAGGCTCAGTCCCTCAGGCAGAGAGGCCCAGCTGTACTCCACTAAAGGGAAACGCAGAATCCTGGTAGGTCTGCTCTTCCCTGTGTGTTCTGGAAAGCACTTGCAAAGCCTGAATTCCCAGCCCACATGCTGGAGCAAAGCATTCTGTTATCCCTTTGAAACTTAAGAAAGTTGCAGAAACAGCCATTTACCTGTCACATGGTTTTCATAATTTCCCTGCCACCTCCGCTAATCACTGAAGGGAGTTTTGGCCGGTGGTGGGTCTGAGGCGGGCATGCTGAACTGCAGCTAGTTCATGAGTAGAGAATTGGAGCCGAGATCTTACGGGGCCCCTCCTGAGTGGGTCTAGCCACAGGGGTCTGCTCATGAATATTTGGAGGCCTTGACGAAACCTGAGAAGCAAACCGATGTGCAGGAGGGTAAACCAGGTGACGTGTTACAAAGTCGAGTCAGTGAGTACCTGTGAGCCCAGCCCGGAAACACCCATGTGTGGTGTAAGAGGAGGGTGAAGAATTGTGGACAGTGTGAAAGATACTGAGTGACTCAGGACTGACAGGGATGCAAAGTACATGATATGTCCATGTAGTCTCAAAAATCATACCTCTTTATTCCTTCTCTCCATGAAGATTAATATGTGTGCTGTTCCAAGCACTAGGATACAGTGGCAGAACATTAACTCAGTCCTTTTCTGCCCAGAAATATGGATTAAAGGAAAGTGCGCAATGTGGTTCCAATTGCAGACACTCAGGAGAAGGGGATATGAGCATGGCCTTGAGTGATGACTAGGAAGGCTTTCTGGAGGTGGTGACATGCCAGATTAACTAGAAAAGGCACTAAGGGAAATCCAGGGCTTCATAGCATCAGTGGAGAAAACTTGGACTTTGGACCAAACAGGCTTGTTTTCAAGCTAACTGAGCCTTTGTTTTCTCATCTATAAAATGGGAATTTTAATGCTTGTTTTAGGTATATTACAGAGATTAAAGGACCTTGGAGCAGATGTGCCTGGTTCAAAGTGAGGTTTCCTGAAATGGTTGGTTGCTGGGGGCCAGGGAGCAGGAGGTGATAAAGAGTCTCAGAGAGAAAATCTACAAAACTATCTCTTCCCCCTCAACCTATGGACAAGGTTAGGGTAAGTAGGCCCCAAGGCAGCATCCCAGATTGTTTGGGTCTGGTGACCTGTTTGCCTAGAGCTTCCAGAGGGCACTAGCACAGAAGGCAGCCAGAGAGGCTTTGCTAAGCGAATTTTCACAAGCCAGGAGGGCCCTACTCTGAGGTTCACACCTTGCGAACTTGAGATGTTGGCTAAGTTCAGGCTGTGGGAGGGGAAGGCAAGTGCTGCATCAGCTGGATTTGGTGGGGAAGTAGGCCTCCAGGGTGGAAAAGGAAAATAAAGAGAAGGATTCTTGCCATAGCTTGCTCACAGAGAGATGCAGTTCTCAAATCTCCCCACCTCCCCCATCCCAGGATTTTGTTGGAGAACTAATCTTTGGAATCTGACCCAGCAAAGACTCGCCTCCTCCAGGAAGCCTGCTTGGACTGCACTGGTCACTTACGAGCTCTTACTCCTCCAACCCTGTGCACCTGACTGTGGCTTCACTCTCATATGCCAAGTACGTGCAACACATCCTGTTTTGTACAGTTCATTCTTGATTCAGATTGTAAAAGTCCACTAGCAAAGGCAAAAGGAGGAGGAGAAATTACACACTTATTGAGCCCCTACTGTATACCTCACTCCGGGCTAGGCACTTCTCATGTCATCTCACGTAAATCTTGCAACAGCTGTCCAATGTAAGGGCCACTATCTCAATTTTACAGATGAAAGGATAGGCTCAAAGAGATAAGTTCTGGAATTGGAACCCAAGTTGGCTGGACTATGAAGCTTTTCTAAAGTCATCTGTCCTTCAGGGCCTACTTCCTCCACATCAAAGCAAGATCCTCTGTGGGAAAAAGAGTACATTATGCATACTGTGGTGACGTGTTTAGAAAATGCTGCTTGTTAAGCATTTCTCTTAAGTTTCCCAAACCACAGTCGCATATTCGAGGCTCTGAGAAGTCCTGCAGAGAAGACACCAGACTAACTTTACCTAGCCTAACATTCCTGAGGGACACCTCAGTTGCATTATAGCTTCTATAATAACATCCTCCAAAGCCCCTGGGCACACACTTTGAGATACGCTATCTATAAAGCAAAGATCATCAAAATGGCAGTATTCAGGAACAAGCTCTCTGAGAAATCTGAGGTGGGTGGTGAAAGCTGAATGAGACGTGAATAAGAGGGAGTAGGAAGAAGGGTATGTGAGGTGGTGCAACAGAGAAAAGGCACAGAGTTGAGAGTGAGCAGCATGAGGGGTCAGGACCAGGAGAAGACAGCCTCAGCTGAAACTCAACATCTTAAGTCCATGAACTGTTGTCTTCTTTGACCACAAAAGCCTGTCTTTAAAGCCAGAAGCTCAGTGTGACTCTGAGTCATGCTATCAGGTGTTGCAAGCAGGAGCCAGTAGTTGAAATAAATATGAGTACGTGTCCCTATTGCCTAAGGAAACAGCAGAATGCAGCAGGAAGGACTTTAGTTAGACATTAGTTAGGCCATCAGTAGAAAATTCTAATCAATCCCCCCTAAACCACATGCATTGTCCTACCACCATCCCATTGCTTATGTTCCCCACACTGTAATGCTCAGGTGAAAGAAGCATGGCCTCCAGCAATGAATATCTTCCTTTCTGCACATTTCCACCTTCCCAGCCTCCACCATGCAGTTCATTTCCGAAAAAAAGACTTCTAAAGGCTCCATGCTCTCTGCTTTCTCTGGAATCAGAGGTCCCAATGCATTTGTCCTTCCAGAGAAGATGCTGGAGACTTAAGATGTCAATGTCAGGATTTGGAATCTTGGTACCAAGATTGGGCAAAGAAGTGGTCCTGCCAATTTCTGCCTAGGACTGAGCGTACCTGGAGTATTATACACTATCAGGGCACCACAGTGACAAATGCTGGGGTGTCCAAGTATTGATAGCCCAGATGGGAAGCTCCTAGAAATTGCCATAGGAGACATAGGTTAAGGAAAGTGGCGGGGAGACACTTATTGAGGGAAATACAATCAAAATCTTTAAGTAATAGCTCACATTTGTACAACCCCTTATGTAGTCTGGAGTAGGGCTTCTCAAATGTGGTCCCTGAACTACCATCATCACCATCATCTGGGAACAAGTTAAAAATGCAAATTCTTGCACACCACGCCTCCCAGAACACCTGAGTCAGAAAGTCAGGGTAGAGCCCAGTCAAGAGTTTTAATGAGGCCTCAGGGTGGTTCTGAAGCACGCTCAAGTTTGAGAACCTCTGACCTATACTCCCCTTATAATACTAGCTTCTCATGAAAATAGCATTATTATTTTTTGTTGTAGAAAGCATCTCAGAAAGGACATTTGTTCAGTCCTAGGACTCACAGCAGATAAGCTGCAGAGCTGGGGTCCCAACCCAGAGGGGACATCAAATCCCTGTCATTCTGCTCCCAAGGACACCAGACTCTAGCTTTGTAGGGGGAGGAGCTTCCCAGCAACAGGACAGAGCTGTCTGCCTAAGGTACTAAGAGAGCTGCCTGCCCTGGCCCCAGTCAGCCTTAATTGGCTCATTAATAGCTGTGATTAGCAAGAATGGAGAAGTCTTTATCTTTGAAGTCCCTGGGCTGTGCTAGAAGCTTATGCAGGGAGCTTGCTGTGGCTAATTAAAGCTGAGCTGTGTTTCCTGTCAAGGGCCCAGAGTGTTAATGGCTTCAAGCAAGAAAAATTAAGCTTCAATTTCCATTCAGGGGTAATGGATAGAACCAGCAGAATGAAGATGAGAAGACAGAGTCTTTTAAAGGGGCAGGGACCCTGGGCAGGAAGCAGAGCTCTAGGTCTTTTCTGAAGTGATAGCCAAATAGGTGCTGCTTGCTTTAGGGGGGATGGGGTGGGGGCAGGCTCAGATCCTCACATGGCAGCCCCAGGGCTGACATTGTCTTCATTCAGTGTGTTATTAGGATTTTTGAGCACTTCAGCTTCTGGCCCCTGATCACACCTGCTCAGATGGGTGTGAATTGTAAGTGGGGAGGGAGAGCTGGATGACAGTCCTGGTGGTAACAGGATCTCAGAGGCTGTGAGGGTTCTGGCTTCAAAAGTCATATCCATTGCAGACTTGAGGTCCTCCAACTACTACCATTAATTTATCAGTCACCTTTCCTCGAGTCTTCACTAAATGCCAGATACAGGGCATTATCTCATATAATGTTGCCAATAATCCTACAGAAATTGCACAAGGCATAGGTACATTAGTTAATTGTCTTGTCCAGACATATGTATCTGACAATGGACTAAACCCAGCTGCAGCTGATTCAAAATCCCTTGTCCTTAACCATGAATATAGCCAAGACACCCTGATCCTTGAACTTTCTTGAGGCCTGGGTCATTCCAAGCTTCAAATGCTAACTCCACCCAGCCATCTACCTGGTGAGGGCTCTTTTCTTATCCACCCCCACCCTACCTCTACCTTGCTTCAGGGGAGATGACTGAGGACAGAATCTTTCCTGAGACACATTGTGGTTGGGCGAAGGGGTCAAACTAGACCCTGGCTGTGTGGATATAAGTATAGAAATGATGCTTCTGAATCAGAAATCAGAACATGTGGTCTAAAAAATGGCCTATTCTTATTTAATTTCTTCTTCCAAAAAGTTTGATCAAAGTAATCAAATGTTAGGAAGTTTGAACACATAATACCTTTAGTGAAAAGAGTATTACATAATAAACACAAAAGTCAGACAATAATTGATATATCCATTCAACTAAAACCCTAATTTTTTAAATAAGAATTATCCAGGACACCCGGCAGGTGGTAAATGTGGCTCCCCTGGAGCCCATCATCATAGCTCCAAGTAGCTAAAGGCTTTCCCTTCTTCAAGGCCTAAGTCCTAGAAGCTGTCCCACTGCCCACTACTCTAACCCTCCTCCCCAGGAAAGTGGTTGCACCATCCCACCCCCAATTTCCTACCACTCTCTTTTTAATGACCTATTTCAGAGTTCAGTGTGTCTGCCCATCCTCCACCACCTCAAGGTCTGAGATTTTTAAAAAATTTAAAAATGGTCTGAGTCATCTCTGCCTCCCCAGGGCCCAGGCCCACAGAGCCCAGCAGGTGTCAGTGTGTTGGCTGAATGAACAAATGAATGACCATGCTGACTGAGAGGAACGTTTCTTGGCCTAGAATTCATCTCTGCGTACCCTGGGCTTTGTTTTTTTCTCACAGCCCTCCAGCACAGCTGGTGATTATGGGTCTCTGCGTCTGCCTCCTCAGAGGCGGTGGTCCAGGTCAAGGGCTAGGTCTAACTTGCCTCTTTATCCCCAGTGTCAACCCAGGGAACGGTGCCAAAGAGACCTACGGAAGGGCTTATTGAAAGAATGAATGATCAAAAGAACAAAGAACTTGCCTCAGAAATGTTCCATCCTTGGCAGAGAAAGCATTAACCTGTATGTGTGAACCTACCCCCATCCCCAGCAACCTAAATGAAATTAGAAGGGGGTCCCTGCTGATTGGTTATTCTAGGCCAGGCAGAGCACACCAGGCTGAGCCCAGAGGGTAGGGCTGGGGCATGGCCAAACTGGGAGCCCAGGCGGGGCAGAAGGGGCAGGGCCAAATGACCACTGTCACCAAGGACCCCTCCATGTGGATGGGGTTAGGACAGCTTCCCCAGCTCCAGGCTCTACTCAGCAGCTCCCTTTGGCTCCTAGAGCTCCTCAGTGGTCTGTGTCCTTGGCCCAGCCATGAAGGTCAACATAATAAAGAAGAAAAAAACACAGAGAAGTCCTGGCTCCTTCAAGGATGACGCTACCCTCCTCCCACCTCCCCTAACCCATGAAATGGGGCAATAATAATAATAATGCCACTTTCAGGGTGTAGTTGAAATATGGAGCTCAATTGGCCAACGGGATTGGGCTTTGCGAATTGTTATGTGGGACCTTTGGGTGGCAGCTTGCCCATAGTAGCTTCCATGAAGGCAGAAAGTGGTGTTGTACGTGGGGAGAAAAACAGATCAAATTATGCTGGGGGTGATGCAAAGTTCCCTTCCTGAGCATTTACCACATGCCAACCCCTGGGCTTGTAGACACACGACCGTGCATTACTTCATTAATTTTCATAGTCAATATTCAGAGTAGGGATTAATCCCATGGAAAAGATGGGGAAATTGAGGCCAGAGAGACTCAAAGAGGTAAAGACACGTGGCCCACATTGGTCTCAAATGTCAAGGCTGAGCCAGGCTCAGAACCCAGGACTTTCTGACCCCATACTCTCAAGTTGCCTCCCCCAAACCACAAACAGACATCCATTCTGGGTCAGTCTCAGCCATGCACTTGTTCTGTTTCCTTGTGCAAGTCGTTCCTGCTGTGTCTGTTGAAGTCTGACCCACTCCCTACCCCCAACTTCAAGGAGCTACTCTGTCCCAGTCTGCTCATTCACATGCCCATCTCTCTCCACGACCACCTCAAACTGCAGCTGCCATTTCTGTTAGAGCTAGAATCAGCATAGCAGCATGTATTTCTACTGGAAAGGATTGCATGAGCCTGTGCCCCTCCCTGATTGGGATCCCTGGGAAGACAGAGTCTGTATTCCATTCATCTCTATGCTCCTCTACACCACCAAGTCACCCGGCCCAGTACACAGCCTTGAGAAAAAGAAGGACACAGAGAAGATGCATCTATTAAAATGTCCCTTTTCCAGGCCTGTTTTTTCTCCAAACGGTGGATGAGTTCGATTAAATCAATGGTTACAGAAAGGCCAGGAGTAAGCCCTATCCAAACAGTCTGCTCCCATTACCTCTCTGACCTCATCTCCTGTGTTCCAGCAACACTGGCTTCCAGGACATCAGTCATCCCTGCCTCAGGACCTTTGTATCTGCTATTGTCTCCACCTGGAGTGATCTTTTCTCAGATCTACCCATGGCTACCTCCTTCACTCCTTCAGGTCTTCCTTTCCTGATCACACTATTTAAAGTTGTGTCACCCCCACCCCCCCAAGAATTCTCTGTCTCCTCCTCTTCTTTATTTCTCTCCATTGCATTTATCAGTATCTTACATTTTTAAAAAAGTGCTAAGTTGTTGGCTAGCTGCCTCAGAATTACCTGGGAGAGCTTGTTTAAAAATGCAGATTCCTGAACCCCACCAGACCAGCTAAATCAGGATCTCAGGAATGAAGACTGACTATTTGCATTTTATAAATGCTTTCTAGGTAATACTGATGCACAGACAGGATTGGGAACTGTAGAAAATCACTGGAACAAAGCCCCTCCCAGGTGGGACATCTTTGGATCAGCCAAGCCCCAGCTTCAGCTCTGGCCTTTGTTCCATCACCTGCACCCTGCGCCCCCCTAATGCTGTTCACGCAGCCTCCCTCATGCTACATGAAACTACTTGCTGTTCTCTGACCATAGTATCCTTTTAGACTTGTTCAACTTTTTTTTTTATATACTTTAAGTTCTAGGGTACATGTGCACCACGTGCAGGTTTGTTACATATGTATACCTGTGTCATGTTGGTGTGCTGCACCCATTAACTCGTCATTTACATTAGGTATATCTCCTAATGCTATCCCTCCCCCCTCCCCCGACCCCATGACAGGCCCCGGTGTGTGATGTTCCCCTTCCTGTGTCCAAGTGTTCTCATTGTTCAATTCCCACCTGTGAGTGAGAACATGTGGTGTTTGGTTTTTTGTCCTTGCGATAGTTTGCTGAGAATGGTGACTTCCAGCTTCATCCATGCCCCTACAAAGGACATAAACTTGTTCAACTTTTGCTCATGCCCTTTCCTCTGCTCTAACTGTCCTCTTCAGTATTCTCAACTTATTCTCCAAAGCACTGCTGAGATGCCACCTTCTCTGGGAAGCCTGCCTGTCTCCTTCACCCCACCTAAGTCAGAGTCCCTAATTTCTTCCTCCACTCAGAGAATCTGCACATTTCATTGGTACAGGATTTATCACACATTTTAGAATCAATTTTTCAAGTGCTTGTTCTTCTCAGTAGACCATGGCTCTGAATAAAACAATGATTGAGTCAGATTCATTGATATTCTCAGTGCCTAGAATAGTACTTGGAATGTAGCTAGTGCCTACTATGGTGAGTGCACGAGTGAATGTATTAATAAATGCATGGGTGCTTAAGTTGACGCATGCTTAGGAAAGCCAGAGTTGTAAGATTGATATCATTTGTCTTCAAACTGACCCAGCATTTTCCAGTTTCATCTGAGCACAGCTGACCATCACTGACAGCTCAAATTTTCCGTTAGGACAAAACAGACCCTCTCAAACTCCCCCCTACCCATCTGTCAACAAGTGACCCAGCTTAGTTTAGAAGCACTCCCCTCCTGGAGCTCTTTACTCTGTTTCAAGGTGAATCCAAGCTTTCTGCTACAAAAGTTCTAGATATCAAAGCTGCCCTTGGGGAGTTCTTTTGTTCATGGAAAGGACTTTCTCTAACCTCGCCCAAGTCAGGTGATTCTTAGCCCACTCCATCACAGAATATGAGACCTGCCCCAGTGGTGCTCCAAGCAGAAAGGAAAGACAACATTACCCACACACAAAAGTCACAGGACAGCCCTCTAGTTTGGCATGAACCACCAGAGATCACTGGGTGTAGCCTCCTCACTCTTCAGATGGACAGAGAGGGCCAGAGTGATTTGCACAATTACATAAGGTCACTGGGCCCTGGCGGAACTCAATCCTTCAGTGGGAGGCTCTTCCCCTTCCCCACCTCTTGCCCCTTCCAGAGAATGGCTGGACTTCCTCTTAATGAGAGACATGATTTATGTCGGCTGGGCCCAATTAGCGTCAAGCTCTCTTGGGCTGCCAAATGCCCCGCTGGCCAGCAGCTGAGGCCTGTCTGGCAGGACATATTTGGATGATGAAGCCATGCTACATGCTAAACTCAGCCCAGGAAACAGCAACTTGACTTGGATGCCCACCAAAGACTGCCAGGCTTGGCTCCTACCCTCAAGTTGGGCAACAAGGCTGTTTGGCAGGGGATGGAGCCGTGATTCTCTGGCAAGAGGGGTGAGGCTGGTCTAGGAGAGCACCACCCCAGGGCAGGATGCCCTCCTTGGGCTTGGCTGGGCCCGGCAAGTATAGGCAGTGACAGAACCCTGAGCTGTGAGCCAGGAGATCTGGACTCAGAGCCAGCTCCACTACTGACTCCTTATTGGGTGACCCTGAGCCCATTGTTTATCTTCCTCTTTATGTCTCAGCTTCTCATCTGTAAAGTGGGAAGGATTTCTCTGCCTGCCTCAGGAAACACTTAAGGGACATACATGGTACCAAAAAAGGGCTTACTCTTTTTAGACCTTGGTTTCCTTATCTATAAAATGGGACAAGCATGGCATTTCCCTCACAGAGCTGGTATAAGTTTAGGTGTATATTAACACATGATGCCTGGCATGGAATGAGAGCTAAATCAGCTTCGTATTATTAGTATTATGTTGGCTTAGCCATACTCTCACTAACTCTTAGTTTTCTGATATGCCTTCTTCATAAA
Organism: Homo sapiens; assembly: GCF_000001405.40. NCBI lineage: Eukaryota > Metazoa > Chordata > Mammalia > Primates > Hominidae > Homo > Homo sapiens. The sequence continues at coordinate 48,019,374 of NC_000001.11, read as the reverse complement.
GGTTGGTGTGAAAATCAAATTTGGAAACCGTGTCTGAGAAAGAAGCTTATGTAAGTTGGTACAACTAAGAATTAGTAAATTGGGGTTCTAAATTTAGATCTGTCTGACCCTCAAGCCTCAGTTTCATCTACAATAGCAATATCCACTTACCATCCACTGGTTTTCAGATCCTGCTTTCAGTGCTGAGCATGCAGCGTGGAGCTGGCCTGGAGAGCCTAGACATACCAAAACAGCCCCAGCCCCCACATTGCCACCCCAGATCTGCCCTGTTATGTTCATGGTAACACTTCTGAAAAGCCCAACTTCCAGGAGAACAGACTAAAACAGAAAGCAAGGAGGGACTGTCCTGAGCCCCCAGTGAGTCAAGTGCAGGCCCTGAAGAGAATAACCGCAAGCTCCAGTCTCTGTCCAGACCTGCCCCGGCTCTGTGCCCAGCCCTACGGAGCCGCACAGCCTCCTTCTTCCTCTGCCCTAAGTCTTCCCTGCTTTACAGGGTGGAGGCTTGAGCTGAGAGGAAGAGCACATGGATTTTAATCTCAATTCTAGTACTGACTTTCTTCAAGACTTTGGAGAAGCACTTTAAACTTTCTTGGCCTGAGACTATTGTGTGTTAAGTGGAAGTGCCACGCAAACTCATTAATGTGGGTGTGCTTCTCACCCGTTCCTCATAACAGGATTTTTTGCCCTTATAAACTTTGAGGCAGAGGGATGACTGACTCTTCTTAGCTTTGTGCTTCGTTCTGTTTCTTCAATATGTTAAAAAAAAAAAAAAGAAAAGAAAGAAAAAGCAAACAATCCCCCCTTATTAATGTCTCTGGGACACCCAGCTGGGGGATAAAGAATGCAAGGAAGATGGCCATGGAGCCCAGATAAATCTGTAGCTCTTCATTTCCACTTGGAGGAGTACAGACCCAGGCCCTCACCAAGCCCTGAGAACATGAGAGCCTGCAACTCCCAGAGAAATAAACACGCTTCAGAGTGAGAGGGGAGCCAATGGAAGTCAATCAGCTCAGAGAGACTTGAGAGATTTTTGGATGTTTAAGGCAGAGTATAATTCATTTTGGGGAGTTGTGGGCTGCTAGACCCAAAATCTGGACCCCAAATCTAATCTAGATAGAGAAATTAAAATCTGCCCATACATGCCTTAAGTTTTCACTCCAAACCTGCCACCATCCTCAGCCACCTTCTTTCCTCCTGAGGAGCTAGGACCCAGTCTCTTGATTGTTTTTATTCCACCATCAACACCCTCCACCCTAGGACTGAACACGTGGGGTGCTCAGTAGACATTCTATCTGCAATCCTCAGCCCTTACTGATCAGGGGCCCCTGTAGACTGTAAGATGTTAGATCGCCAGGAGCCAGCCCTGTTCTCAGTACGTGGAAGGTGTTTACTTCAGCTGAGCTCACACATATTGCAGCCCATGGGTTCCAGGAAGGATGGTCAGTTCAGATGTGATTCATCCCAGCCACAGAGCCTCTGGGTGTGACCTTAGATAAGTGAATATGTGGTGGAATGTATGAACATCCAGAATTAGGGTCAAGAGACACCCTGATTCAATCAACTTAGGAAGGAATACATGTCTGTTTATTAATCAGCAGATGGTATCTTTCTGACCTCCCAACTGCTGGGCGTGGGGAACCCAGAGAAACTGGGACAGAAGAGATATATGAGAATGGAATGAACATTAGTTTACAAAAAAGTTAGTCACAGAATGGGGAAAAAAGGTCAAAGACAGAAAGCAAATTTAACCCTTGGTACTATCATAAAGAATAACAGTAGGATTTCCTAATTCTGCAGAAATTTCTTACTTTCCCAGAATCCAGTTTCACCCTCACCACAACCTCATCAAGTAAGTCTCATTATGGCCATTTTATAAATGGGGAAATGGAGGCAACTACCAATAAGGTTGCTCGCTCTAACATCTTAGAAACAAACTCATTAAAAATAAGTGCTATACTTTTGAAATCACAGAAGGTCATCAATTTGACGAGCTTTTTTTTTCTCCAGAGTAAGAGTGATGTAAAAAGGATTCTAAAAGATTGATTATGGTCATTAATTAAGCTTCCAAAGTGCCTTCATAGGAGATGTAAAACTTTTTTCCCTGTAATGCTGATCCTGTGGCAAGTTTCCTCTGAAGGACCCTCCTCCCTTCTTACTTTACTTTAAATGGCTCAGCTCCTCAGGGTCTATTCTTAGTCCTACTCTTCTTCTGTATACATTCTTTCTAAGTTCTCTCATTCACATCAGGACTTCAAGTGGTATCCCTGAATTGTACACTTCTAGCATGGAAGCCTCCTAAGATCCACACCTGCACGTTCTACGGTGGTGGGCACTTTAACAGCTGAGTATCCCCATAGCACTTAAAACAAGACAGAGCAGTTTCCCTTCCCCAGGTACTACTGTTCTTTCTTTCACACTCAATCATGGAAGAAGAAAGTCAGGGCAGGAGGGAGGGAGGAAGATGGATGCTGCTAAAGAGCCCTAAAAGACGGACTAGTCCAACCCTTCATTCTAAAGATGAACAAACTGGCCAGACAGAATCAGATTTGGGGCTGGAAATCCTGTCTCCTGACATCTGGCCTGGATCTTTGTAAGAGTAGTGACACAGAGCACTGAGAAATGACACAGAAAAGGCAGAAGGCCAGGAACGAAAGCTGGGCCTTTGTTTCAGAGCTCTCAACACAACGTGTGGTCATATATTTGTCTGTTTAAATGTGTGATGTCTGTCTTTGCAGTGTCGGGTCTACGAAACCAGGGACCATGTCACGCTCACTACTGTATCCATAGCACCAGGCATAGGGCCTGCACATAGAAGGCATTCACTAAATATGTGCACGATTTATAGTATCCACAATGTAGAAATCTAAGAATTAATCTAGGAATTAATTAATCTAGAAATTAATTTAACCAAGAAAACAAGATACAAGATAAGTGGTTAATTTAACCAATTATCTAGGAATTAATGTAACCAAGAATACAATAGATCTCTATGTAGAAGAGTATAACACTAACATAAGGCATAGAAGATTGTGTGAATAAGTAGAGAGACATTCCTGTGCATGATTGAGCTGACTTAATATTAAAAACATGCCCCTTCTCCAAAATCAATATAAACATATAATATGAAGCCAATCAAAATATCAGTTGATTTCTTGAGGATGCAATACACTTACTCTAAAATGTACACGGAGGAATTCAAATGGAGTTAACCTAAAAATGTTAAATCGTAATAAAGAAAAAAGAAAAGAAGAAAACCTCACTCTTCCAGATATCAACATGCTACAAAAGCAAGATAATAAACACACTGTAATAATGGCCAATAACAGATAGAGTCACTGTCACAGAACAGAGAGCCACAGAGACACATCCTCACACTCTCACATATATTGCACTGGATACTCTAGGTTTGCCCCTCCACATCCTTTCTCCACCCTTCTCTAGCTTCATATGAGAGACTGGCCTCCCTGCATTGCATTAACCATACTTACTTGCCCTGTGATCCCCTATTGAGTTTGGCCAAAGAGAGTCACCGGAGGGAGGCTGGAGAGAAAAGGAGTTAGAGGGTAGTTACGCCCTAGCTCTCCCCTGCCAGGTTGCACTCATATGCCCAAGACCAGAACACCAGCTACAGCTTTTTCTGGGTTTGATAGCCACTCCCTTCAACGGCTTGTTCATACTTGGTGGGTAGGAGCTGGAGGATGGAAGATAAGACTTCCCCACTGTTGCTACTGAGTATCCTACCCATCCTTGTTGGTGTCCTTAACCTGGGAGTCCTTCATTAAGTTCTCCTCCGTCACCCCACTTCAGCTTGCATTCTGTGTCCTGCTAGGATGCTCACAGATACATATATAAAATAACTTCACATACAATAGAATATGACGAATCCAGTCACTACAAATTAAGTGTGTCATGTTGGAAAATTAGTTCACCATATGTAGAAGAGGAAAACTGGATCTCTTACTTAATATCATATACAAAAGTGATATTATATGGATTAAAAACACAAATGTGAAAGAAAAAATAAAGTTATCAGAAGAATGATAAAGTTAATAGAAGATCTAAAAAATTTAAAGTTAATAGAATACGTTGAAGTTTATCTTTATGACTTAGATATGAGGAATAATTTCACACAAAAAACATTAAAAGCACAAACAATGTGGGAAAAGATAAATATTACTCCATTATATTTTTAGAAGATTTCTATCCAATGAAGGGCTCTATGGAGAAAATAAATAAATAAAATAAATAATAGAAGGTATTCGCAACATCTGAAATTGGCACGGGATTAACATTGAAAAGATACAAAAACTGCTACGAATCAACAAGAAAAAGAGAAAAGCCATGAGAAAAGTGAGCAAAGGATATTTGTGCATAGGTAATTTTAAAAAGAGGAAACTCAAAAAGAGGAAAAGTATTAGGAGAGTTGCTCAAAATTATTAGTAGCCAGAGAAATGTCCCTTATGTAATTTATACCAATAAAAATTAGAAAGCTGGATAAACAATAAGATTTGCAAGGATATAGGAAACTCTCATATAGCAGGATTATTGAGTGGTGGAGCCATTCTAGTGGTGGAGCCATCCCCCACCACTATGTCCAATTAGGTATATGCATAGTCTATAAGTTAGCTATTACACTCTGGGATATGCATTCCCTAAAAAAGCCAATCTACGTGTATAAGAGAATTATTTCTGGAGTCAGGGAGTTGTAGGCAACCTGAAAGATCATCACTCAGAGAGTAGACAGGTAAAACATGTGAAATACTACTACTGAGTGTTACATAGCAGTCAGAAGAAATAAATTGATTGTTAAGAGTATAGTCTTTGATGCAAAAGAAAAGAACAGAGTCAGACTAATTACACAACATCATTTATCTAAATTAAAAATATATGCACACAAAATAGGTATACATATTTGCAAGGACATATACAAACAAAAAAATGCATTAAACGTAATTGTTGCCTGTGTGGTGAGGAGAAAGGGAAAGAGATATGAGAATAAAAGAGAATAAATAAAGAGAGACAGAAGGAGAGAGAGAGACTAACTTCTGCCACTAACCGGGGCATGTGCACAATAGACCATGAAGCAACAATTTATTTAAAAAGAAAAGGAGGATATAGGTAAGGGGAAGTAGAAAGCAGAGAAGGAGAAGAACAAGGGGGAAGATGAGAAGGAGGAAGAAGACGAGAGGAGGGAAAAAGCTACCAAGGTTATAAAAGAAAATGAAATCACAAGAAATAGTCAGTTAATCTAAACGGAACAAATAGAAAACAGACAGCAAAATGGTAGATTTAAACTCAAGCAGACCCATAATCACATTAAATTAAAAAAATTGTCAAATTGGAACAAAAAAGCAGATGCAACTACATGGTGCCTACAAGAAATCCATTTTAAATGTAAAGACACAGTAGGTTATAAGCAAGACATGGAAAAAAGATATACGATGCTAACACTAATCTAAATAAAGTGGTTATAGATTTATTAATATCAGACAAAATAGACTTCAGAGCAAGAAATCTTGCCATAGATAAAAAAGGTCATTTCATAATGATGAAGGGTTCAATTAATCAAGAGGACATGACCAAAATGTATATGTATCTAATAGTAGAGTTTCTAAGAACATGAAGCAAAAACTCACAGAAGCGAAAGGAAAAATAGACAACTCCAGAATCATACTTGGGACTTCAACACTCCTCTCTTAATAATTGATAGACTAGGTAGACAAAAAATAAGATTAAGATAACCTGAAAAACATTATAATCAACTTGATGTCATTGGCATTTGTAGAACATTTCACCAAACAACAGATAAACATTCTTTTCATGGGTCCACAGAACATCTATTAAGATAAATCTTATTCAGTGCCATAGGACAAGTCTCAATAAATTCAAAAAGATAAAAATCATACAAAGTATGTTCTCTGACTACAAGATAATTAAATTAGAAATGAATAACAGGAAGAAATCTGGAACACAACCAATAATTTGCAAATTAAACAATGCATTTCTAAATAGCCCATGGGACAAAGAAGAAATCAGAAATGAAATTACAAAGTATTTTTAATTAAATCAAAATGAAAAAACAAATACCAAAATCTATGAAATGCAGATAAAGAAAAATATGTAGAATTAAAGGCATATATTAGAAATAAAGAAAGGATAATTAATGACCTGAGTTTACATCTTAAAACTTGAGAACAAGGAGGGAAAACTAAAACCAAAGCAAGCAGAAAAGGAAGGAAATTACGAAAATTAAAACAGAAAACGGGGAAATAGAATGGAGAAAAATTATGGAGAACATCAGTAAAGCCCAAGCTTGTTATTTGGGAAGATATAAATTTGATAAACCTCTGACCAGATTGACCAGGAAAAACAAAAAATAGAAGAGTCAGATTACTAGCAGCAAGAGTAAGAAGAGGGGATTTATTTACAGATCCATTTGATCATTTCAACAGATGCAGAAAATGCAAGGTTATAGAAACCAAGAATAACATACAACTTTTAACTGTATTTTACATACTTTCAAGGAATTGTTGTAAGTTGAAAAATTTTAAATACTATTTCTAAGAGCATTAAAAATCATGAAATGCTTTGGAAAAGCTTTTACGAAAGGTGTACAGATATGTACACTGAATAACTCAAAATATTGCTGAGAGAAGTTTCAGAAAATCTAAACAGAGATAAACCATGCCTATGGATTATAAGACTCAATATTATTAAGATGTAAATTCTCCCCTGATTGATCTAGAGATCATGACCATATCTATCAAAATCCCAGGAGACTTTTTGCAGAAAGTTGATTTTAAAATTTATATGAAAATACAAATAATTTGATAGCCAAACAAATGCTATAAAGCAATACCTGAGACTGGGTAATTTATAAGAAAAGAGGTTCAACTGGCTCACAGTTCTGCAGGCAGTACAGAAAGCATACAGGCATCTGCTTGTGGAGAGGCCTCAGGGAGCTTTCACTCATGGAGGAAGGTGAAGCAGGAGCAGGCACTTCACATAGTGAAAGCAGGAGTAAGAGAGAGAGAAAGAGAGAGAGAGTAGAAGGGAGGTACCATATGCTTTTAAATGACCAGATCTCATGTGAACTCAGAGCGAGAGCTCTCCTATCACCAAGGGGATGGCCCAAGCCATTATTGAGAGATCAGCCCCCATGATCCGAACGCCTCCCACCAGGTCCTACCTCCAACATTAGGGATTATAATTCAACTCAAGATTTACACAGGGACAAATGTCCAAACTATATCAAAGATGAAGAACAAAATTAGAGACTTAATACCTGGTTTCATGACTAAGTATAAAACTATAGTAATACAGTGTGATGTTGCTGTAAATGTAGATATATCTACCAATGGCACAGAACAGAGTCCAAAAACAGACTCACACAAAAATGATAATTGATTTTTGATAAAGGTACCAAGGCAATTCTATACAGAAAGGGTAATCTTTCAATAAATGTTGTCAGGCAAATATGTAGTAAACTAAAACATCATGGGGTGCTGAATCCCCTTAACCTTCAAGTGAAAGCAAAGCTTGTAATCACCCAGCCCACCAATGACTTACATCATATCCACTGTTACAGATTCCACGCCGAGTTCACTCCCAAGTGACCAGAAGATCCATCTCTGTTTCCCCTGGACTCAGGCTATTCAGGGACTGCCAGCTTTGGTAGACAGTGTTCTTCTGTTGCCTAAAGAAAATTCAGCAACTGCTGTGATGCAGCAAATGCCCCGACGGATGGAATTCTCCACTCATCCAAAATATAGGCAACCAATGAAGGGTCTAGATTTGCCTCACAAATCTCAGAATTGATGGTCTTTGTTCCCAGGCTACAAGGGGCTGTAGAAAGAGGGAAATTAAAGATTTTTTTTCCAGATGCTGTGAAAAAAACAAAAAAAGCAAATGGTGTTGGGACATAGATATATCCATTAGCAAAAAGGAAAAGAGAGAGAGAAAGAAAAGGAAGGGGGAATGACGAGGAGGAAGATGAGAAGAAAGAGGAAGAAGTGGGGAAAAGAAGGTGAGAAGGAGGAGGAAAGAAAAGAAGGAGATGAGGAAGAGGAGAAGGAAGAGGAACAAGGGGAGAGGTGGAGGGAGTAGTAGGACGAAGAGGAAAAGAAGCAGCGGCACCCTTGCCCGTGGTCCTTATCTCACAACTCATACAAGGTCCAAGTAAAAACTGATCACTGACCGAAGTGGAAAACCTAAAACTATAAAAATTCTAGAATAAAACAAAGGAGAGAAAATCTTAGTGACCTTGGGTTAGGCCAAGATTTTTTAAACAGAAGAAAAAATGAACAAATTATTAAAGAAGACCATTGATAATTTGGATTTCTTCAAAATTAAAATATTTGCTGTCCAAAAGACACCGTTAAGAAAATAAAAACACAAGCCATGAGAAAATATTTGCAAAACTATGTTTCACAAACCACTTGCATACAAAATACGTGAAGAACTATCACAACTCAAAAATAAAAAGCCAAACAGCCCAATATAAATGTGCAAAAGATTTGAACAAAGGCTTCACCAAATAAAATGTAAGAATGGCAAATAAGTATATGAAAACATGCTCAACACCATTAATCATTAGTGGCCAGGCACAGTAACTCATGCCTGTAATCCCAGCACCTTGGGAGGTCAAGGCAGGAGGATCGCTTGAGCCCAAGAGTTCAAGACCAGCCTGAGCAACGTAGCAAGATCTCATTTCTACTAAAAACTAAAAAATTAGCTGGGTGTGGTGGTGCAAGCCTGTGGTCCAAGCCTGTGGTCCCAGCTATGCAGGAGGCTGAGGTGGGAGGATCCCTTGAGCCCATGAGGAGCCCCTTTCAGTGAGCTGAGATGGCACCAGTGCACTCCAGCCTGAATGACAGAGCAAGACCCTGTTACAAAAAACAAAAAAACAAAAAGAAAAGAAAAAGACATATTACAATCACAGTAAGATGCCACTTCACACTCACTGGGATGGCTGTAATTACAAAATCTGGCAAGACCGAGTATTTGTGAGGAGGCGAACAACTGGAACTCCCATACATTGTTAAATGCCTGTCATATAATTAGTGCTCCAATATATTAGCAATTAGTCATAGCAGCTAGCAGTAGCAGCTATTATGAATATGAGCTACACACAATGCAAAATGAAAAACCCTGACATGGTCTCTACTCTCATGAAGCGTCTGTCTAACCACACTTGTTCCCTGTATATGTGAGAATTTTTTGAATTCACTCTCTTAAAGACTCATGTTTCTCTACTCCTGGGCTAATGCTTTATGTTATAGCTAGAAATGGTGATTTCCATCTATAACATTACTGGAAAAGAGATCTAGAACTGTGAGAAAATAGTTTATATTGAATAGGTTAGACCAGGAGCTGTTGATTTTTTTTTCTTTTCCTTTCCCTTTTTTTTTTTTCACTTCTCGTTCTGTTGCCCAGGCTGGAGTGCAGTGGTGCAATCATGGATCACCGCAGCCTCGACCTCTCAGGCTCAAGCGAACCTCTCACCTCAGCCTCCTCAGTTGTTAGGACCACAGGTGTGCACCACCATGCCCAGTGAATTTTTTAATTTTTTGTAGAGACAGGGTCTCCCTATGTTGCCCAGGCTGGTCTCAAACACCTGGGCTTGAGCCATCCTTCCACCTTGATTGGCCTCCCAAAGTGACCTCCCAAAGATTACAGGTATGAACCACTGTGCCTGGCTAAGCTGCTGATTTGAGAAGGGGAGAAAGAGATGGGAATGCTAAATACTACAGATAGATTACTAAAAAGCTCAGAGGCAAAAAACTAAGCTAAACTAAAAATTACAACAACAAAAGAATCAATTAAGTTGGTGAGTCTGCAAAAGCTTCTGCCACTTCAGAAGTTTCCTGGACTCCAGGGCTACAGCTTCTACATAAAGGCAGTGTATTAGTGAAATAACATGGATCTGGGTCAGAGAAAAGCTTAAGAGCTGTAAGACCCTGGACAAATCACTTCATCTCTCTTAGCCTTGGATCCCAGGGCACATAGATGTTGGATGAATGAGTTAGTAAATCGATGAATGAAAAAAACTATAAATTATTGGTGCCATTTCTAGACACAAAGAATTTTCTTAGTGGACAGGAGAGTGAAAAGAAGCAAAAGCTTTTATATAAGAAATGGAAAAAATAGCAGTAAGACACAGGGTAACTCGATCCCTCTATCCAAATCAATGAACAGCTGTCGTGAAGAAGATAGAGATTTGTTCCATGTGGTCCCAAGGGCAGGAACCAGGGACTAGTGGGTATAAGCTCCAGGTAGGCGGGTGTGGACTCAGTAGATAGAAGTTTCTGAATGTGAAGAGCTGCTTCAAAGCAGCATCAGCTATCTGAGGCTGTAGTGAGCTTCTTGGCACTAAATGTCATAAGCAGTGTCAAGACAACTACTTGATAAGATTCAAGAAAAGGGCTTTCAAACATAAAATGGGAGTAGAGTATCCAGCCCAAACTCTCAACTGAGAAAAATGGTTGTATGAATTTGGACATAATGAGTTTGAGAGGAAAGCAAGGCATTCAAGTAGAGGAAAGAGCAGGCTGGGTATAGGGATGGAAAAGTCATCATAAAATTCCAATGGCTGAAGATCAGAAATTCATCTGATTCTCCATGAATGGATTTGCTAATTAAAGGTCAAGCAAACCTAAACATTTTAGGAAGCATGCCGGTGGGTGCTAGCCTATATGGTGCCTGGTGGAATCACTGTAGATGCAGCTCCTTGCCAGGGCACAAGGCTGGACAAGCGGAGTGCTGGCTGGATTTTACTACCACTCACCTCCTTAACAGAGCCCCCTCCTGCGAAGTGCAACCTGCCCACCTGCTCCATGCAGTGGCCCCGGGTGCCACCATGACACAGACTTCCATGGCTCCTTCCACAGGGCATCCATGTTGAAGGTGATGCAGGCCCTTTCATGACTTTTTAAGAGAACTTGAAAGTAGTACAGGAAATATTTTTGAGGCCTCTTCTTTTTCTTAGTATTGTTAATAATGATGACAGAAGTAATATTCACAGCCCTTTACAGTACACAAAGTGCATTCACATTCATTATCTAACTTGATTCCCACAACAAAGCTGTAAGATACACATTACTGTTGTTCCTCACTTTGCAGAAGAGGAAATTGAGGTCTGGAGAGATTAAGCTAGGCCTTAAGTGAAGCCTTTAGTGAGCTTCTTGTCACTAAATATCATAAGCAGTGTCCAGACAACTGCTTGATAAGACTGACCAAAAGGGCTTTCAAACATAAAATGGGAGCGGAGAATCCAACCCAATCCAATCCACTACTAATGGTAGTAAAGGCTTTCTTTTCTTTCTTTCTTTTTTCTTTTTTTTTTTGAGACAAGGTCTCACTCTGTTGCCTAGGCTGGAGTGAAATGGCATGATCTTGGCTCACTGCAACCTCTGCCTCCTGGGCTCAAGCCATCCTCCCACCTCAACCTCCCAAGTAGCTGGAACTACAAGTGTTTGCCACCATGCCCAGCTAATTTTTTTTTATTTTTTGAAGAGATGGGGTTTCACCATGTTGCCCAGGCTGGTCTCAAACTCTTGGTCTCAATCAATCTGCCCATCTCAGCCTTCCAAAGAGCTGGGATTACAGACGTGAGTCTGTGCCTGGCCAAAGCCTTTTCTTACACAGCATATGTTTTACAGTTATAAACTCTCGATCACCATATAAATGTGTAAATCTATTTGCGTAGACCACATTGGCCCTGCAAGAGTCCACAAAGAAGGAAAACACTGAAGAGCACTTAGCAGTCTGAGATTTAGCTGGATCACCCATAACTCCACCCAACCCACTTCATTCAGATCTGCTTGCATGTCCTCATGGCCAGTCTCATTCATTTTCCATTCCTACTTCAGTCTGGGCCTTTCCTTCTAATGAATCCCAACTTTTGGTCCATTTCGATAACCTCCTGTTCTTGGCTCTATCTGGTCATGACATGCCCCATCAGTGGTTCTACTCTTACCAACCCCTCCTCTGACAAGTTTGGGGAATTCCCTTTCATCTGTGGACCTATCCAGGTCCTGCTGAGCCTGGCTTTGCTTCAAGTTTTCTCTTCAGCTGTAGAGATGGGTTATGCTGAGTCACCATAGTGAAAGAAGCTTTCCCAGCTTCTTTCTTATCAACAAAGGGAGGTGTCTGGACAGAACTAGACATTCAGTCTACAAGAAGAGCTCAGTCTGGCGCCAGGACTGGCTCAGTCTGTATCAACGGTCAGGGCTAGGAGCTGACCAGTGGCTCAGGTCAGAGCTCAGATCTTCCTCTCTGAGAAAGTGGAAATCATTCTCCCAGAACAGCATTATCTAGCCACCAGACCACCTACATCATTCACATGCTTGAGGCCTTCTCTCCTATAATCACAGATGAAATGTCCTAACAAGAATTAGCCACTCCAGGGCCAGGTGCAATGGCTCACGCCTGTAATCCCAGCACTTTGGGAGGCCGAATCGGGAGGATCACGAGGTCAAGAAGTCAAGAGATCAAGACCACCCTGGCCAATGTGGTGAAACCCCGTCTGTACTAAAAATACAAAAATTATCTGGGCATGGTGGCACATGCCTATAGTCTCAGCTGCTTGGGAGGCTGAGGCAGGAGAATCGCTTGAACCCAGGAGGCAGAGGCTGCAGTGAGCCAAGATCGTGTCACTGTACTCCAGCCTGGGCGACAGAGTGAGACTCCATCTCAAAAAAAAAAAAAAAAAAAAGAATTAGCCACTCCATTCTCTCTGGATCCCAAGCCTCTTGCTGCTCTAGTACTTCTCAAGGATGTCTCCCGTGAACCCCTCTCTCTCTGGGATCAGAAGTTCCCTTCTCTCTGCCAGATCCTTCACATTGGCTTGCAAATACATATATGACTCATATTTTTAATAGTTTCACCATTGACCCTTGTTCTTACTCCACTCCATTTCTTTACCCTTTACCATAAAATTCCTAGAAAGAGTTCCCTGTAGTGGCTGTCTCCACTTGCTCAACTCTCTGTCTTCAACCTATTTCACTTGAGCTTGCATCCCCAAGAGTTCACTGAAATGTCTCATGTCAGCCTCCTGTGGTCAAATTTAATGGTCACTTCCCTGTTTTGTTTTATTTTGTTGGATGTCTTGATACCTCTCTCTCCTGGTTTTTCTCCTACTTCTGTCTCTTTTGATGAATGCTTCTCTTTCAAACTTGAAATGAATGAGTTCCCTGACTTACACCTAGGCCTTCTTCCATTCTCTCCCTCTCTTTAACAGCACCTTGGCTTCAAATATCATCTTTGTGCAATGGATACTACATTTATTCTTCCAGCCCAGACTGCTGCCCTGAGCCCCAGGCTCACTTATAAGCTGTTTTCTTCACACCTCTACTTGGATCCTAGCAAGCAGCTCTTGCTTAACATGACCTAATGGTGGCCTCTTGATACCTTCCCTCCACTCCCTCCAACCCCTGCTCCTCCCTCAGGCCTCCCTATCTCAGCTGATGGAGCCAGTTGCTCAAGATAAAAACTTCAGCGTCACCTTTGATTCCTCTCTTTCTTTCCCTCTCACATGATGTATGCCACAAAACAGTCACTGTATGTGAACCACATTTGCTCACTGTCCTCCAGTTTCACTACAATCACCCTGGGCCAAGGCACTATCATCATACCCTTTAACTACTGCCCTAGCGTCCTTACTGAATCACTCCCTGAACTCCCCATGTGTTGGCCTCATCATCCCCCACATCAAAATCTGAATGCTCTTTTACAAATGTAAATCGGATCCTGTTACCCTTCTTCAAAACCCTCCTATAGCTTCTCAGCAAAGCTGGAATTCAAACTCCTTACCTTGACCTACAAAGTCTTACTCCACCTGGCCCCTCCTATCTCTCTAATGTCATCTCTTGGAATTTCCTCCCTCATAGGAGAATCGCTTGAACCCAGGAGGCGGAGGCTGCCATGAGCGGAGATCGTGCCACTACACTACCGCCTGGGCAATGGAGTGAGACCCTGTCTCAAAAACAAACAAACAAACAGAATTTCCTCCCTCATGACCTAGGTCCAGGTTCACTGGACTTCTCTCTATTTCCTGAACTGACCAAGGTGCCTCCCCACCTCTGGGCCTTTTCCCAGCCTGTTCTCTCTGCTGGACATGCTCTTCCCCCATATCTTCTCATGGCAGACTCCTTCTCAACACTCACCAGACATTCTCTATCACTTACATTATCTCCATTTTTATTGATTTGCTTGTTTATAATTTTTCTTCTCACCTAGAAAATAAGTTGTGTGAGCAAGGACCTTGCCTATCTTGTCAACCAATTCTTTATCACCACGCTGTGATTAAGCTCTCAATGCATATATGTTGCATGAATGGATGAATGAATCCTCCCACTCTAGAGGTGGAGAAGTCACCATCACCACCACGTTCCAGACACTGAAGTAGACACACATGAGTTCATGCCACTGCTTTGCTTCAAACCCGGGCACACTGCCTTGGTTCCATCACTTACTAGGTGTGTGATTTGGGGCATGTTTTCTCTCTGTGCTTCAGTTTCCTTATCTAGAGAATGAGGATAATGGTAGTACCACCCTCCTAGCTTTGCTATTAACAGATACAGGTTGACACACTTTAGTGATAGAACAGTGCCTGACATATAGTTAATGCTCAGTAAAAGTTTGTAATTATTATGTCATCACATAGCAACCTAGAAGGCAAGGTTTCTCAATCTTGGCAGGATTCGCATTTTGGGCAGGATAATTCTTTGTTGTGAGGGTAGGGTGGGGGCAGCATCCTGGCCTCCACCCACTAGATGCCAGTAGCACCTTCCAAGTTATGACAAACAAAAGTGTCTTTAGACATTGTCAGATGCCTCTGGAGGCCAGGATGAGGGCAAAACCACTGCTATAAGACATGCGCTTTGCCTCCCTTGACAGGTGTGAAATTGGAAGCTTACAGTGTTTAAATAACTTGCCCAAGGTCAAAGGGCTACAAAGTGGTGGAGCAGGAATTCAAACTCTTGTCTTCTGGGCTCCACCGTGCATGCTCTTTCCTCCACAGCTCATTGCCCGGGGCCTAAGCACCCCTCCCCTCACCCGGGCCTGCATGCTCACTCACAGATCTGTGCTAATTACACAGCAACATAAAACTTTATATGTGGTTTGTTATTTTATATCCAGGAACATGGTCCACAGCCTTCATTACATAAAGCAGCTGTGTGTATACTTGGGGTCTAAGTGCTATTTAGTGGTCAGCTCGACGGGGTATTTTGTTTCAAGCATCACATTTCTTTTTTCCCTTTCCATACTCCTATTGAATCCCAAATAGAGGAGTGGAGCCTCACACAGCTTGGGCTAAAGTGAAAGGCAAAAGTCTCCTAAATGGCAATCATCCCACTAATTAGATTGGGAGCCACAGCACAGGAATTGCCATATTTGGTATGTATGTGCCCCCCAGTGTGTGTGTGGTGTGTGTGTGTGTGTGTGTGTGTGTGTTTACTAGCCATACCATCTGGCCTGTGCTATCTGTGCTACCTTCCCATTCATGTCTTAAAGGAAGCAAATGCTTTAGTGGAAAGAGCTAGACAGTCCAGTTCTTCTAATTATCAGCTATATGACTTGAATGTGTCATGCCTCCCCTCTGAGACCCAGTTTCCTCATCTTTAAAATGGGGATAAAAATATCTGTCTCACAACATCATTACAATCCTTTAGATACAGGGTCTTTCACAGAATTGGTCTGCAATAACCCCCAGCTCCTTTTCCTCCTTCATGGCCAAACTGCACCCCAGCCCAGTCCCGACTTCAGCCTGCTATCTCAATATTCACCCCTTCTACTCTAACCAGAACCTTCTTTTCCCTACCCCATGTTGGCCCTTTCACTTTCCTCATTCCCATTATCTGGAATGCAAGCAAGGCCCTTTACATCGATTTAAATCCTACTTTTCCTTTATAGCCTAATTCAAATCCTGCCTCCGCCAGGATCATTTAGTAGTTCTATACGAAGGTGAGAGTCTTCAGCTCACTGACTTTGCCTGGACTTTTACAATACTGCACCACTCCCCTGGCCCTTCCATGCATGCGAGTGGGTGGGTGGTGATTTCTAACTCTTTTTCTCTTTAAAAATATTTAATTGACAAATAAAGATTGTAAAGTCTGGCCAGGCGCTGTGGCTCATGCCTGTAATCTCAGTACTTTGGGAGGCCAAAGCAGGCAGATCACCTGAGGTCATGAGTTCGAGACCAGCCTGGCCAACATGGTGAACCCCATCTCTACTAAAAATACAAAAACTTAGCTGGGCGTGGTGGCAGGCACCTGTAATCCCAGCTACTCAGGAGGCTGAGGCAGGAGAATTGCTTGAACCTGGGAGGCGTAGGTTGCAGTGAGCCGAGATTGCGCCACTGCACTCCAGCCTGAGCAACAAGAGGGAAACTCCATCTCAAAAAAAAAAGAAGATTGTATATATTCAAGGTATACAAAGTGATAATTTAATATATGTATATATTATGTAATGATTATTAAAATCAAAGTAAAAAACACATCCGTCACCACACTTGCTGTATATTAGATTCCCAGAACTTATTCATCATATAACTGAAAATTTATACTTTTGACCAGTCCGTCTATACTGTCGGTAAGAATGTAAATTGGTAAAGCCATTATGAAAAACAGAATGAATGCTCTTCAAAAAATTAGAAATAGGACTACCATTTGATCCAGCAATCCCACTTCTGGGTATATATCTATAGGAAATGAAAACAGCATGATCCAGAGATATCTATACCTACCATATTCATCGCAGCACTATTCACATAAATGCATCTTAACTTACCACCTACCCATGTTTTGTCTTGTTCAGAAATGGCAAGTATCCAGAGGGCAGGACTATATTCCTTCCTGCCTAAGACACCACAATTCATATGGGGACCCAGTAAATATTTGTGAGTTAACACAGCCAATGCCTCTCATTGCTATTATATCCCTGAGGCTGCACACAGCCCGTCTGGTACCTGGCAGGTCAGCCACCCTCAACCAGCACCCACAATTTATGCAGAGCAAGCTCAGGGGATTATCTCCTCTGAATGGCAGGATGAAGGGATTTCCAAGATAATGCATAGTCCTTCCTGGTACAGTCTGATTTCTGAGTCTCCCCAGTAGTTCTCCTCCATTCTGCCTCTCCTCTCCGCCTTCATTGTTGACAATCCCTGTATGTGCCAAGCAATTGCAGTCCCATGTCTTAGCACATTCAGTTCCCACTGCCTGACCTTCCCTTCTTCCTATTCCCTGTCCAACTCCTGCTCATCTTTAAAAATCAACTGAAACATGACCTTCTCAGCAAAGACCTTTGCTGATCTCCTTTCTCCTAAGGCTGACTTCGTTGCTCCTTTTGTCCCCTCTATTTGTTTCCCAAAGCCCCCTGTTTGTTTGCATCTCTGTCTTCCTCACTGGATTGCAAGCTCCCTAGGAACAAAACCCTGGACTGATTCCTATGTACTCTCTACTCCCCCACTGGGCAGGCCCACGTAGGGGTTTTGTTTTTAATGAATGCCATATTATATGGCAATTTTAATCCTTTGTTGCACTTTTGTGACTATGTGTCTATTTTCCCATTGCCAGGAGAAAATGCCCTTTTCTGAATTAGTTTCTGCACTTTTTCTGGTTCTTTTTTTTTTAATTTTTTTTTTTTTGAGACAGAGTCTCTCTCTGTCACCCAGGTTGGAGTACAGTGGCGTGATTTCGGCTCACTGCAACCTACGCCTCCCGGGTTCAAGAGGTTCTCCTGCTCAGCCTCCTGAGTAGCTGGGATTGCAGGTGCCTGCCAGTACGCCCAGCTAATTATTTGTATTTTTAGTAGAGACGGGTTTTCACCATATTGGCCAGGCTGGTCTCAAACTCCTGACCTCACGTTTCGTCTGCCTTGGCCCCCCAAAGTGCTGGGATTACAGGTGTGAGCCACTGTGCCCAGCCCTTTTTCTGGCTCTTTCCACCACTCTAGACTGTCTTAACTGCCAACCTCTTGGTCCTAAAGTCAGCTGTCCTTCCCTCCCATGCCCCATGTCCTTCCCTCCCACACCCCATGACCTTCCATCATCAAGGATTAACTGCCAACCCAGGTGAGGGAGTTGGGGGAGAGGGTGTGGAGGAGATAGAGCCTGAGGGTGGGTAGGAAGGAGCAGGACTGGGATAGGAGTCAGAGCTGGAAGTCAGGCCAGGCCAGGCCCATTTGAAAATGCCAGTGTGGCCAATGGCCAGGGCAATGGCCTTGCAGGAGGGCAGCCCTCAGGCCCACAGCAAAGCTCCTCCTTTCAGTGGACTGGAGCAGGGGAGCCCCTCCTCTGCCTCCCTGAGAGATGCCCTTTAGCAGCACTGGGCTGGCTCCTGGATCTGCTCAGGAGGCAGACTTTGTTGGTTTAGTTCCGCTACAAGGCTTTCTGCTCCTGCCCTAACTGTTACAGCCTTCAATTCCTGGTACCAATTTGATTGAACAACTTAATTAAAATGCAATAAAAGGAAAGTGAGCCAAATGTGCCCAGGGGAGAGGAGGCAAGCTACGAGTCCCCTGACTCTCCCTTGAGCCCTGTGCTCTTCTCCATCCTGCCTAAAGGCTCTAAGCAGGCTGTGGCCAAGGGGCTCAGAATTCCAGTGTTATGTATAGAGGCTCCTAAAGGTGACCTGCTCCACAAACTTCTTCATACTGATGACATGGAACCTCAGTTCCTACTCAGGTCCAGAGAGAACAAGTGAATTACCCAAAGCTACCTCGTGAGATGTTAGCAGAGGAAGGATACGTCTCCAGGACTTAGGATTATCATCATCCAGGGTTTCTCACACTACACGATGTGGGAGGAAAAAAATGGTTTGAAAACACTGAGACCCTTGCTCTTGAGTCTTGAGGAACACTCTCTCCTGAGGCCCCAAACTTATTTATTTATTTGGTAACAGCTTTATGGAGATATAATTCACATACCCTACAATCCACCCATTTAAAATGTAATTCAATGGTTTTTAATATATTCACAGAGTTGTGCAACCATCACCATTCTAGAATATTTTCATTACTCCAAAAGGAAACCCAGCACTCTTCAGCTATGGCCCCACGATTGCCCCCATTCTTCCTAGCCCTAGGCAACCACCACTCTACTTTCTGCCTTGCTATATATTTGCCTATTCTGAACATTTCATATAAATGGAATAATATAATATACGTCCTCTTGCAACTGGCTTCATTTGGCATAATGTTTTCAAGACTGATTTATCCTATCCTGGAAATAGCATGTATCAGTGCTTCATTTTGTTTTATGGCCAAATAATATTCCATCATATGACTATAACATGTTTTTTAAATGTATATATTTAGCATATGATATGATATTTTTATATATCACATTTTGTTAATTTATTCATAAGTTGATGAACACTTGGGTTGTTTCCACCTTTTGGCTATAATAAATAATGCTGCTATCAGGCTTTACGTAGAAGTTTTTGTGTCGATGAATGTCCTCAGTTCTCTTGGGTATATATCTAGGAACAGAAAAATCTATTTGTTCTTGCTTCTCTTTAAGAATATCAGTAACAATACTGGTAAAGATCTTAAGACATTATTGCACACATTGACGCACAGAAAGTGAGGGGGACAGGAAACTGGCTGGGGAAAGAGAGGCACAGAAAAGCTAACTGTCCTGCCTTGGTCACAGTCACCACGTGTACCATGGAGGAGGAAGTCATAGCTGACACTCATGAAAATTAGCCAACAAAACTTTTATAATTTTAGGAAAAAAGATACCAGGGAAACTTTGTTTACAATACAGCAGGGGAAGGTTTTTTAAATCCACACACATATTTACACACATCATTGTTTTAAATTGATCAGGCTCTTTCTTATCCACTATCTGACTTGTGTCTTCTAATTCTCCAATGAGAACCATGACCCTCCCTCCAGTGGAATTCAGTTCTCACTTCCCCTCATCCTTACCAGCAGAGTGGTGACCTTGTAGGGAGTTTTGGAGCTCCGGAAAGTGGAGACTCTTTAAAGGACATCTCTTGTCAGAGCTGCAGGTCTCAGAGCTCTGTGTGTGGGAAGCATGGCGCTGTCCTGTGCTCTCATACATACCGTCTGGGCACTCTGGCCTGCTTGGTGTCTGTCACCAAGTGTGTGTGTAGCTAAGAGGCTGAGGTTGCTCCAGACACCCAGTAAGTTGAACCATATGAAATTGCCAACATGCATTCACTTGTAACTTACAAAAGTGGCAACTTCATGTGCACATGAGGGTAAACCTGCCAGTCTCTGGTGTCCCCTTCTTTCCTTCCCGTGTTCCTCCCAACCACCCAGATCCTGTGCTCTGGAAAACCTTTCTGGCCCTCCAGCCCTGCTTGGTCTTTCTCACTCAGCCTTCTAGTATGGTCATTTTCTAGCTGCTCAATCTGGTACCTGCAGGCATGAGTGGGAGAAGTGGGGAGAACACTGGGCTGGGAGTCAGGAGACCGAGGCTTGGGCTCTGGCTCCCTCCTCACTGACTATCTGCCCACTGGTCTCCCTGCCTCCAACTTGCCCCCTCCAATTCATGCCCCCGATGAGCACAGATCTACTCTAGCCACCTTAAACTTCAAATCTTGCAGTGACTTCCTATGACCTGATACCTAGAACGGACAGACTCCCCAGCTTGGCCAGAAGACACAACTTCAGCTCCTGCCACTTGCTTTTTGCCGCAGCCATGGGTAACTGCTTGCAGTCCCCTGCAGGTGTGCTCTCACACTGCTGCGCCTTGGCACCTGCTCTTCCTCCGCTTGGAAGGCATGTGCACCTCCTTCTCTAAGCTACCTCTGACTTATTTTTCAAGACCATCTCCCAGGCGTCTTCCCTGGGCCTCTGAGCTGTGTTAGGAGCTCTTCCTCTCTGCTCCCATTTCCTTGTGCTTCTGTCTCTCCTGGCCCTCATCATCTGTATTTTAATGGCGTCTTTGCATATCTGTCTCTGTCTGTCTCCTTCTCTAGGCTGTGGGCTCCTGACAGTATGACCTAATTCATCTGTCAATCTTTGTTGTCAGGATAGGAAGAGACGACAAACTCTCCTTTAACAGAACCAAGCAGGGGTGCCTGTGCCTCCCTTTCTTCATTTGCTGGAAACGGCTCAGAAGCTTAGATCTTGTGCTCTGGCCTTCTCTAAGTCTCATTTGCCTCTTGAGGAAGGGTAGGTTGGTTTAAGGGGTCTTTCAAGTCTTGTGGTCTAAGAAACTGGGATATCAATTCTCACTCTTCCAGAGACAGACACAGGGATCCTGCGTGGGTCCAAGGACATAGATAAGAGGGGATTACTTAAATGGAAGATTCCAAGGAATTTTGAGGATTTCTTTTCTTTTCTTTTACATTTGGTGTTTGCAGAGCATCTACCAAGCGCATCCCAGAGCTACGCGTGACATAAGGTTGCACACAGCAGCTTTCTGAATTTTGTGTGATTGCTGCCTCCCCAGTCCAACTCCTGTCCCTCTCGCTGTTCGCTCCTGCCAGGATCTGCGGGACGGATGCGTTGGGCGAGGCTGGTCCCCAAATCTGTCGCTGCCACCAGTCCGCGTCCGCCGCCGAGCCGGCGGAGGTTGGCCGAGCGGGTCCTTAGCCCGGGCGCCCTCTGGCGGCCGCACGGGGAAGCTGCGGCCCGGTCGCGCCTGGCGAAGGGAAGGAGGAGGGATGGGGGAGGAGGAGGCGCGGGCAGGGGAGGGGAGGAAAAAGTTGCGCTGGGAAGTTTGGAAAGTTGGGAAGTGGCTGCTGCGGGCTTCGCCTCCCTCCGCGCGTGTGAGGGAGCGAACGAGGGAGCGAGAGAGGAGCGAGCGAGCGCCTGCCATGCCCATCAGACCCCGCCTCGCCGCGCCCGGGCGCGGAGCTAGCCCTGACTCCCTGCCGCCCGGCCCGTCCCGGCCCGGCCCGGCGCGGCCCCGGCCCCTCGCCCCCCCGCCCCCCGCGCCAGGTCCTCCCCTCCCCCGCCCCAGCGGCCCCAGCCCCCAGCCCGGCCCGGCTCCGCGCCGCTCTCCCGCCCTCCTCTCTCCCTCCCTCCCGGCCGCGGAGCAGCATGGCGGAGCCCGGGCAGCGGCCGCGCGGCCGCCCGCCGCCCCTCTGAGCCGGGCTCGGGGGCAGCCGGTCGCCCCAGAGCCGCCCCCCACCCCTGCCGCGCCTTCCGCCGCACTTGTCCCACTGCGCGCCTCCTGGAGCGCCGCGCACCCCTGGGACCCTTGCGTGCCCCGGGTGCCCAGCATAACCCCGGGACCCTTGCGCACCCCGGGTTCTCGGTTCTGCCCCAGGAACCCCGCGCGCCCCTGGACCGCGACGCAGCTCCGGGACCCCGCGCGCCCCCGGACCCCAACACGCCCTCAGCACCCGGGGGCTCGGCCAGCGAGGTTGAGCGCCCGGGGGAGGGGCCCAGCCCTAGAGGGTCTCCCTCTTCCAACAGACGGAGCCCGGCCCCAGAGAAACCCCCAGGTCCGACAGGGACAGTCAGCCACGCCCCAGAGGGCGCCCAGCATCCTGCGGCTGGAGCCCCGTGCTCCAGAGGAAACTCCGTGCCCAACTGGGGGCTCCCCGCCCCGCTGAGGGGCGCCGCCCAGGAGGGTCCCCCGCGCCCCGCGGGCCCTGGCAGGATGCACGCCGCCCTGGCGGGGCCGCTGCTCGCCGCCCTCCTCGCCACCGCTCGCGCCCGCCCGCAGCCCCCGGACGGAGGACAGTGCCGGCCGCCCGGATCGGTGAGCGAGCGCCTGCCCGGCCACTCTCCCGCCTGCCTGGGTATTCTAGTCCCGTGGGACCATGGTTTGGGTCCTGCTTCCGCACCCACCTTAGCCCGCCCGCTCCACCTCCACCCCCCGGGCGCAGCCTCGGGCGCCCTTCCTTCGCTCCTGCCTGTCCCGGCTCCAGCTCCCAGCCAGGAGCGAGAAGGGGCGCTCCCTCTCCGGTTCCTTCTCCACACGCTGCCGCTCTGGGGCTCTCCTCTTGACTTGTGGTCCTGCTTGGACGCCTCCTCTCTCTCTGCCCCTTTTTGTCTCTCCTTTCTCATATTTTTTCTGTCTTTACCCTTCTGGTCTCTCTGCCCGCTTCTGACTGTGTTTTTCTACCGTTCCTTGCCCTTCTCTTGACTTCCATCGAACCCTTTTGCTCTCCCATTCACACACTCTGCCCCCTCCCAGGCTTCCCTCTCTCTCCCTGCCCTCCCACTCTGACCTAAGACAAACTTTCTCCCTGTTCCTCGTTCTCACCTCCATCTCTGCGGCCCAGGCTCCCACCACCTACTCTCCCAAGCGTCCATATTTCGTGAAAAGAGGGAAGATTTCAGAGGAGAGGAAAAGGCAATGCCAGGACATACTGGCCTAATATTTCTTGGGGTCGAGTAATTACTGGTTCTCCTAATATTCCTTCCAAAACAAAGAACCTCTTTATTTCCTTCAGTATCTTTCCCTCTAAGTGTAAATTAATGCATTGACAGTAACCCTGAATTGGAGGCCAGGAGACCATAGGGTCTGGCTGCTGTAGGTGTGCTGCCTGTTAGCCCGGAATTCGCTGACCTTGGGCAAGGTGCACCTCCAGCAGCCTGCCTTGTGCACAAACAGGGAGCTCGTTGGCTGACTGGGCTCTCAGTCTATCGCCAACATGCTGGGATTAACAGTTTGGGGTTGTTAGTAAAGTAAGGTACTGTTCTCCCACAACCCACCCATCCCAACACATACTTTTCATTTGTGCCAGAATCAGGCAGAAAAGTGTTATGAGTTGGTCTAAAGCTTGCAAGTGGTCAGTGGGCACTCCAGGGATTTTTCTGGTTGGAAAATGGCTTTGCCCTTTATGCCTAGCCCTGACTTGGATCTGTAGAAAGGACCCCTGTCTGCATGCCTCTCTTCAGCTCCTACATACACACACACGCGCACACACACACACACACACGCACACACACTCCCCTAAGTCGGAGCTTAGGTCATAGAAAATGACAAACAACTGGGGTTGGAAATCAGGTATACATTTTTAGGGGAGGAGCCTGGAAAGTACCCAGAATATGTACATTTCTTGGGACTAATTGTAATGGAATCCTTTCCTCCCAAACCAGATTCTGAAACTTGACTTGGCCTTGCAAGATTTTAAAGCACTTTCTCATCTATGGTCTCAGCTGGTCGAGCAAAGTAGCTGACACCCCAGACCTGCCCTCCAAAAAGAAAAGTGTATTCACCGTGATGAATGTGAAGTAGCTGTTTAAATAGGTGTGCTATTTTTAATAGGTGTTCTGCTTTCAAAGTGCTCTTGGCTTATATCTTCTAATGGTTGGATTTAAAAGTTATATGACTTCCTCCCTTCTTGCCAGAGCAGGACTCTTGGTCCTCCTTTCCCCACCCTCCGCATGAAACACCACCGGTGAAGGTTTGACTTGGCCAAGCATGAATATTCTCAGGTGGTGTGGCAGTCCTTGGCACTCACAGGGAACGCTAATCATGAGAGTTTCCCTTCATTGCTGACTTCCTCTGTACCTGGCACTGCTCTGAGGGCTTAATATACATATATTGTATCTTTTAATCCTCCCAACAACCCGAGGTAGTTGCTTTCACCCCCATTTTACAGATGAGGAAACTGAGCCTGTGGAAGTGAAATGATTCACTCAAGATCATACATCTAAGACAGGGCAAAGCTAGGTTTTCAATGTGGGTCTTTCAGGCTCCAAAGACCTGGCTCTTTACCACGGCCTGTGTATGGTCTCTGCCTCCCATCCCCACCTCCCTCTGCAACGTGCCTCTGGGCTACCCTGACTCTACTCTGTTGCCTTCGGCCTCACTGCCTTGCCTCTTCTCTACTCCTGCAGCAGAGGGACTTGAACTCCTTCCTGTGGACGATTCGGCGTGATCCTCCGGCCTACCTGTTTGGCACTATTCACGTCCCCTACACCCGCGTCTGGGACTTCATCCCGGACAACTCCAAGGCAGCCTTCCAGGCTAGCACCCGTGTCTACTTTGAGCTGGACCTTACAGACCCCTACACCATCTCGGCCCTGGCCAGCTGCCAGCTGCTGCCGCACGGGGAAAACCTGCAGGACGTGCTGCCCCACGAGCTTTACTGGCGCTTGAAGCGCCACCTGGACTACGTGAAGTTGATGATGCCCTCCTGGATGACGCCCGCTCAGCGGGGCAAGGGGCTCTATGCTGACTACCTATTCAATGCCATCGCGGGCAACTGGGAGCGCAAGAGGCCCGTCTGGGTGATGCTCATGGTAAACTCGCTCACAGAGAGGGACGTGCGCTTCCGTGGTGTGCCCGTGCTCGACCTCTACCTGGCCCAGCAGGCTGAGAAGATGAAGAAGACCACAGGGGCTGTGGAGCAGGTGGAGGAGCAGTGCCATCCCCTCAACAACGGGCTCAACTTCTCCCAGGTAGGCATGCAGTGCCCCAGCCCGGAGCTGACAGCCCTGGGTACCTGGGTCCTCTTCTCTGATTGTCTTTCTTCTCCGAGGGGGAGGGGGAGGCAGCCAGAGTCAGGTCCTTTTTCTGGAAGGAGAGGTTCTGCTGGGCAGCGAGGCAGCACCTGGCTGCTCTGGTGGTATCAGTTGAGAGTGGCGTATACTGGAATTTGGGGTAAGAGTCTGCGTGTTTGCTTCTATTTCAGCAGTATTACATGTTGGGGATGTACACTCCTCACCTGCTGTGCTTGCCTGGGCAGAAAGAATTTCCCTCAGAGCATCAGAGTGATCAAAAACAAAAAGAGGGGGCTTCCGGTTTGTGTCAGGCCTTCCTGAGGCCCTGGAGGCTGTATTGAGGCTGGTGTGTGGACAGTGCCCAAGAAAGTAAGAGGAAGGCATGGCTCCCAGGGCTGAGCCAACAAGGAGTTGCCTGGGACCTGGCGACAGTAGAGTGCTGCTTGCCATTTGAGGTTAAGCACCATCAGTTTCCCGGCTCTGTGCAAAGCTCTAGGTGACCCTCGGACCGCCTCGCTAAGGCCAGGAGAAAGTCAGCCAGGAGAGTTTTAAGGTTAATAATTTCAGAGAAGCGTGTTCGCTTAAAGGTTGACAGTCCTGATTTCTGAACCTCAGAAGTAGGAGAGAAGGGAGGGGCTTAAGAGGTTTAAAGTCTCTGGCTGCCAGAGATCTGATAGAGCAAAATGTCATTAAAAGCCCCTTCTCCATGGGCAGAGGTCACTTGCTACTCACTGGCCCCAAACTCAACTCTGAGACCCTGGGAACAATGAGTTCACATCTGTGCCTTGAGAACGGGGCTGTCAATCCCAGGATGGGGACTCCTTCAAGGAGGCCCCAAGATGGGGCTTGGGTCAATTTCCTGAGTGAGGCATGGCTCAGAGACGTGCTGCCCATTAAGGAGACAGCCTCATAAATTGGCTGGACCAGAAACTACCATTGGAATCAGACCTGCTTGCTCCTCCGGAGATGTTGCAAGCTCTTCACCAGGGAAACAGCGGCAGAAACTGATCCCCTTTCCAAGATCTCTGGCCTTTGTTTTTCCAAGGGAAATGCAATATTGTCCCTGGGGAGGTAAGAAGCCAGATTGATTTGCCGGCCAAATGAAAGGCGGGTTTGTCGGTTCTCCTGCTGGCTCTCCCATAATTGTGGAGTCCTTACCCAGAGGGCCCCAGTGGCAGGAGTATTGGGGCAGTTAGTCACGCCCTGCAGGGTTCTGACTACGCCTGACTCCTTCTCCACGGGGGAAAATCCTGTGTATTCTATGGCCCAGTGCTGATTCCTCTGAACATAGCCGCTTTCTCCCTCTGAAGTGACTTTTCCCTTGCCAGCCTCGGGAGCTGATATTATCTGTGTCGGGACCCCCGGCGCTCACCGCCCATCTCATTTCGGAGGCAGGTTTGTGGGAGGCCTCTCTGTTCAGAGGCCTAGGTCTGGCCTCGATATCTTTTTTAGGATGGGGAGGTGAGGTATCCACCATCACTCTCAACACTCTCTTTGCACCAACCACAGAGGAATCCGACAAAGGCTGAAGGGAGCACACACAAACTCTGGCTAAGCAGCCCCTGTCTTTAATCCGTCTCTCTTAAAACAACAAAACTATCTTTCTTTGGGGTCGGGAGACACTCCTGTTCAACCAAATGATGGCTTTGGTAGGGTGAAAACATTTGCTGGAAAGTGTGTGTGAGGTTATGTTTTAGGAAAAGTTACTGAGAGCCATTCATCGGCCGGGAGGGAGCCTGCTGACAGTCTCCAAAGCTCATGTTTGAAGATCAAACAGACTCCAATTCTATTTCAAAAATGTGCCCAACCCATCACCAGCCTGGGCCCACTCTTAAAATTGTTCTTTGGTCCAGCTCCTCAAAAGAGCTGCAGAAAGCAAGTCCCAAACAAAAGAAAACAGAACTCCTCTTAGTTCCCTAATCTCCATACCCTTCACCACCTGCCAGAGTGTCCAATCATGCCAATTTGTCCTGTTATCATTTTGTAGGGAGGCGATGAAATCTCTCCTCCATCCCCTTGGGCAGCCTTGGACTAAATGGGAAGGGTGGGATTCTGGAGCCTAGGCAGATGAGGTCATTAGGGATCCAAAAATTCAAAATCAGAAATGCAACAGCCTTCTCAGTAAAATTACATGCACGCGTGCACAGTTTGATATGAACATCTGTGATGCATTAGTGCACTGAAATATCTGTTAAGTGCATCAGATTTTTATTTTTTCTTTCCTCGCAGCATTACTGTTATTGCAAAATATTTGGGTTGGGGAGACAGTGAGAGAAGAAGGCGGGAAAAATAAGGCTTAAAACAGTGTCTTTTTGTTAAGATCTGGGATTTTAGTATTAATGTTGTTTTTAAAATTTTTGTATTTTTTTCTGGACAGAAATAACCATAATTTTGCTTGTTAAATGGAGAAAGAAAGCTTAAGTTTTGGAACCCTGGAAAAAGCTTCTTCCACCCTTGCGCAGCTTGGAAGATCAGGTCTATTGTTAGGTTTTGGTCTTTGATTTCAAAATAAACTGAGGGTGCTAGACCCAACATCACCGTGACTTTGCTATGTGACCTTGGGCAAGTCACTTCCTCTCTCTGGGCCCTGTTTTCTTGGTCTGTGAAATAAGACACTGAGATGAGGTCATCATTCAAGCTCCTTCTAGCCCTGACATTCCATAGGATGATTCTAATCAATTCCACGTGCCAGGCACCCTGCAGGAGGCTCCACACGCTTTTCCACTGCATTGAATTCTCATAACAACCCTATGGCTTTCTAAGGTGGGCATCCAGAAATGTTGAATGACTTGCCCAAGGTCACGTGGCTAATAAGGAACAGAGCCAGTCAGCCTGACTCTGTATGAAGGATGTGTTCTCCCAGCTTCCCCACACTGTTTCTCTAGACTTCCTCCTGTCTAGGTATTTGATATCTTCTGTAATCATTCCTTAGTTCTTTCTTCTGTTTCTCTCTCCCCTTTAGGACTTGAGGGCTTAAAATTGTCTTTCTTGGAAAATTTATACTTGTAGAGATATTTCCTTCGGCTATGAGGCTGGTGGTGAGGCAGGTCTCTGAAGGTTTTCTTGTTGTATTGTAGACAGCTCAGCACAGTGGGCTGGAGATAGGAGACTTGCTTCCAGGTGTCAGTCCCAGCCTCAACACTAAAACCAACGTTTTATATATATATATATATATATATATATATATATATATATATATATATATATATATATATATATAAAACCAACGTTTTAAAACCAACAACTTGTATATAATCTTGGGCAAGACTTGGTATGCCCATCCATCCAATGGGGCAGCAATTACCAGTCTTTCAAAGTTGAGCTGGTTTTTGTGGGGACATGAGAAGATACTACCTGTGGGAGGTTGTTGATGGGTTAAAATGACTACTTGGATGTTGGTTTTGTGCTTGGCAAACAGTCTAGGCTGGCTCCAGGGCAGGGAAAGAGGAAGGCTGCATGGGAAGTTGCCACTCCCTTCTCCCAGCAGCCATATCCACTCGTCATCCCTTGTTGAACGTTGGAGTATTAGGAGGCGGTGAGCCCCTGCCCTTGGGGGCCCAAGGATGCCTAAGTCTTGAGTCCAGATCTTATGACAAGCTTGAGACCTGCAGATTTCTATCAGCTCTGCCTGCTGCCACCAGGGACTGGTACCGGCTGCCACTACTTCTCCCTCTAGGGGACCTGAGTCCTCCCCTTCAACTCCCTGCATGGCAGAGTCGGAGACACTGGATGAGACCTCAAAGTTACATGGTTCTGTGAGGTATAATAAGAAAACAAGGACTCTGCTATTCTGTACTTTACCAAGCATGTGAGCATTACCCATCTAATATGTGTAGCGCCTGAACACAGAACCGTGCCTGCCAAAGGTGTGCAAAATGTTTGTAAAATTCTACAAGTCCCTCACTTGAGGAGTTAGAAACCACAATACCATTTATTGAGTTTTGTCTCTATGCAGGGTGCTGCATTAGACCTCATAATTACATTATCTCTAACCCTCACAGAGATGCAACAAGATTTATTATCGTATTTATTTTCAAGACCATAAATTGAGATCTGAAAAGGTGAAGTCATTTGGCTGTGATTACACAGACAGGCCAAGTAGACTCAGTGTTCAAACTCAGGTGAGTCCATTACCACAACCCCTGCTTTCCCAGTGTCTGAAAGATGACCTGGTTTTTATTAGATGACATTTCTGCTGAATTGTGTGTGTGTGTGTTTGTGTGTGTGTGTGTGTGTGTGTGTTGGAATGGTGGTAGACCATCATTTCTTGCCGAAAAAGAGAGAGAGAGAATTGAAAAGTGCTGGAACTGATTTTCTCCTTGACTTATAAATTGGATCTCAAGGTGATTCTAAAATAGGAGTTCTCAAAGACATTCTGGGCATCAGCTACTCCCAGGGAATATGTCCCAAACTTTCTAAGCCACTGCTGTGAAGACATACACACACACACCCCCCAATATAGGCTAAGCCTGCACAGTTGAATAAAGATCTCCTTGGTTTATAGTCAGAGCTCCTATGTCTACACCCTGGCGGGGCCAGCAAGTATTAGTAAGTGCTGAGTAACTATTGGGAGCATGAATGGATTAATGAGCAAATGGTCAAAAATCATGATGTGACCATCCCTGATTCCGTTCCACCATGCAGCATCATTGAAGGAATGAACGATGAAGAAAAGTATAAATCACAGCAAGGAGCCCCCTTCTGAACTTTGAAAGCTCCTTTCCATCCTATAAGGACAAAAAATGTCAAAATTATCATGTAGGCTGCTACAGCAAAATACCTTACAGTGGGTAATTTATAAACAACAGAAATTATGGCTCACAGTTCTGGAGGCTGGGAAGTTCAAGATCAAGGTACCAGCGGATTTTGTGTCTGGTGAGGGCCTGTTTCTCATAGGTGATGCCTTCTGTGTATTTACATGGTGGAAAGGGTGAACAAGCTTCCTCTAGCTTCTTTTGTAAGGGTCCTTATCCCATTCGTGAGTGTACAGACCTCATGAACTAATCTACTCCCAGAAGTTCCACCTCTTCATATCATCACCTTGGTGGTTAGGTTTCAACATACGAATTTTGGAGGGACACATACATTTGGACCACAGCATAGGCAGGTCGTATTCAAAGCAGGTTCTAATCCTGATCCTGTTAGTACCTTGCCTGTGACTTTGGGCCAGCCCTTTTCCCTTTCTAGGCCTAATTTGCCCCCCTTTGTCCCATGAGAGCGCTGGGCTAGGTGATTTCCAGTGTTGGCCCAGGTCTGACTTCTGTGATGCGTATCTCCCATATTTTGGAGAGCCTAGGCCAACCAAGTCTGAAATTTTGAGCCTGAGTTATCTGTAGTTGGGAGGGGCTGGCAGGCTTGTCTTTGGCAGTTGCTGCTGATACCTATTTGTCCAGAGCCTGTTGGTTCCAGTGGGTGATCCTGCTGCCAGGCTTCAGACAGGAGAGCCCCAGCCTGTCACGGCACAGGCTGCTGGACACCCACCCAGCCTCAGCTGCTCTCCTTCATTGTGACTCTTCTCCCTCTGTTGCTCCTCACTCATTCAACCAGAGCACCTCACTGTGTTGTGCCAGTGAAGGGTCTGGGAAGAGACTTCGAAATGTGTCTTTGCCTGCCGAGAATTCATTACCTGAGTGTGCACCCCATTGCTTTTATGCCCTGAGAGGTGGGTATTATTAGTCCTGTTTGCAGCATGGAAACTGAGGCACAGAGCACCTGAATATTAGTCTCTCCTGTGCCCTGGTTCTCCACACTTCAGATAGAGACCCTGTTCTTTCTTCCCCTTTTGGTTGTATGCTCCCACCTTTCAGAACCATTCTCTAATTTCCTGTCCTCCAAGAATGGCCATCCTTGAGTCCTCCAGCCCTCTCTGGGCCTCTGTGGCAGCCCTGGAGCCCACAGTGTTATACCTTGTCAGATCTCTTGTCAGATCTATGTGCGCTCCTTAGAGTAGAGGGAGCAAGCCTTCCCCGAGGCCCCAGACACCCCTGGAGGACCTCAGACCGTGCCGAAGCCTTTTCTCCCAGGAAGTCAACCATGGAGGGAGAGCCCCTCCATCACCGTGGAATTAAACACAGGCTGGCATCGCCTATACCATATACCTCCAGAACCTGGACTGAGAAACAGGCTTCTTCTGGCGCGACCTTCACCTTGTGCTTCGGCAGTCTGCCACACCCGCTGTGTCTCCCCCACAGAGCCATCTGGTAAGGAGCTGCTCAGCAAATGTCCATCACCGGGTGTCCCCTAGCAGGGACCCCTGGGCATGTGCTCACTCAGATTATTTCTGTGCCCAGAGGGCTGTTTGTGAAGAACCCCTGCAGGCATGGCGAGCTCTGTCCATCCCCTCTCCATGACCTGGTTCATTCGTGTCTTAATATTTAATATATTATCTAAATGTAGGGGGATAACACACACAGAAGCAGGAGCACAGGATAGCTTATGCACCTCCATCAGAGGAGAGTGAGGTCCTAAAGCTGGAGGTGACCAAAATGTCATGAGATATTCTAGTCTCAGAATTGGAAGTTCACAGCAAGAAGACTTCTAGGCTCAGAGAATCTCCAACCATAAATCCAAACTCTGAGGCTCAAAGAATCTAGGAATGGTGAAATCTCAGAACATTAGGCTCAGAGACATTTAGGGACTCAAAGAATCTTCACTTCATGAAATCCTAGCCTCTTAGCTTTGAAGAATTGTCAGCTCATGGACACAGACTTCTAAAATCTTAGAGTTGGAAGGGGCCAGCTCTCAAGAATTCCAAGAACCCTCATCCGCAAACATATTGTCTGATCTTCCCCCAACCCGCTCTCCAATCCCAGGCCAAGCAGAGAAAACCTGACCGGCAAAGCACTTTCTGACGGAGATAAAAATGGGAGCGTGCCTTTGTTAATAGTTCCCATTTGGACGTCTCTCAAAGCCAAGAAGAGGTCGCCTGGTAATGCAGCTTTCCTAGGGAGGAAACAAGAATGCCGGCGTGAGCGCCACAGCCTGCCAGCCGGGCTGCTGACGCTCTTTTCCCCTTGAGTTTGCTTCTAAATATTATCCACTTCACTCCCTTTTATCTCCCATCACTGGCTCTCTGTCCGCCCACTTAATCCACAGGCAGCCGGTGGCCGAGCCTTCAGTTCTGTTCAGCGGCTGCCAAGCCGTCTCGCCGAGCAGCTCCTCCAGGATCCACAGGCTTTTAAATCTGTGCACTATATCCGCTGGAACACAAAACTGTTGCCCCAAGCTTGGAAACGCCGTTGCTTCTGCTAGGCCCCCTCCCTCTTTAGGAATTTCCTCCTTTTCTATTCTATTTCTGAATCCTGAGATTTTTCAAGGCTCAGCTTAAAGCTGTACCTCCTCCAGGAAGTCTTCCTAGAATGTTCCCAGGTCTAATCTGCTCAGAAAGACTTGGGCCAAAGCTTTACTTAATGACCCAGCCACATATATTTTTCCCCTCTGTGGAATTATTTATGGCATTTTACGACATTCTTTCAGCACTTATATATTTTGTTTATACTTTTTTCTCAGGCAGTCTTTTCTCTTCTGATTCAAACCTAGCTCAAAATGTGCTCACAATTGATTACAAAATTAGATTGAATGTTCTCCAGTTCTGAAGTTGGGGCTTTGTGGTATATTCTGTGGTTGGAGTGTTGGCAGCTCTGGATGCTAAAAAGGGACTATGTCTTGGCCTCTCTAATTCTCAGAAACTTCTTAGGCTTTCCACCTGAGACATATTCAGTACTGTTGCTGGCCCATTTGGTCAAAACTTTGTAACATTCATGGGTCCCTGTTGGATTCATTAATCTCCATCCTGGGATATTTTGGGTTTTTTTCCTTCCTTTTCAACTGTTACTTGCAAACAAGTCTCTGTTTTTCTCCTCTTCACTATCCAGAGCACACATGATCTTCTCCAGGCTCACAGCATCCCTCCACTTATTTTCATGTTAAAATGCTTTTTATTCTTTGCTTGCTATCTTGGTTTTGGAGCACCAGGGTTGCTGAGCTGTATGATATCTCCCTCCCTCCCTCTCACATATACTCCTTAGTTATGCCTCCATGCATTTGCTCATGTTGTTCCCTCTACCTGGGAGCCCCTTCCCAGTTTTTATTTTCTGGCTAACTCTTACTCCTTTGAATTGGTAAAGGCCCCTGAGGACCATCCATGTTAAAAGCTTGGGCTCGTCAAACAAATGTCACTTTACAGCAAGACTTTTATCCATGGTCATCAGATTGGATGGATGCCATGTAATCATAACTCAGTAGTTTGAGTTTAGGTGCAACAATGTAATTGGCTTTTAGCATTGTTTTTTGAAAGAACTGGTAGGTAAATTGTACTTGGGCCACACTGAATGCCTGGCTTTACTGGAAAAGAGCCATGAGGTCATCAGACCATGCCTATAAAAGTCAGGGCCCTGGGGCCATCTCTGAGGGACAACCTAGGGCCTTAAGAGATGTGTGGTCTCTGCCTTTGCACCTGTTGCTGGATTCTGTGTTCCTTCCGAAGGACTTAGACAAGGTGGTTTCCTTGGGAGAACCTGGGCTTTTCCAAACAGCACCTGACCACCACCCCTGCCCTGAATGCTGACACTCTGTCACCTTCATTCTTGGGATTCTCCCTTTACTTCCCATTGACTCAGGAAGGGCAGGAGGAGACATTAAGCTCCTTCCCACCTCCCTTATTCAGAGGAACATCCTGGTCTGATTCTACCTTCAGAACCAAAAGTCAGTCTTTAAGTTTACACGTCATAGTGCAGACTCAGCTCAGGAGTCCCCTCCACTGGAAAACTTCCAGACATTGGCCGGATGGCCCAGTGCTCCTTCAGTTCCCAGAATAAGTGCACTTATCGGGAGTGTAAGTAACCTTGGGGTAGTTACATAAGCTGTCTGTGCGTCAGTTTTCTCATGTCAACTGTATAGGATTGCTGTGAGGATTAATTGATTAATGTAAAGCACTACAGCACAGTGCCACACACACAAATGCTCAGTACATACTAGCTCATAGTTATTACTTCATTTTCAAATTATCGTTATACAACTTTTCAAGAAATGTTTGTTAGTTCCTACTGAGTGCCAGACATGGGATAAGTGCTGGACGTAGTGAGCGAGAAGAACGTTGCTGTTGCCCAGGTGCTTCCTTTCTTGGTAGGGGACACAGCATCCGTGCAGGTGTTGGGAGGAGGGAGGCTGTGGCTTGTCTTGTGGTGTGTTGTGGGAGTACAGAAGAGGCACAGCTTCCTTGGCCCTGAGGAGATCCAGGAAGGCTTCCTGGAAGAAGCCCAGGTGAACCTGAGATCGGAGGGAGTAAAAAAGCCAGGTAAAGCCTAGGGAGTACTAGGCTCAGGAGATTGGAGGCACCTACGCTAGAGGACGGGGCGCGAGTTGTGCATTTGAGGGCCGAGAGCAGTTCAGCTTGGCCGCTCTCTGCATGGACTGCTACTAGAGAGAGACCATGCTGCATAAAGCCGCCTGCTGGTGTCCCTCCACCTCCAGTTCACCTTGGCGCTCCCCCGGGAGGCTTGCATGACTGTGCCCATTTCACGCCCTGGCGCAGAGGCGAGCGCTCTGTGCATGACGCGTTTGGCCCGAGCCGCGCCGCCTCTCTGGCCTGGCCTCCGCGAGCGCAAGTGCACGTTTCCTAAAAGAGCAGCGGTTGGGCGGCTGCGCCTTGGGGGCCGCAGTGTGTATGTCCTCGCCCGTCACTCGATCAGGCAGCGACACAGGCGGAGCCCTGCGGACAGGCACCTCGGGGCGAGGCGTTCCTGCGGTGGAGGAGGCGGCGCGGCGCGCGGCCAGCCCTGCCCGGGCAGCCACGGTGCAAAGATAAAAGGACAGGCCTTCCCCTCCTTGTCTTCTGTTTAAAGGATTTGCCTCCTTCCTCCCTATTAAGGTTATTTAAAGTTTCCTGGCCAGTGTTATCTCCTGGGGACTTAATGCGCCTTCATGGCCGTTAGTAATTTAAGCCTGGGGTCCCATTCGACAGCCCCTTTTAGAATGATATCAGCGGAGAAAGCCATTTGGAAATCTCTCTGGCTCATCTTTTAGCTTTAGTTCACACGGTTTCCCTTTCTTGAGCTGCTTGGCCTTGAGTCTGAAAAGAGACAAAAGCCTAATTGGCAATGATAATTTCAACCATTTGCATCGCGGTTTGCAATTTCCAGAGGCTTTTCACATGCACGACCGCGTTCCCTCCCGTCCCCAACAAGGACACTTCTAGTGTTAGTCTGTTCCTGGCTCCTCTTTTTTTTTTTTTTTTTCTTTTTTTGCCAGTGTGGTTACTGAGCTCAGAAAGGGAACTGGATTTGCTTCAGAGTGCCAGGCGTTGGGACCCCCAGATATCCAGCTGGGTGGCTCCAGCATCCACTGGATTATAGTACATTTTTGAGAACCAGACCCTGTATTGGGGCCGAGTTGCAGCTGGAAGAGCTGTGGATTGGTCACAGGATGGGTAAACTGAGCCACTTGGGGACTTCGGTGATAACAATGCTTGGTCATTGTGCTTGACCTTGACTGTCATTTTTTTTTTAAACTTTTAGGTTCAGGGGTACATGTGCAGGTTTGTTACGTATGTAAACTACTGTCACAGAGGGTTTTTTGTACAGATTATTTCATCACCCAGGTATTAAGCCCGGTACCCAGTAGTTAGCTTTTCTGCTTCTCTCCTTCCTCCTAACCTCCACGCTCAGGTAGACCCCAGTGTCTGTTGCTCCCTTCTTTGTGTTCCTGAGTTCTTGTCATTTAGCTCCCACTTGGAAGTGAGAACATGCAGTATTTGGTTTTCTGTCCCTGTGTTAGTTTGCTGAGGGTAATAGCTTCTAGCTCCATCCGTGTTCCCACAAAAGACATGATCTCATTCTTTTTTATGGCTGCCTAGTATTCCATGGCATGTATGTACCACATTTTCTTTATCCAATCTGTGGATGGGCATTTAGGTTGATTCCATGTCTTTGCTATTGTGAATAGTGCTGCAGTGAACATTAGCAAACCTGTGTCTCTATGGTAGAATGATTTATAGTCCTCTGGGTATAGACAGTGATGTTTGTTGACCCACCACTACAGAACCCGCATGGTGAGGCCTGCTGGTGGTCTTGGAGGTAATTTAATATTCTGCTTCCATCAGTAGTTTTGTGGGGAGGCTTTTTGATGGAGGTGGCTTTGAGAGACACCTTGCAGGTGGGATAGGATTTGGGCCCCTGGAGATGAGGTGGAAAGGAAGCAGACTTACACGGAAGTGCCAGGATGGGAAAATGCAGAGGGAATGCAGAACAAGCCTTTCTACACTCCCTCCACTGGCTTTATTCTTCCTGTTTCCTATCCAGCCCCTAAGAGAGCCATTGCTATTTGGTGCCTGTTATATGCTAGGCCTCTGGTTTATCACAGTAAATTTCTAAAACAATCCTGAAAGGTAAGCATTTTTCCCTCATTTTGAGGACACTGAGGCTAAGTACTTTGTTCAAAATGATGGAGCCAGGATTTCTACTTGGATCTTTTGATACCTTAAGGAAGAAACTGGACTGGAGTTGGAAATCCAGCTCCTCCACTTTGGCTAGATGGCTGAACATCTGTTTCCATATCTGAAAAAATGGTGCTCACAACAGTATTTACCTCCTGGGGTTGTTGTGAGGCATAAATGAGATAATGCATATAAACCACACAGCTGAGTGGCTGGCACACAGTAAGAGTTAATGAATGTTAACTGTGGTGGCTTAAGTAATGGTCATTTTCATTATTATTATTGGCCCATTTTCACAATGTCTGTCTTGAAGTGAAGCCCATTCTGTACAAAAGATGGCTCTTGGTCCTTTGGTCTCTCACACACTGAGCATCATCCAGTGCAGGGATGGGTTGTTGGTTGGTCTGATGGGAACTATGTGGTTGGACCACCCAGAGCATGGCCATTTATTTTTCTGACCATCTGCAGTGTGTAATGTCTGACTGTATTCATTCTGGCTTGCCTTCACTGTGGTCTCCCACTACTCTCTGGAGTTGGGACACACCAAAAGGAGGGAGTGAAAGGTTTAGGCTGGAGTCCCCAGCTTGAGGCCCAGCTCTGCCCTGGGTTAGATCTGTGACCTGGGGTTCCTGCCTCTCAGCATCCTTTTCCTCTACTGCTCAGACAGGTTGGATGTTACCTAGCAACAGCTTACAGCTCTTGGGAGAATCCAGTGGGATCAAGTCTGAGAAGGCCTTTATCAGCCATCAGGTGCTCTATGCTCTCAGTAGTGCTAGAGGTGCATGTGTTTTTCCTCTTTTCTCCCAAAGTGAAATTCCCCATAAATAATTAATTGAATTAGTTATTATTAAACTGTTCATTCATTTATTTGTTCATTTCTTTGAAAAGCACTGCTGGGAACTACATTGTGCCAGGCTCAGTTCCAGATCCTGAGGGTTCAGAGAGGTATATGGGGCTAGTGGGGAAGGGGGTGGGGTTGAAGAGACCTGAGAGAGAGGTGCCTCACTGCAGAGTGCCAGGAATGATTCTGAGCCCTTTATGTGCACTGCCCCACTTAATCCTCATGGCAGTCTCTCAAGTAGATTCAGCCGCATTTTACAGGTGAGGAAACTGAGTCACAGAGCGGTAATTCACTTGCCTGGGGTCACACAGCTAATGAGTGGAGGATCTGGAGTTTAAACACAGAAACTCTGGCTGCAGACCCCTGTTCTCTTGACTTATCTGCATCTAAGGAAAAGAGAGAATGTGGCCGGGTGCAGTGGC
Organism: Homo sapiens; assembly: GCF_000001405.40. NCBI lineage: Eukaryota > Metazoa > Chordata > Mammalia > Primates > Hominidae > Homo > Homo sapiens. Next base: position 47,981,297 of record NC_000001.11, on the reverse strand, counting down.
TTATGCCTGTAATCTTAGCACTTTGGGAGGCCGAGGTGGGTGGATCACTTGAAGCCAGGAGTTCGAAACCAATCTGGTCAACATGGTGAAACCCTGTCTCTACTAAAAGTAGAGAAATTAGCCAGGCTTGGTGATGCACGCCTATTATCTCAGCTACTTGGGAGGCTGAGGTACGAGAATTGCTTGAACTGAACCCTGGAGGCAGAGGTTGCAGTGAGCCAAGATCGTGCCACTCTACTCCAGCCTGGGCGACAGAGCAAGACTCTGTCAAAAAAAAAGAAAAGAAAAAAGAAAAGAGGGAATGTGACCCAGAGGAGGTGGAGCTGGAATCTGAGAGTAGAGGCGACAGCCCTTCTGAAACTGGAGATGTGATGAAAGGTAAGAGGCCAGGAGGTGACAGGGACAAGGAGCTGAGAGACTTCTGAGGGTCCCTCTTGAGGAAGGCTGTGGCCCTGGGAAGCAGAGAGTGAGATAGTCCATTTTCTAGGAGATAGAATGAGGAGGGAGTGTGAGGAGAAAGTCTGTGGTGGGCATTCAGAGCAGAAGCTGACCTTGGCAGTTGAAGCGATGGCAGGGCAGGCTGAGGGGCCCAACAGACGTACAGGTGCCAAATTTGTAATGCCACCAGTCTAGATGGCTGGGATGCTTCTCTGCAGAGCTTTCTAGTGTAGGGCAGGGAAAGGGGAAATGTGATGGAGGGCCACCCCCAGCCTAGAGGAATCTCTGTTCAATTTGCCTCAGTAGCTGGACAGAATGTCGCTTCCCACCTGTCATTCAATCTACTGTGTTAGTGTACTGTTGAGTGCTGACCCTGAGTCCCCCACCCCCATGGCAGCTGGGGCTTTGCAGAGCTCAGGTGATCTGGAGGGTCCTATGGATGCTACCAAATGGATGAGCCTGTATTCTTGCTGTCTAGGAGTTAGTTCTCTTTGCTGTTGCATATACTCAATTGTATACAATAGACTGGCCTCACCTCCTTGTGAGTACCTGGTTTGGCTTTAGTGTGATACCACTTGAGCTGTATTGAAGGACAAGTGGGCATGTCCTGGGTTCAGGAGTGGCACCATGTTATGGGGGTGGGTGCTGATGGTGATATTGATCCGGATTGAAGGAATATAGTTACTCATAACACTCACATGTGGAGAACACTAGTGGGAAGCATGGGGAGACTAGGCAATTGACTATAGAAGCACATAGGGGTCACATGATGGAGGCCTTAGGACCATATTAAGAAGTTTGGGCTTCATCCTGGGTGCACTGGGGGGCCACTGACCCTCACTCTCATGTTCTGCATTTCAGAATTCCTTCTGGTTAATAATTGGCCCACCCACTCATTCCTTTGTTGGCTAAACTGGAACACCTCACCCAGGCTTGTCTGTACCTTCCCAACCCTCTTGCTTGAGCCAGAGCAGAAGGGTTCCCAGCTTCTGGGACAGGAACTCAGGACTGGGTTTCCTTTAGAAACAAGGTGGTGAAAGCGATCTGGTGACTGAATGAGACCAGAGTAGTTATACATTACAGGGCCTTTTGTGAGGGAGCCTGAGACCTTGACCACCATTTCTAACGTCGTTGCTGGAGGATAACATTTCCTGCATTTTGTGTCACTTATTTTATGTGATTTATTTGTGGGATTCCACCTGTTCAAAGTGGGGGCGGGGTAAGGCAGGCGATTCCTGATGTTCGCCCCAGCCCCAGCAGAAGTGGGGGATGGGAGGATCCTTGGTCGGTGAATAGAGCACTGGGTTGGGAGTCCCACAGCATGACCAGAGCAAGTCCCTCCCCTCGCTCAGCCCCCTTGGTGGGTGTGAGATTGGTTGGTAAACCATAAACCATACCCCTGCTGCTGCAAAGCCACTTTCTAAGCTGGCTCTGACCTCACTGGAAAGTGGCATTTTAAATGTTATTGTCTTTTATATGTTCACATGTCTGTCTCCTTCATTAAACTGAAGTTCTTTGTGGGAAGGAACCTCGTAGAATGAATCTGGGTTTCCCTGACACCTGGCTTTGAGTACACATGCAGGGACCCTGTGTGTAGCTGTAAAATTATTGACCATGTCTACACATCATCGCCTGAGTATCCTGGTAGAAAACAGGAAGCCCCCTTCCCGCATTGTTCCCACATTTCTAGATGTTTGGTTCCAGGAGGCCAAGTACCTCAGCAGCCACCTCCACTTCCCACGGCAGTCCTTGGGTGCTTTGGCTTTGGGAGGCCGTGACCACTGAGAGCCTTCTCAGCCTCGTGCTCTGACCGACTCCTGGTGCGGCTGTAGCATCCCCCTGATCCTCCATTTCCAAAGGGGCCCTAAGGGCTTTGACTGGACCACCCTGTGGGTGGGAGCTGCTTCTCCTTGGACTGGAGGAAACTTCCCAGCTCTTCCCCACAACCTCCTTCTTCGTGCTTCTGTGTTTTTCCCAGAGCACGGATCAGAGCTTCTGTTTGCTGGTCATTCCGTGATCCTCACACAATATAAATGAAAGCTGCTAAAACCAATAAATTCAAACCATGTGTGGGGCACCGGGGAGGAGCGAGGACGTCAGAGGGCCGCAGTGTGAAGTGGCGTCAGCTCTGACGGCACCCAAGCTGATTTGTTTATGAGAAAAGTAAATATCCAAAGCCATAAACAGCCTTGGGTCTCTCATCATCGCTGGGATTCAAAGGCATTTCGTAGGAACACACACTCTCTGTCTCATGTAAACAAAGTGAGATTCTCTGTGTGTGCTGACCTAAATTCTGCATTTTCATCTTTGGGAATGCCAGCCAGTCATTCGGGTCGGGATACCACAGGCAGTCTGGGCCTGTGCTGGGTTGCCTTGTTTCCGGTTTTGGCAGTTGGCCTCGCACCTTGCTTTGCAGAGGGCTGCCCCATCATCGCTCCTTGGCCTTAGAGCAGTCCTGGATAGTTGTCTTAGTCTGTTCATGTTGCTATAACGAAATACCATAAGCTAGTTTGCTTATTAACAACGGAAATCTATTTCTCACAGTTCTGGGGGCCAGGAAGTCCAAGATCAAGACACTAGTAGATTCAGTGTCTGGTGAGGAACAGCTTTCTGGTTCACGGATGGTGCCATGTCTCTGTGTATTTACATGGCAGAAGGGGAGAACTATGGCCCCTTCAGTCCCTTATAAATGCACTAATACTATTCATGTGGGCTCCGCTCTCAAGACCTAATGACCTCCCCAAATCCCCACTTCCTAATACCGTCACATTGGGGATTAGGTTTCAACGTATAAATTTGGGGGTTGGGGAGGGACACAAATTTGGGGGAGAATTTTGTGAATGGGAACATATTATGGACATTTAGAGCATACCAGATGGATGGAATGGGGTGGCCATTCCCACCCTTGTATGGATGAGGAACATGAAACCCAGAGATGTAAATTGACTCACCCAAGATCACACATGAAATCAGGGCTGAACCAGGACATCTCCCTTTTCTTCTCCTTTAGAGCCCTCCAGCTCTTCATTTCCTCTTCCTGTGATGATACTTCTGTTCTCCCTAACTCAGAATCCAGAGGCATACTTTTCAATTCCCCCTCATTTCCTCTCTCCTCCAATGTCTCCTGGAGCCTGTCCTTCCTCTTGGTTCCTTATTCCTGTGTGTTTTTTTTTTTTTTTCATCCCGGCCATTCTTGTGCTCAAGAAAGAGTCCCAGGAAGTAGCTAGACAGTCAGAGATTTGGGGTTCTGATTTTTCTGCCTGCTGTGACTTCCAACAGATTCCTTCTCTGAGTGCCTCAGTCTTCACGTATATAAAATGGAGATAAGAATACCTATCTTCTTAGGATGATTGCTCGGGTAAATGGAGCTCAGGCATGTGAAAATGAACAGCGTGCCTAGTGGCTGGTGGTTTACTTTGTCCCACTCTCCTTCAGCCCTACACCCTTCAAGTGGCCTTCTAACTCACATATTAAAAATGGACTAACCTGGCTGGGCGCAGTGGCTCACACCTGTTATTCCAGAACCTTGGGAAGCCAAAGTGGGGATCACTTGAGGCTAGGAGTTCAAGACCATCCTGGCCAGTGTGGTGAAACTCCATCTACTACAGATTTAAAAAATTAGCTGGTGACATGGTGGCATGCACCTGTGGTCCCAGCTACTCAGGAGGCTGAGGCATAAGCATCACTTGAACCTGGGAGGCAGAGGTTGCAGTGAGCCAAGATCGCACCACTGCACTCCAGCCTGAGCAACAGAGCAAGACTCTGTCTCGCGGGAAAAAAAAAAAAAAAAAGGACTAAACCTTAAAATTGCATAAAGCTAAATACACCATCCACACATATACATAACTGAGTGCATGTAAAACTGGTGAAACCTGAATCACATCAGTGGATTGTTATCAACCTCAATTCCCTGGTTTTGATATTGTACTATAGTTATGTAAGGTGTTACCACTGGGGGAAACTGGGTAAAGGGTATTATTTCTTACAACTGCATGTGAATCTACAATTCTCTTAAAAGTTTAATTTAAAAAATGGATCAATCTTCCCAACACCCTCAGTTCATACACTCATTCATTCTTCTGTGCCTGCTGCATGCCAGGTACTGCTCATGTACCAAGCATGTATGCAAAAGAAAAGAATTCCATCCCTATCTACCTCAGGTGCTCAAAGATGTTTTCCCCTGACCACCCTATTTGAAATTGCAAATCACTCCCTTGAATTTACTTTCCTTTCTCCTTGCCCTTTTCTACCATAGCACCTGTCATCAATTGCGTTCTATACATTTTACGTATTGCTCTTCACCCCATCACTACAATGCTAGCTCCATGAGAGTAGAAATATTTGTGTGTCGTCTGTATTCTTAGCACCTACTATGTCTAGCACATAGTAGGTAATCAGTTAATGATTGTTGAATGCCTGGAAGGTGACAGATAAGAAACAAGTATGCAAAGTACACAAATGATTAATAAGAAGTCAGAGAGAGATAAATGCTGAATGAAAACAAGCAAAGGAAGGGGTTGGGGAGATAGTGGAGGAAATGTCATTTTGATCCTGGATTTTTCTACAAACCCTGCAGGCCTCCCAGTGTGTAAGGGGTAGAAGGTTGGCTTCTTAGATTATAATTCACTGATTAATTCTCTGTTTTATTCACTCACCAGATATTCCTTTGGGCCATTACTAAGTGCAAGACCTTTTAGAGCAGGCAGAAATTAGGCAGGAAAAGATCTTGCCCCCAGGAAGCTTACAGGTGGAGTAGGAGAGATGGGACAAGAATGCAAATGACACATGAAAAGGAACATGAAGCAGGGGACCTTGAAGGTCTGGAAGGTCTTTTCTGGTCTGGCCCCAGCTCAGCTACCAACCTCCTTTTCCATTGCCCCTCTAGGGAACCCCACAGCTGTACTCAGACTACCATCTGCAGTTAATTCTGGACTCTGTGCTTACCCTGGGGTGCCCTCTGTCCTTCCTCTTGTCACTCCAAATCCTGTTTCCTATTTCAGGTCCAGCCTGGCCCTTCCTGCAGGAAGGCCTCTTTGACTACCCCACTTCCATGATCAGTTTTCTCTGAACATATTTGCCATTTATAGTTTGTATTGCTTCATTTGACCCCTTAGAAGAGTCTTGTGTTTGGCCAGATTTGTGTTTGCCGCTCTAGGACAAGAGCTGGCTGTTAAGCCAAACCCAGGCTTGGGTGTGCAGTAGGCCCTCAGCAGTGCTTGTGGCTGAATGGACTTGAGAACAGTGAGATAACTGAATTCATCCTCAAAAAGGGCAAGATTTGTTATTTTTGTCATTGACCCCAACTTTCCTCACTTAGAACCACTGATGGTTCAGTTTCGGGTGAACCAATGTCTGCCTTTACAATGTTTCAGGTGCACAAAGTAATGATGCAAATGGTATGACCCAGACAGTGCTTAACAGACTTCAGGAATTCGTCTGTTTTCTAGTATCATGCTAAACCCTGTGCTCAGTAAATGCTTACAAAAAGACCTGAAAATATATGTGCAGCATTTATTACTGCACATTCATTCACCTAACAAATGTTTTTTAAATAAACTTTTAATTTTAGAACAGTTTTTGATTTACAGAATTATTGAGAAGATAGTACAGAGAGCTCCCCACACCCAGTTCCCCTGTTATTAGCATCTTATGTTAATGTGGTACATTTGTCATAATGAATGAACCTGATACATCATTATTAACTAAAGTCCATATGTTACTCAGATTTCCTCAGTTTTCCCCTAAAGTTATTTTTTTAATCCAGGATCTTATCCAGGGTACTGTATCACGTTTACTTATCATCCCTTCTTAGAATCCACTTGGCTGTGGCAGTTTCTCAGACTTTCCTTGTTTTCGATGACCTTGACAGTTTTGAAGAGCACTGTCCCTCCATAGGGATTTGTCTGATGTTTTTCTTACAATTAGAGTGGAATTGTGTGTTTTGGGGAGGAAGGCCACAGAGGCAAAGTGCTATTCTCCTCACATCATATCAAAGGTACATGCTAGCAACATGACTTATTACTGTTGATATTAACCTTGATCACCTGGATGAAGTAGTATTTGTCAGGTTTCTCCACTATAGAGGTACCCTTTTTTCCCTCCATCTTTTCATACTGCACACATTGGAAAGGAGTTGCTGTGAACAACCCATTCCTAAAAAGTGGGGAGTTAACTGCTCTGTCGTTAACAAGTGCGTTTTGAAGGCTCAGTCTGCACTGGGCACTGGTACAGATGCTGAAAATGTAGTGGTGAACAAAACATAAAAGATTTATTTTTCCTGCATGGAACTTTTATTCCAGTGAGGATTTAGCAATGAATTAATAAATAATTTTAGGTCATGATAAGGGTATAATGAAAAACAAAAATCAGTAGGCTAGAGAGGGACCAGGCTGCAAGTGGGTGGGGTTTGGATGGGGACAGATGCTTGGTGTCCTTGGGGTTTGGGGAGAAGGTGCCTTAAGAGCTGAATCCAGAAGGATGAGGAGGAGCCAGCCATGAACACCTGGGGAAGGCACATTTTGGGTAGAAGGAACAGCACGTGCCAAGGACCTGAGGCTGCTTAAGGGACAGAAAGGATGTAACTGGAGCCATGCATGTACAGGACATGCATGTCAGGAGATGGAGCAGAGAGGAGATGAGGTGAGATCTCACCTGGCCTACAGGTAATAGGACAGTACTTGGATTTTATTCCAACAGTGGAAGTCATTGGTTTGAAGCAGAAGGTGATCTAATTTACTTTTTGGAGGAGATGCAGACAGAATCTTACTCTGTTCCCTAGGCTAGAGTGCAGTGGTGTGGTGTGATCATGGCTCACTGCAGCCTCGACCTTCCAGGCTCAAGCTATCCTCCTACCTCAGCCTCCCCAATAGTTGAGACTGCAGGCACATTCCACCGCACCCAGCTAATTTTTGTATTTTTTGTAGTGATGGGATCTCACTATCTTGCCCAGGCTGGTCTCGAACTCCGGAGCTCAAGCTATTGGCCCACCCCAGCATCCCAAAGTGCTGGGATTATAGGTGTGAGTCACCGGCCCCGGCCTAATTAAATTTTTAAATGTAACATTGCTTTGCCTGTGGTATGCAAAATGGACTTTCCTGGAGAACAGAATAGAGAAAGCTGGGAGGCCAGCATGGACGCTATTAGAATAGTTCAGGTGGGAGACACTAGTGGTTGACCTGGGGAGGAGTGAGGTAGGTGTGGCTCTGTTTTGGAGGTGAAGCTGAGACATGACTGTTGGTTGCTTGTGGAGATTTCAAGAATCTGGGGTGGCACTTGCACATTTTGGTCCATGGTGGTGCCATTCACTGAAATTAGGGGAGGCTGGAGGAGGAGCAAGTACGAGTATACACACAGTACTTGTAAAATTTCAAGTACTATGTGGTTCATTAGAGAAGCTTCCTGGAATTCGTTTGTTGGCAACATTGTTAGTGGCATCTTCGGGTTACATCATCTACCTGGTGAGATTAGAATAATGCCCTGTTTCTTGATTCCCATGCCCCCTTTCTCCCCAGTAGTCCATACTATTGAAATAGGAGATGCAAATATCAAGTGTGCATGGCTGGGGACCCTGGATGTAAAGTGCACACCAGTTGCCAGAGACCTGGCTGCGGGGGCTGCCCCCTGCTGGCCCAGGCCCTGTGTGCCTGTCATTGAACTGTATACCTTCTAGCCTTTCCTAGTGTCCAGCCCATAGCAATTTATTTTTTCCTATCCCAGCTGCCACTAAATCAGCATCTCTTGGTTTGTGTTGAATTACTTCCACAGTAAAGTCTGTCAACAAGTATTTATTGAACACCAGCTATTGCGTAATGCTGTCTTAGACAGGAGCCATGATCTCTGTCTAGGTGGGTAGATAAGGCATACACAAGGTGAATGAAGTGTGTGGGGGCATGTCCAGTAAAGAGTACACAACCATGCACGTACAGTCCCCACAAGAGAGAAAGCACATGTCCTTAGAGATGCCTCATTTACTAGGAGGGATCCAGGAGGGCTCCCTGGAGATGGACACAGACTGTAGATCTGAAGGGCATTGAGGGGAGTGGGCCATGTCTTTGGGGTTTCTGTTAGAGAATTAGCGAGAGAAAGGATTGGAAAGGTAAATTTATGGACTTTGACTACCATGAGGGTCAAAAATTGGTGCTTGTCTTAGCTCAGGCTGCTGTAACAAAGTACCAGACTGAGTGGCTTATAAACAAACAAAAAAAATTCTCACAGTTCTAGAGGCTGGAAGTCTGAGGTCAGGAAGCCAGCATGTTCGGGTTCTGGTAAGGGTCTTCTTTCAGATTGCAAGACTGCCGTTTTCCAGTTTTGTCCTCATGTGGTGGAAAGAGGGCTAGAGAGCTCTCTGGGGTCTCTTTTATAAGGGTGCTAATCCCATTCACTAGGGTGCCACCCTCATGGCCTATTACCTCCCAGAGGCCCCATCTCCTAATACCATCACATTGTGGGTTAGAATTTCAGCACATGAATTTGAGTCAGGAGGCTAAGGGGACACAAACATTCAGTACATAACAGTGCTGAAAAACTAGTTGTTGAATGAGTGAATGATTGGAAAGTAGGTGGATACTGCTGCCTGGAGGGACTCTCAGGCCAGAATGAGGAATTCAGTGGCTCCCATGGGTAGTGGGGGACCACTGCTGGATATAACCTGTGTGCAAGAAAACTGGAAGAAACCAGATCCCGAAGAAAGACTTGAATTTCTAGCCAGTATTTAATTTATTGTAATAATAATGATACTGCTAATAATAACAATAATTTTTATAACTACTTAATTAGCATTATTTTTGCCAGAAAGTCTCAGTTAGTTGCATGCTTGGCCCTGTCTTTGTGTGATTAGAGGTTGTGGACTTATCTTGAGGTTTTGCTGTTTTCTTTCCTGGTTGGTCTCTGCTGATAGTCCATCTCACTGTTGGCTCTTTCATCTGTTTGTGCTCCATGAGATACCACAAAAGCACAATCTTTGATAAGGCAAATATGTCAAATCCTTATTATAACATTTAATCACTTAGGGAGGTTTCATCTGGGGTGAGAGTGGGAGGGGTGGTGGGAATGGAAAGAAAAGGCCAGATTGCTTTAACTGAATTTTTCTTTCTGGGTGAATGGGAAGTCTTTGGTGGAAACCTCATTGTTTGAGGCTGTATCCAGGAAAGAGTAAGAAAAGCAATTGAGGAGGTTCTGGAGTCTTGGTCAGGAGCATATATTGAGTACCTATTGTGGGTGTGGCATTAGGCTGCGTGCTGTCAGGGAAGGCAGGAAGAACACACCTGTCCTCCTGTTAAGGTGTGGTATCTGAGTGTAGGGAGTTAGGGCTGGGCAGGCCTACCTGGCACAAGGTAGACCTGGATAAATTCTCATTGATTGGTTGGGCCTTTACCTGTTTGGTAATTAATTGTTTTAAGAATTCAGATTGGCGAGAGAGATCATTTCCAAGGAGATAAGCCTTTCTCCACTTATAACTATACCCAAGGCTGGCTTTCCACGGGTTTTCCCATTTATTGCAAGGTTTCTCATGTATTGAGAGAGCTGACATTCAGAAGGTTAAGAGCTACATTCATACCACCAGGATAGCAGGGACATGTCTGTTTGGTTTACAAAACTGGCTCAGGGTCTGGCATGATATTCCTATATATAGTAGATTGTTAGCTTATGTGCACTGAATGAATGAAGTATTGGGGGAGTATACTGTGTCTAAGTCTCTCAGAAAGTAGGATGTGTACCTATGATACAAGCCAGGCCTTCCATTTCCAAGCCTGATTTCTTTTACCGTGCTATCAAATTTCATTAGGCAGAGATGGTGTGTTAGATTAGATTATTGTTCAAACATATTCACTCTCTGCCTCTTCCTTCCCCCAGCCTCCAGTGATGTAGAGTTTGACGATGTCACTTGCTTTGGCTTTCTGGTGGGCTAAGTGTACTTCTTGCTTCTTGACTTTGGGCTCTGTCTTGTCACTTGCTTTGGCCAGTGAGACGCTAGCAGACATGCGCCACCAGAGCCTTAGATGTGCTTGCTTTAGTTGAGCTCATCCTCTCGTGCCTCTGCCATCACCATGAGAAGGGAATCTTCCATGTAGCTGCTGCCTCTTCAGCCTGGGTCCCAGAATGCACACAGCAGACCTGAGTCCAACCCACAATGAAGAGTCACCCCCAAGACACATAGGTTGAGTCCAGCCAAGTCCAACTCAGATCAACCAACCCCCGGCTGACCCACAGACGTGCAAGTGAAAATAAATGATTATTGCTTTAAGCCACAGAGGCCTGGGGTGGTTTGTAACACAGCAATAGCTGACCAGTACAGATGAGAAGGGCATTTCAGGCAAGGGCAGGACCGTAAATTATGTCATGGAGGGAAAGAGGGAATGAGGGATGGGAGATGAAAATGGGAACATAGATTTCAGCTAGATCTTAGAAGGTCTTAAATGTCAGTGTAAGGAATCTGGCCATTTTCCAATAAGCAGTGGGAGGCATTGAAAGTTGTTGAGTCAGGAGGAGTGAGATCCAAACCCAGCTATAGAAGGGTAAATTTGAAAATAAGTGCAAAATGGTTAAAATGGAGAGGGAACTAAAAGTCAAAAGACCTTTTGAAAAGCTACTGTGTTTTGTCCCCCACTGAACTCCAGAGCCTGACACCCTGCCTCTTATCTAGTAGGTACTCCATATTTATTCATATTTGTTGAATGAATATATGTGTAACAGAATTGTCCAGGCACTTGATAACAAGGACTTGGAAAACAGGAGTCTCTGATAAGTCATCCGTTTACCCATTCATCCATTCACCAATGTTTGCTGAGCTCTTAAAATGAGTAAGTGCTTGAGTGTGGGGTCAGGGCTGGATAGAGCCTGAAGAGAGATCCATAGGGTCCTTCCCCAAACATTTTGGAAAAGGGACCAGAACAACAAGGAGGTCAGGCTGCAATGTGAGAGTGAGGAGCGGTGGGGGAGGTGAAGTCGGACACTGGAAGGGGCAGCTTCGAGGGAGGGCATGCTCCTTTCTCTTGATCATGAGGACATGGCAGGGGAAACATCACCTTGCTGGCTTCACCTGGGACCAGGACAGCATCACTTGTCCTCCCTCTGAACCCCAGGGCTGGCTCTGCAAGGGACACTAGGTTTGTGAATCTGATTCTATTTGGCCTTTCTTTTTAGGCCAAATTACTAATGCCATGCTGTCCAATCGTTTTAGGCTTTGTGTCTACGCCTTCGATCATTTATATGTTCTAGGTCACTGACCTGGGTGTGGGGAAACATCAGTGACTGAGAGGTCTCTTCCCTAGAGGAGGGCACAGTCCAGTGTTTGTAAGTTTCTAAAGTGTGACTTTTGGCCCATCATGGACCTCTCCCAGCCTTTTTCCTCATCTGTGAAATGATCACTGAAAGGTCTACTCAAACTGCCCTATGCTGGCTTCTGTCCTTGAGTGAATCACTGCTTAACTGAGCCCTTGTGAGTGGTGGTCTCATCTCCCTCTGCACGGCATGAAGATCTTGGAGGATGGCACCTGGGGGACAGGCTGAGTGTAAACTTAGAGAATGCCAGCTTTTTAAAAGCCTGGCCCTGCATCTCAGAGTTCCTGCCTATAAGCAGACATACCCAGTGAGCACTTATTTCCTACCCAAGGTCAGAAGACACTAAATCCCTGCTTGTGGATCCACTTGCAAAAGAAAACCAAACAAGCAAGCAAACAAAACCTCCAGGCTTCTGTGATAATAGCCTGGGCTGGGAATGGTGAGCAGAGCTCCTATGTTAACGAGGACCTAATGGTAGTGGCTTCCTGAAATCTTGGGTTGAGAATGATTCTGAGGCTCTATTGGACTTGACACAGGGCTATAATGTGTTAATGATAGGCATGGGACACTGCAATTCAGCATATGCTTACCAGGGCTGATATCTTTCTTTAGTCTGCAGGATCAGCCACCATTCATTTGTCTTCATTCAGCATGTTATTACTGAGCCCCTACTCTACTGTCAGGGAGTGGCCTGGGTACTGAAATCGCAACCCCAAAACAAAACAATGTTCAGGGTCCTCAGGCAGCTTCCATTCTAGTGAGGACAGATAGATAGCAAATAATAAACATAACAAGTAAATAAAATAGTAGATTGGAAGGTAATGTGTGCTGTGGAAATAGGAGAAGAACAGGGTGAAAAGGCTCTTGAAGTGCCACGCCCACCCCAGAGCTAGTCTTGTTTGATGTAGTTAGAGCAGCCTATGAACCCTAACCATTGCTGGAGCTTCTGCCTGGGGGCTCATACATGGTGAGTGGTTGAGGTGATTCAAAGGGATATGTTGTCTTGGAGCGTGTGTGTGTGTGTGTGCACGCATGTGCATGCCAAAGTGTGAACCTGTGTTCCTGAGCCCAAGATGAATGACTCTGGAGTAACCGTTGTTTGATATTAGCTGTACTTCCTCTAGCTGCCCAGACAGCTAAGAGTTATTGTCCCTTTGTGGCAGCTCACTCCCAAGGTCCTGGCCTTCTGGCAGCTGGTTTGGGGACTTGAGTAGTAGGGGGAGTAAAACCATAGTGGTTGTCGTAGGAGCAGCCTGCAGTTTACCTTCTCGGACTCTAGGAAAAGGATTTGCTGAGCAAATTAGAATGAAAATACATATTCATGAGGAAATGTGCATCTGGGTCATGAACGCATAGTTATCACAAGGCAGGGATGTTATTTGTTTGGGATCAAATATTAATATGCTAATTTGAACAGTTCTTATCTCTGTGAAAGCAGGTAATGTAAGTATCTCTAGTAGGTAATACTTTCTTGCCTAGTTCCAGTTACCATGGCAATCAGTCAGCTAGGGTGGTGCCCACCACATGCTCATCATTGCATTATGCATTACAATCAGTCTCATCTTCCCTTGAAAACCATGCTGTACACTGTAAGATAACACACAGTGACACCTCATTTAGTCAACATCACTGTAGAGTGAAGTCTTCCACCGAAATGAATTATCTGGATAAAAAGTTATAACCGTTAGGTATCATGATGTTAGTTGGCATAACCATGTTGGATGAAAAGTTTATAGAAGTATGTTTATTGTGTACAGCAGCCAACTCTTGAACTGGTTCACAGTTTTCTTGGAGACTCAGTGTCATTTATAATTTTCTTGGATATCACATGGTGAGGTGTATATAGTATTGCCTTTTCTCTGGATGACTCTAGGCTGCTATTATTTTCTAGTTCCTATTTTTCTAGTTTCCAGTCATTTATCTATCTCTCTTAACAGAGTCAGGCAGAACATTTTGACTTCTTACTGGAGCCAGCATCCTTTGCAGTGTATTGGTTGTTTTTAATCTTTTGTGAGCTAGAAAGCCAGAGAACCAGACGTAAACGAGAGTCCAAAGATAAACTAAATAATTTCAGGTGAAGATGGTGAGGTATTGTTCTAGGAGTCAAGTGTATGGATGTGGTGCGGTGTTAATTTTGTTGTTTTAACATATGTTCTGGATACGGGAAGTTGCTAGATAGTGGACTTCTGGATAAGCGAAGTATTGCTGTGTGTGTGTGTGTGTGTGTGTGTGTGTGTGTGTGTTTTCTTGCTTATTCACATACACTCATAATACATAGTGAGGGGTGGATAACTCAGCTAATTCAATTTCTGAAGGGCTGTCTCTAAGCACCAGGATCTAATGTGTTTTTTATGGCCCTGCTTAGTGAATAAAAGCTTCCAGGAGGCAATTTCAGCTCAGTAGGAAGAACTTGCTAAAAGAGAAGTCCAGTCTTAGAATAGCTGCCTTGAGGGTATGAGCTCCTGTCAAGGAGCTGTGTGCCAGCAGAGGCCAGGCCACTAACCATCCAAGCACATGGTCAAGGGGATTTAAACATCTGCCAAGCTATTGAACTGTTTTTCTCCCATTTTTAAGATTTGTTCAACTTTATTGAACTACACTAAACTGTGTATTTGAAGGATTGACCCGATTATTTTATTTTATTTTATTTTATTTTATTTTATTTTATTTTATTTGAGACAGAGTCTTGCTCTGTTACCCAGTCTGTGGTGCAGTGGTGTGATTTCAGCTCACTGCAACCTCTGCCTCCTGGGTTCAAGCGATCCTACTGCATCAGCCTCCCAGGTAGCTAGGATTACAAGTGTGCGCCACCACACCTGGCTAATTTTTATATTTTCAGTAGAGATGGGGTTTCACCATGTTGGCCAGGGTGGTCTCAAACTCCTGACCTCAAGTGATCTGCCCACCTCGGCCTCCCAAAATGCTGAGATTACAAGTGTGAGCCACTGCACCAGGCCAACCTGATTGATTTTAAATTCCTTCTTGAGATTGGCAAAGCTGTGTTAGCCAAATATAAATCTGCACATCTACTGTATACATGTGGCTCAGCTTAGCACTCCTCTTCCCAGGTGGGCTGGAATCACCAGTTTCTGTCATGTACTCAGCAGGCAGTCTGGTGAGCGCCTCCTTTTTGTCATCCCACTGAAAGCTGAGTGGAGATATGTCCCTTCTCACCTCCTCAGGTGAGATATTCACCTTAACAACTAGAAATGGGTGACATTTTCTTTGGTGTCAGCTGACAGCTGGGCAAGTCAAGAGCCCAGCCGTGTGGCCATAAATACTGACAAGCGTGGCCAGGCTGCCTTCCAGAGTCACATTGGAGGTTCTGGGCTACATGGGTCAGTGTTGGGGAGCAGTGCCAGGGTTCCTAAGGGTTCCCACAGCCCCCTGCCCTGGCACTTCCAGACGTCATAACACACAGCCCTGCCACCTCCCTGCTGTCTATGCCTGAGTTGGTATATGGGACTCAAACCCTCAGACCCCGTGCTGACCTTCAAGAGGACTTAATAGGCCTTTTTGTAAACAGCGCCAGACAGTTCTTCAAGTGACATGTATGGCTTCATATGGCTGTGATGTGGAGTGCAGCTGGGGCTTTTTGTTTGTTTAGGTTATTTCCCCCTTCATAAACAGTGAGGGGTGTCTGCTGCAAAATATTCTTCTTGACGGGATAGAGGGGGAATAGAGATGGGAGAGTCAGAGATTCTTCCTTTCCTGCTCTATTCTCCATGGGTCTGGGATAGCCTTAGGTTTCCAGACCCTTCTTCGAGTACCCTTGCTCTTCATGATCTGAAATCCTGAGTGGTCATCCTAGTATCCTAGAAGTAGAAGAGACTCAACATAGACTTAAAACAACGCCAGATCACATGGTGTCATGAAGGAAGAGGTAGCCCCATTTCCCCATGTACTGAAGTGGGAAGAGAGGTGTGATGTCACATTTAGGTATTGGGCACCTTGTCAGAGACCTTTCAGAAACAGACTCCCCCAGTGTCCCCTGGGTTTGGGGTTGGGGCTGGGGGAGGGCTGGGGCCCGGGTCAGCAGGGCAGACATTCTCAGGAAAAGGGGAGGGAAGGGGCAGTCAGATATTGCCAAAGTGAGTCCAGGGGCATCTGGTTTGCCCTCCCTCTGCCTGGGCTTCATCCACAGGAGTGCACTAGACTTCCTGGCCCCCAAGGAGATTTTTTTTTTTTTTGCAGGGAAGGAGATGCTTAATTTCAAGTCCAGATCTGTAACTTTGTCCTGGACCTTGCCAGACACCCTGTCGCTTTTGAATGCAGAGATGTAGCCCCAATTTTGCAGAAAAGTCAGACTTGTACTCTTGTTGAAACTTTCCCCCCACCTCCCCATCCACCCCCCCCACCCCCCCCTCCACCCCCCCCCGCCCCCCGCCAAATCTGATGGGATATTCCCTGTTCCCTAGTGGCTTTGGTTGAAACCGCAACCTGGTCTTGATGCTTGAGTTGAACCTATTTGATCAAGTCCTGGAAGAAAAATCAAAGGCTATTGAGGAAGAATCATGTGCAATGCTTAAAGCCCCTTAGTACATCTCTAAACAAAAAAGACTTATTCTTTGAAGATCGAGTCAGATGGCTCAGTGCCCTGAATGGAGGAGAAAAGGCTGTAAAGAGTTAGGTAAAAATCTGGGATGAGAAGAAATGGTGTCTGCCTGGGGTAGGAAGTGGGGGCCGCATCCTTCCTGGGCAGGGCTTCCAAGGGGTCTCTGACTTATGCAGTGCCTGGCCGGTACATTGTTTCCTCTCTCTGGGCTTCCACTGCCTCCTTTGCAACATGAGAGAAACTGGATGAAGTAACTAAGTCCGGCCTGGACCCCAGAGCTCCCTAGACATGAAGGAATACAGTAATATGGTGTTACCGTAATACCCTAGTTGAAATCCCAAGGCTGTTCAGCATTAAAAACAAATTGCTAGAGGCAAATAAAGATAACTAAAATTTCAAGTTTCTACCCCCCAAAATATATCAATATCCATGGCTCAAACTCTGTCATCTTTTTCCTGATTAGAAGCCTGGACTGGCAATTTGACACAATCATTTGGGACAGGGATGTGGTTTGGTTAATAGGGAAAATATTTCAAAACATGACACTCAGTAGTCTAAGGGTAGGCAGGTCTTATCTCAGTAAAAAGTTTGGAAACGATGTTTATACAGTGTTTCAGAATTCTTAATGAAGTTTGTGCTCCTTCCTCAGCAAGTCTATTGGTGATCTTTGTGGACTCTCCCCTAAAACTGCGGGTTGGACAAGGTTTTGGGTCTGGAACCTGCTAAGCCCACTCATGGGAAGTTTCAGGGAACCTCCTTGACCCCTTGGGCCTGACTCAGGTAGTGAATTCAGTGTGTAATGTGACCGTAACGCTTCCTTTTCATCTCTGTTAATTTCCAAATTGGCTCGTTAAATCTATACATTCCAGAAACTCGGTCCAACATTCCAGGGAAACTTTCCATGGACAATCAGAGCAGGAGTTCTTTTCACCAGGGTTTGTTTAAGCAGGGGGAATGTAGGGGGAAAAAAACAACACTCCAGAACAAATTATCTTTATTTCTGCAAAGGGGACCTCAGATGGTAGCCTCACGGTGACCATGGCCTGTATCTTTCTTTTGCTTCATGAGGTGTCTCAGTCTGGCCTTTGGGCCTGGCCCAAGTTCACTTGCTCACATGTTTGTTGAGCTCCTGTTGCAGACTAGACGTTGTTAACTCCGCCAGAGAGTCAGCGCAGTAAACTCCGGGGTGTTCTTTTTCTGTTCCCTTTCTGTCTTGTTGTTATTGGGACGCAAACATGTAAGTGTGTTTGAAACTTCATAGGACGGTTGCCAGGGGAGGTGTCAGTCTTGCTGCCAGATGGGTACATAATGTACCACACATGCAAGCAAGGCACTGGGAAATTTTAGCCAGAATTAACAACTGCACAAGGACTGGAAGCAAATAAATAAATAACCCAAATGTTCAAAGGCCGTTTATCAGCTCAGTTTATCTCCACTGCTGAATGCTAACTTTTTTCATGACTTACCTTTTCCATTTCCCTGACCTTCAAAATTCTTCCCACATTCTGGGTTAATTGAAGTTACTCTCATGTTTCTTTATGTCCTGGCTTAAAGCAAGGGCCTGCTCTTTTTCTCCTAAGTGCTTTGGTCCCTAAGAGGCAGCTCCTGGCAGTGGGAAAATGCCCTGGCCTGAGAATCAAGAGGGATGGGCTCTGATGCTTTGCTGGTCTCTCTGTTCACCACCTGTAACCTGGGGATGGGGCTAGCAGAGCACTTCCAAGCCTTGTCCAGATGTCACCTGCCATCTGTCGCTGTATTCAACATGCATGTCTTGAATATCCAGTGAATGCATATTGCAAGTCACCTATTTGTGAGATGGTCCCTGCTTCCAGAAACCTGTTATGTTAATCTGTCTTTGGGAGACGATCCATCAGATAAATTCGTATGTGTGTTTAAGTCAGTCTGTGCTCACTGCCCTGGCACAGACATAGTTGGTCTCCCTGCATCTAATGGCATCCCACATACAATTAATATTTAGTGAATGAATGAATGGATGGATGGATGCCAAAATTCTAGAGCTTCAATTCCAACTCAGAGGTAAACCAGGGAGGCTAATTGTGTTTCACGGCGGGGCAGCAGGCCTGCTTGCATGGCATCTTTGTTATGTGGGAGTAGATACCCCTTCCTGTGAATGGAGGCAGCCTTGTGCTCAATACATGGCTTGTCCTCACCAAGAGCCCTTGGGCTAGAGTCAGAATGCATCAGTGTGCAGGGTGGCCCCACTGGGTGAGATGGGATCTGGGGAGAAACAGAGAGGTATAGAGCATACACTCTGCAGCTGAATTGCTTGGGTTTGTGTGCTAACTTCACCACTTTGTACCAGTGCCTCAGTTTCCTCATCTATAAAATGGAGGAATCACAGTACCTACTTCAAAGGGTTGCTGTGAAGCCTAAATGAATCAATCATATGTAAAGTGTCTAGAGCAGTGCCTGGCACGTGGTAAGGACTAATTGAGCATTAGCTGTTGTTCATGCTGATATTATTATTAAGGGCAAAGGGGGCAGGTATCAGGATCTGAGAGACAGAGCAAACTGTAGGACACCTCAGTTTCTAGATGGGTGAAGGGGTGAAAGGAAGAGGAGCTACAATAGGAAATAATCTATTGCTGGGCTGCAGTCAATGAGTTGGGTTTCTTTTTATTTATTTATTTGTTTGTTTGTTTTTACACTTTAAGTTCTAGGGTACATGTGCATAACGTGCAGGTTTGGTACATATGTATACATGTACCACGTTGTTGTGCTGCACCCATTAACTCGTCATTTACATTAGGTATATCTCCTAATGCTATCCCTCCCCCATCCCCCCACCCCACAACAGGCCCCGGCGTGTGATGTTCCCCTTCCCGTGTCCAAGTGTTCTCATTGTTCAATTCCCACCTATGAGTGAGAACATGTGGTGTTTGGCTTTCTGTCGTTGCAATAGTTTGCTGAGAATGATGGTTTCCAGCTTCATCCATGTCCCTACAAAGGACATGAACTCATCATTTTTTATGGCTGCATAGTATTCCATGGTGTATATGTGCCACATTTTCTTAATCCAGTCTATCATTGATGGACATTTGGGTTGGTTCCAAGTCTTTGCTATTGTGAATAGTGCTGCAGTAAACATACGTGTGCATGTGTCTTTATAGCAGCATGATTTATAATCCTTTGGGTATATACCCAGTAATGAGATGGGTGGGTCAAATGGTATTTCTAGTTCTAGATCCTTGAGGAGTCTCCACACTGTCTTTCACAGTGGTTGAACTAGTTTGCAGTCCCACCAACAGTGTAAAAGTGTTCCTATTTCTCCACATCCTCTCCAGCACCTGTTGTTTCCTGACTTTTTAATGATCGCCATTCTAACTGGTGTGAGATGGTATCTCATTGTGGTTTTGATTTGCATTTCTCTGATGGCCAGTGATGATGAGCATTTTTTCACATGTCTGTTGGTTGCATAAATATCTTCTTTTGAGAAGTGTCTGCTCATATCCTTTGCCCACTTTTTGAAGGGGTTGTTTGATTTTTTCTTGTAAATTTGTTTAAGTTATTTGTAGATTCTGGATATTAGCCCTGTGTCAGATGGGTAGATTGTAAAAATTTTCTCCGATTCTGTAGGTTGCCTGTTCACTCTGGTGGTAGTTTCTTTTGCTGTGCAGAAGCTCTTTAGTTTAATTAGATCCCATTGGTCAATTTTGGCTTTTGTTGCCATTGCTTTTGGTGTTTTAGTCATGAAGTCCTTGCCCATGCCTATGTCCTGAATGGTATTGCGTAGGTTTTCTTCTAGGGTTTTTATGGTTTTAGGTCTAACATGTAAGTCTTTAATCCATCTTGAATCAATTTTTGTATAAGGTGTAAGGAAGAGATCCAGTTTCAGCTTTCTACATATGGCTAGCCAGTTTTCCCAGCACCATTTATTAAATAGGGAATCCTTTCCCCATTTCTTGTTTTTGTCAGGTTTGTCAAAGGTCAGATGGTTGTAGATATGCGGCATTATTTCTGAGGGCTCTGTTCTGTTGCATTGGTCTATATGTCTGTTTTGGTACCAGTACCATGCTGTTTTGGTTACTGTAGCCTTGTAGTATAGTTTGAAGTCAGGTAGTGTGATGCCTCCAGCTTTGTTCTTTTGGCTCAGGATTGACTTGGCAATGCGGGCTCTTTTTTGGTTCCATATGAACTTTAAAGTAGTTTTTTCCAATTCTGTGAAGAAAGTCATTGGTAGCTTGATGGGGATGGCATTGAATCTATAAATTACCTTGGGCAGTATGGCCATTTTCACGATATTGATTCTTCCTATCCATGAGCGTGGAATGTTCTTCTGTTTGTTTGGGTCCTCTTTTATTTCCTTGAGCAGTGGTTTGTAGTTCTCCTTGAAGAGGTCCTTCACATCCCTTTTAAGTTGGATTCCTAGGTATTTTATTCTCTTTGTAGCAGTTGTGAATAGGAGTTGACTCATGATTTGGCTCTCTGTCTGTTATTGGTGTATAGGAATGCTTGTGATTTTTGCACATTGATTTTGTATCCTGAGACTTTGCTGAAATTGCTTATCAGCTTAAGGAGATTTTGGGCTGAGACAATCGGGTTTTCTAAATATACAATCATGTCATCTGCAAACATGGACAATTTGACTTCCTCTTTTCCTAATTGAATCCCCTTCATTTCTTTCTCCTGCCTGATTGCCCTGGCCAGAACTTCCAACACTATGTTGAATAGGAGTGGTGAGAGAGGGCATCCCCGTCTTGTGCCAGTTTTCAAAGGGAATGCTTCCAGTTTTTGCCCATTCAGTATGATATGGGCTGTGGGTTTGTCATAAATAGCTCTTATTATTTTGAGATACGTCCCATCAATACCTAGTTTATTGAGAGTTTTTAGCATGAGGGGCTGTTGCATTTTGTTGAAGGCCTTTTCTGCATCTATTGAGATAATCATGTGGTTTTTGTCTTTTGGTTCTGTTTATATGGTGGATTACATTTATTGATTTGCATATGTTGAACCAGCCTTGCATCCTAGGGATGAAGCCAGCTTGATCGTGGTGGATAAGCTTTTTGATATGCTGCTGGATTCGGTTTGCCAGTATTTTATTGAGGATTTTTGCATCGATATTCATTAGGGATATTGGTCTAAAATTCTCTTTTTTTGTGTGTGTGTCTCTGCCAGGCTTTGGTATGAGGATGATGCTGGCCTCATAAAATGAGTTAGGGAGGATTCCCTTTTTCTATTGATTGGAGTAGTTTCAGAAGGAATGGTACCAGCTCCTCTTTGTACCTCTGGTAGAATTGGGCTGTGAATCTATCTGGTCCTGGACTGTTTTTGGTTGGTAGGCTATTAATTATTGTCTCAATTTCAGAGCCTGTTATTGGTCTATTCAGGGATTCAACTTCTTCCTGGTTTAGTCTTGGGAGGGTGTATGTGTCCAGGAATTTATCCATTTCTTCTAGATTTTCTAGTTTATTTGCATAGAGGTATTTATAAAAGTATTCTCTGATGGTAGTTTGTATTTCTGTGGGATTGGTGGTGATATCCCTTTATCATTTTTTTATTGCATCTATTTGATTCGTCTCTCCTTTCTTCTTTATTAGTCTTGCTAACTATCAACTTTGTTGATCTTTTCAAAAAACCAGCCCCTGGATTCATCGATTTTTTGAAGGGCTTTTTGTGTCTCTATCTCCTTCAGTTCTGCTCTGATCTTAGTTATTTCTTGCCTTCTGCTGGCTTTTGAATGTGTTTGCCGTTGCTTCTCTAGTTCTTTTAATTGTGATGTCAGGGTGTCAATTTTAGATCTTTCCTGCTTTCTCTTGTGGGCATTTAGTGCTATAAATTTCCCTCTACACAGTGCTTTAAATGTGTCCCAGAGATTCTGTTATGTTGTTTCTTTGTTCTCGTTGGTTTCAAAGAACATCTTTATTTCTGCCTTCATTTCGTTATGTACCCAGTAGTCATTCAGGAGCAGGTTGTTCAGTTTCCATGTAGTTGAGCAGTTTTGAGTGAGTTTTTTAATCCTGAGCTCTAGTTTGATTGCACTGTGGTCTGAGAGACAGTTTGTTATAATTTCTGTTCTTTTACATTTGCTGAGGAGTGCTTTACTTCCAACTATGTGGTCAATCTTGGAATAAGTGTGATGTGGTGCTGAGAAGAATGTATATTCTGTTGATTTGGGGTTGAGAGTTCTGTAGAGGTCTATTAGGTCCGGTTGGTGCAGAGCTGAGTTCAATTCCTGGATATCCTTGTTAACTGTCTGTCTCACTGATCTGACTAATGTTGACAGTGTGGTGTTAAAGTCTCCCATTATTACTGTGTGGGAGTCTTAAGTCTCTTTGTAGGTCTCTAAGGACTTGCTTTATGAATCTGGGTGCTCCTGTATTGGGTGCATATATATTTAGGATAGTTAGCTCTCCTTGTTGAATTGATCCCTTTACCATTATGTAATGGCCTTCTTTGTCTCTTTTGATCTTTGTTGGTTTAAAGTCTGTTTTATCAGACACTAGGATTGCAACCCCTGCTTTTTTTTTGTTTTCCATTTGCTTGGTAGATCTTCATCCATCCCTTTATTTTGAGCCTGTGTGTGTCTCTGCACATGAGATGGGTCTCCTGAATACAGCACACTGATGGGTCTTGACTCTTTATCCAGTTTGCCAGTCTGTGTCTTTTAATTGGAGCATTTAGCCCATTTACATTTAAGGTTAATATTGTTATGTGTGAATTTGATCCTGTCATTATGATGTTAGCTGGTTGTTTCGCTTGTTAGTTGATGCAGTTTCTTCCTAACCTTGATGGTCTTTACAATTTGGCATGTTTTTGCAGTGGCTGGTACCGGTTGTTCCTTTCCATGTTTAGTGCTTCCTTCAGGAGCTCTTGTAAGGCAGGCCTGGTGGTGACAAAATCTCTCAGCATTTGCTTGTCTGTAAAGTATTTTATTTCTCCTTCACTTATGAAGCTTAGTTTGGCTGGATATGAAATTCTGGGTTGAAAATTCTTTTCTTTAAGAATGTTGAATATTGACCCCTACTCTATTCTGGCTTGTAGAGTTTCTGCCAAGAGATCAGCTGTTAGTCTGATGGGCTTCCCTTTGTGGGTAACCCGACCTTTCTCTCTGGCTGCCCTTAACATTTCTTCCCTCATTTCAACTTTGGTGAATTTGACAATTATGTGTCTTGGAGTTGCTCTTATCGAAGAATATCTTCGTGGTGGTCTCTGTATTTACTGAATTTGAATGTTGGCCTGCGTTGCTAGGTTGGGGAAGTTCTCCTGGATAATATCCTGCAGAGTGTTTTCCAACTTGGTTCCATTCTCCCCGTCACTTTCAGGTACACCAATCAGATGTAGATTTGGTCTTTTCACATAGTCCCATATTTCTTGGAGGCTTTTTTTGTTTCTTTTTACTCTTTTTTCTCTAAACTTCTCACTTCATTTAATTCATTTGATCTTCAATCACTGATACCCTTTCTTCCAGTTGATCGAATCGGCTACTGAAGCTTGTGCATGCGTCATGAAGTTCTCATGCCATGGTTTTCAGCTCCATCAGGTCATTTAAGGTCTTCTGTATGCTGTTTATTCTAGTTAGCCATTCGTTTAATCTTTTTTCAAGGTTTTTAGCTTTTTTGTGATGGATTGAATCATCCTCCTTTAGCTCGGAGAAATTTGTTATTACTGATCATCTGACACCTTCTTCTCTCAACTCGTCGAAGTCATTCTCCATCCAGCTTTGTTCTGTTGCTGGTGAGGAGCTGCGTTTCTTTGGAGGAGAAGAGACACTCTGATTTTTAGAATTTTCAGCTTTTCTGCTCTGGTTTCTCCCCATCTTTGTGATTTTATCTACTTTTGGTCTCTGATGATGGTGACATACAGATGGAGTTTTGGTGTGGATGTCCTTTCTGTTTGTGAGTTTTCTTTCTAACAGTCAGGACCTTCAGCTGCAGGTCTGTTGGAGTTTGCTGGAGGTCCACTCCAGACACTGTTTGCCTGGGTGTCACCAGCAGAGGCTACAGAACAGCATATCTTGCAGAATGGCAAATGTTGCCGCCTGATCCTTCCTCTGGAAGCTTTGTCTCAGAGGGGCACCCGGTTGTATGAGGTGTCAGTCAGCCCCTAGTGGGAGGTGCCTCCCAGTTAGGCTACTCATGGGTCAGGGACCCACTTGAGGAGGCAGTCTGTCCATTCTCAGATCTCAAACTCCATGCTGGGAGAACCACTACTCTCTTCAAAGCTGTCAGACAGGGACGTTTAAGTCTGCAGAAGTTTCTGCTACCTTTTGTTCAGCTATACCCTGCCCCCAGAGGTGGAGTCTACAGAGGCAGGCAGGCCTCCTTGAGCTGTGGTGGGCTCCACCCAGTTTCAGCTTCCTCACCACTTTGTTTACCTACTCAAGCCTCAGCAATGGCGGGCGCCCCTCCGCCAGCCTCCCTGCCGCCTTGCAGTTTGATCTCAGACTGCTGTGATAGTAGTGAGCAAGGCCCTATGGGCATGGGACCCTCTGAGCCAGGCATGGGATATAATCTCCTGGTGTGCTGTTTGCTAAGACCATTGGAAAAGCACAGTCTTAGGGTAGGAGTGACCCGATTTTGCAGGTACCATCTGTCACGGCTTCCCTTGGCTAGGAAAGGGAATTCCCCGACCCCTTGAGTTTCCCAGGTGAGGCGATGCCCCGCCCTGCTTCAGCTCATGCTCCATGGGCTGCACCCACTGTCCGACAAGCCCCAGTGAGATGAACCCAGTACCTTAGTTGGAAATGCAGAAATCACCCGTCTTCTGCGTCACTCACCCTGGGAGCTGTAGACTGGAGCTGTTCCTATTTGGCCATCTTGGAACCTCCATGAGTTGGGTTTCTGAAGCTGTAGTTCTCTGTAGTCTTCAGGTCTTATGTGGTGGGTGGGTTTCTATGGTGGTAGAGGCAGGAGATCATAGGCAAAATTAAGTGACCAGCAGCTTCCTCCTTGTTGTGGTTCTGAGCAACAAATACCTCTCACCACCTCCCACCCCCACATACTCTTACTGAATGGCAGCAAGTTTAGCAAATAGCATCCAGGAAACTGGCAAGATCAGGCAGGGCAGTCAGAAGCCAACTAGGTAGGCCAGGATACAGAGATTCATCTATGTGCCAAGCAAGGAGACTGAGGCAGCAGCCTAGGAGGTACAGGCTGCTTAGAGTTCCTTGCAGGTATAACTGAAATCTGTGGTAGCCAGACTATCTGTCCCCCTCCTGGGGTTGCTGAGCAGTGGACTCCTGGCCTGGCAGGCTTGGCCCAAGGACCACATGAGCACAGTCAGCAGTGACCTGAAGCCTGGATGGGAGGGGGTCCTGGAGACATCTGAGGCTAATGAGTTGGGGTAGGAGGCTTCATGAGGGCCTTAGAGTTGAAATGAGGCCTAGAAGGAGGGTTAGGGCTTGGATGACCAGAGCTGAGAAATTCCAGGCAGAGGAAGGAATCAAGGGGAGATTCAGGTGGGCTTGGGCATGATGAGATCCAGAAATATGAGTAAATTTGTGTGTTTGGAATGAAGTGATGGTCAGTGCTTGTAGGGGAGAAGCCTGAGATCAGACTGAGGAGATAAGGCCAGAATGGGGAGCTTTGAAGGCTGAGCTGGTGGTGAAGAGCCACTGGCCATTCTTTGAGCAGACAGTTATAGTCAGAGTTGAGTATTAGGATAATGGATCAGATGGTGACGTGGAGTCTGTACTATTCTGTGCTGTAGACAACTGGATCAGTAACAGGCGGGATTTGGGAGAGGTGGTGGAAGGAGAAAGGGACTGGGGAAGGAGGTGACTAGAAACAGCGGGAGAAGGTTCTTAACGTAGTAGTTGTAACTATAGTCTGGAAAATGAAAAGGCTTAGGTGGAGGCAGTAGAAACTGAGGAAAGGAGAGATGGGAGAAATGTCATGAAGGAAAAAGCCCTAGGGCTTAGTGGCTGATGAGCTACAGAAGACATGTGTGGATGGGGAATGGGGGACTGTTTAGGAGGAGAGGCCAAGAGGCCAGCTGTGGGTAGAAAGGAATTCCATTTCCATCCCACAGGACTCAAGGTGAATGTGAAGGACTCAAGTGGACAGGCTGTCAGGCAGTTGGGCCCTAGGGAGTAGGGTCTGGGCTGGAGATGAAGATGTGGGAGGCCTCTGGGCAGAGCCGAAGCCACAGGCTTGGAGGGATGGAGCACAGAGACAGAGAGGAGACCAATGACAGAAGTTGGGACCACAGCCATACCTGGAGCTAAGAGCAGGAAGAGGAGATGTGGCAGCCTCAGAAGGCAAGGGTCACCATGGCCAGAGATGCAGGAAGCAAAAAGAGTGCAACTTCCTGCTGTGCCAGCCGCTGAGAGCTTCTGCAACTTCGTCCAGCCTGGCCCCTCTGCTGAAATCCATTCTCCGCAACACACAGGCACACACATACAGACACACACACAGTGACATGCACATAGCTCAACCCCACGACCTTATTCACATGACAGCTCAAATGTTTGTTGTCTCTCCTTGAAAACTCTCAGCAGTTCCTGTCCCAAGCACCATTTTAGTTATTCCCTCCTCTGTAAGCCCATGGCTCCTCCCTCTCCATAGCACCTGTCAGATTCTATTGCAGTCACCTGCTTTATTCAGGGTCTCCCCACTAGACTGTGAGCTTTGCAGGTCTGATTTTTCTCTGTGGTGCCACAGCCCTGGCTAGTACTTGATACTGTAGTGACTCCCAAATGGATATCAGCCCATTGAGGAGACAGTTTCCAGGGAAAGGGAGGGAAATGGGGTAAACGGAGGCCTGGAAAAGCCCCTGGGTGTTCAGCCATGGCCTTTGAGACTGCAGTCAGAGTGGAAGGTGGTAGGGGAGGAAGTCCAATTTGGGGAACATACCCCACACTTCCAGCTGCCAGGAATCACTCATCTCCAAGTTGCCAGTCACCTCCTTACCATCTCTACCGTGATTTGAATCTGTAGTGACCCTCACTGGCCTTTCCTTGTTACTTGCATTTCTTGTCTCTGCAATCCTGTGAAGCTGTGACTTGAGCTTCTCCCATGACTGGGTACATAGTAGGCCCTCAAGAAATGCCAGTTTGAATTAAATGTTATACATTCTTAAAATGAGAACTCTTGAAAGAAGAAAAAGAGTCGGCCACTCAGACAGAAGGGAGCTCACGTTGTCTGATTCTCCGAATTCATGTGAACAGCTATGAGGGAGGCTGAGCCATTTACTAGAAAGAGCACTGGAGCACTGGAGTGGGAGGCACTGGGTGGATTCAGCCCCCACTCAGCCACCAAACCCCAAGCTAGGTGAAAGAATAAGAAACTCACATTTCCTAAGTGTCTTCTGAAGCCAGGCATAAAGGTCAGAACTCATTTTATTTCATTAATCCATATAGCAACCTTGGGATACTGGCTTATGTGCTGATTCATTATCTTCATTTTATTTAAGAAAGTAGGGGGACTCAAAGAGGTGAAGTGACTAGCTCAAGGTCTCAGAGCTGGTAAGTTACAGGTTGCCTGATTGTATGGCCACCCCAACTGCCCCGGAGGCCTCTGTAAGTAGGAGAGGTTTCCTTTTGTCTGAGAAATGGTAGGACGGAGCTTTTAGGAAGGTATAGGGTGGGGAGCTTCCTGTGTCCAGCCCTATGATTTTAAAAGCAAAGGACCATGTGACTTGAATACACAGTATTTAGGGCAAAACTGTGTCTTGGATGCCTGGAAATGTTTGACATGATGTCATGAAAAGCTGTGAAAGTGCGTCTCTCCAAGCTCTAAGGAAGAAATTAGGCTTTTGCACGTTTGTATGTGTTCCATTTATGCTGTCCTGATTTCTCTCAAAAAGCTGGTTCTTTCTCAAAGTTGCCCCACACCCCTCTGTGCATCATCTGCACTGGGACAAGTGCAGTACCTGCATGCCTGGTGCTCTCGGCCCATTTTTCTGGGCTGCTTGGGCTGGGCAGTCCTCTGTGGCATTTTTCAATTATGCACTGTCAGGAGCTAAGAAAATTAAAGCAAATGTTCCCCCAAGCAAATGTTCCCCTAATGGTAGCTAGGGATTGCTGAGTTGCCCCATGGATTGGACCAGAACCTGGGGCCAGAGATGCCAGCCAGGCAGAGTCCCTTTTCTGTCACAGCAGAGTGCGGCTGTCCCAAAAGACAGGGCAAGAGGAGACCCGCACCTTCCTCTGGGAGCTGATAGTCGAGAAGACCCAGAAGAGAAAGAGACTGGACCTGCCCTTGGGGAGGCCTCGGTGTCCTCCAGGAGACAGGTCATGTGGGAGAGTAGTTCTGTAAGACTGGGGATAGTTCATTTTGCTCATTTGGTGTTCAGTAAATACTGTATAAGTCAAGGAGGGCCTGGGTCACAGGAGCCCTGGGTGGCCCTTCTCTCTGCACAATGTATTACGCCCTTGAGGGACACACAGTCTAGTGGGAGAGATAGACAGACACATGTGAGTCCAGGAGTGGGTGACAGGTGCTGAGACAGAGGGAGAGGTGTGCTCGAGGCCTTCGAGTGTCAGGGAAGGAGTCCTGGAGGATTAGGAACTGCCATACAAAGAGCAGAAAGGGTGTCTTAGATACAGAGAACAGCAGTCAGCAGATGGGACTGGAGGCCTGAAGTAGCCTGGCATTCTTCTGTTTGTGGCCATTGTGGGCTTGGCTGCCCTCTGCACCTTATCTAAAGGCCACCAGATGTCTGCTCAGGGTCTTAGTGGAGCCCAGCTATCAGAATGGGCAGCAGAGGCTGTAAGAAGGGCTAGATGAGCAGAGGCAGGAGGGAGCAAGGGAGGATTCCTGGAGGAGATGTACCTGGGGCCTCAATGAAGGAGCACATTTGGACAGGTAGGAAGGAAAGCAGGATAGGAGCTCAACAGGAGCAAAGAACCAGGGGCAGGATGGGAACCTGACATGGAGGGGGCCTCAGACTGTAGGTGCCTTGGAGTGTGGCACATGGCATAATGCCTGGCTCCTTTAGGTGAGGCTGTAGCTTACTTCTCCCAACTGCAGTGAGTGCCAGGGAGGAAGCTTTGGGTCAGAAGAAGGCTTCTGCAATAGAAGTCGCTGCTCCCTCTTCAGGGCACTGAGGGTGCTGAGCGATGCAGGGGTCAGAACTCCCAGCTCCTATGGGATCAGGCAATGCCTTTGACTGCTTTATGCCTCAGTTTGACCATCTAGAAAAAAAGGACACGGGAGGGAACCTCTGGCATTCTGTGATTATCTCACTTTGTGACATTGAGCGGGGCACATCACTTTTGGGACTTGTTCCCTAGTATATAAAGTGGGGAGAAGCATGGGCCACTGCTGTCACCTCACTGAGAGTTTCAGAGGACTGTGCAGATGGTCTCTCCAGACCAAGCCTCTGGACCAAGGTGAGGGGTCAGAGGACACCGGGCTACTAGGGACTGCTCAGCCTGCTTCCCTGCAGCCAGGCCCCCATCTTTTCCTCTGCTGCCCCACCCTCTCTACCTTGGGTATGAGATGGCACAGCCAACCAGCTGTGCCCCACATCTGGAGGGACTTCCTCAGGCCGCAGCAGCCTAGCCTGGAGCCTGCCCCTCTGCAAACTCACCCACATACCTGGCAGCAGGAGTGTAGGCGGGCCCACCTGACAAAGGAACTCCCTGGCCCTGGGAGGACGGCATCCAGTCTGTTCTAGGCTCAGGGTCCTGGCTCCAGTGCTCTGAGCTCACCAAGGTTTATTTATTTATCATTTGTTTGGGGTGAAATGGGATAGAATCAAATCCAGTGGGCTGTTTAAGCAGCAGTTGGTGGAAAGAAAGCCATGTCTGTTTCTCCCAAAAGAATCCCCCGCATTGTGGCCCTGGCCCCTTGGTTGGGTTTCAGCAGACAATGCCCTCCTTTCTCCATGTGCCCGATGACTCGCCCCTGCCTGCCCGCCTGCCTGTCTGCCTCTGGTGCAGTGGGCCTGCTGCTGCCCGCTTGGCTTGGCGCTGGGGAGGAAAGGAGAGTCGACGCCTGAAGTCTCAGCCCATCAGTCCAGCCTGGCTTACCATGCCCTGCAGGACTTTTGGGACCACCATGCCCCTGTGACCTCCAGATCTCTGTTTGGGACATTTAGTTCATAAAAATGCATTGAAGGCCTGCTCTGTGTGGGGCACTGTGCCCACGGAAATGAAACCCTCTTCTCTACTGGAAGCAGGCCCAAGGGTTCAGGTCCCAGGTGAGCATCAGTACCCTTCCCACCAGTGCCCCCTCACCACTGCCAGTGGAGTTTCCATTGCCTTTTTGCAGATAAAAAATAAAGGAGACATCAAGGGGCTGAGCGACTTGCCAAGTTCACATAGGGAGGTGTTGGTGGCTGAAAATTTGGGGACACATTTTTCCACCACTCTGGTAGAGGCAAAGACGAGTGAATCAGCAGAGGCTGAGAGTGACCGAGGCAGCCTCTGTTGGTGAGCTCAGCATTCCTTGTTTGCTTGTCTGCAGCCATCTCTTCTCACTTCCCTTGTGACTTGGCTGAAGCCATTCTTCACATGTGGAATAATCCAGAGCCATCCCCTGGCCCCTGTTTTCCTTCTGTGCTCTCTGTCTGCCTCTCCAGCTTCATCATCTCCCTTGTCTTTTCCCATTCTGATCTCATTCTAACTTTGCTGTTTCTTCAGCTCATCAAACTCATTTCTGTCTTGGGCCTTTATACTTGAGCTCATCTGCACAGAGCTCTCTTCTGATGTGTGTATGTGGCTGGTCCTGGACAGATAAAGGGTCCATTAGATTTGCATGATTTCCTGCTGCCCATGCTTCTGAACACCTTACCTCTCTCTTCTTTCTTTTTATTATTATTTTTTTTTTCTTTTGAGACGGAGTCTTGCTCTATCGCCCAAGCTGGAGTGCAGTGGCCCGATCTCGGCTCACTGCAAGCTCTGTCTCCCAGGTTCACACCATTCTCCTGCTTCAGCCTCCCGAGTAGCTGGGACTACAGGCGCCCACCACACACCCGGCTAATTTTTTTGTATTTTTAGTAGAGATGGGGTTTCACAGTGTTAGCCAGGATGGTCTCGATCTCCTGACCTCGTGATCCGTCTGCCTTGGCCTCCCAAAGTGCTGGGATTACAGGCGTGAGCCACTGTGCCCCGCCTACCTCTCTCTCCTTTCTTTACACCATTTGTCACTTCCTGAAATCTTGGCACTTAGTTGCCTCCTTCTTATAGTTTTGTCTCTCCCACTGGAATGTAGGCTCCATGCCTGGTACATCCTAGGAGCTTGGTAAATATGTTTATTTTTTGAATGAGTGAATGAATGAATGAAATCTGAAATGTTGTGTCTTGATTTTCAGGGACTTTTTCTCAGAAAAATGTATTATTTTCTCTAGAAAGTTTCTGGGACCTTGGGGACACAGATCCGAAGAACCATAGCCTAGAAAGTACAATCATAGGCTGGGCACAGTGGCTCACACCTGTAATCCCAGCACTTTGGGAGGATGAGGCGGGTGGATCATTTGAGGTGAGGAGATCAAGACCAGCCTGGCCAACATAGTGAAACCTTGTCTCTACTAAAAATACAAATATTAGCTGGCCATGGTGGCACGCACCTGTAATCCCAGCTACCTGGAAGGCTGAGGCAGGAGAATCACTTGAACCCGGGAGGCAGAGGTTGCAGTGAGACAAGATCGCACCACTGCACTCCAGTCTGGGTGACAGAGTGAGACCCTGTCTCAAAAAAAAAAAAAAAAAAAAAAAAGAAAGAAAAGAAAATACAATCATAGAGTGGACTGATGGGAGAGGCCAATAGAGTTGGGCAGGGAAGTGACCAGGCTTCACAGGCTTCAGAGTCAAACAGAACTTTGAGACTTTGGGCAATTTACTCAGCTCTCTGGGCCTCAGTTTCCTCATCTGTAAAATGAGAATAATAATAGCCATATCACCCTCAAAAATTACTTTAATATTTTAAAAGTGCTTAGAATAGTGTCTGTCCCACAGCATGCATCATAGTAGCATTAATTGCAGTTACTCTTACTATGTATTAGCAATTTTACTATTATTAGTAATAGCATTAAAGTTATTGTTTGAACTCAGCTCTGACATTTACAACCCGTGTGCCCTTATGTTAGTCACGTAACCCCCTTGAACCTCAGTTTTCTTATTTATAAAATATGGTTAATGTCAGTGTATTAGTCTTATAGATTTGTCATGAGGATTTAATTTAAAAACTTAGCAAAGTCATGGGAGCTGGAAATGTAGGGACAGAAAGATGGAGACTAAAAGTGAGAGAGGGGTGATGAGGAGGCTTGGCGAGAGGGTGGTGAGAGAGATGATTCAGATGCACAGAAGTGGCGGGTGTAAGGAACTAAGTGGAAGGGAAACATCTTGAAATTTTGAAGGAGGAATACTGAGGTTAAGGAGAGAGAAAGGTCATCTTATTTGTCACTTGGGACGGTCTTAGAAGCTTATGGAGGGGTAAGAATTTTGTATTCTTCTCAATAAACCAAGTGCAAAGAAAAGAATTTGGGGTGAGGTCTTGGAGCTGCATTTCCTCTCCCTCATTCTCTTGAAAATGAAAATATGGTCTGATTTTTTAAACCTAAAGGGTTGGAAAGAGATAGGGAGGTCTAGACATTCGAGGTTTAAATCTGAAGGCTGTACTCGACCCTCAACTCCTGTCTTTTGTCTCCTGTCTCCAGGGGCAAGAAGAGGTAAAAAGTTAACAACCTGAGATAGGTGTGTTTACCACCAGGTGCTCTAAGCACAGCAGGTTTGCTGGGGTGACAGTTCCGGCCTGATTGGGAAGTTTAATGTTTGACTAGACTCCTTGTACCTTTTGCAAAGCCATTTTGCTTATTGGCCTTTAGCTGGTCTGTCTGCTCCCCCTAAAGGACATCCCTGGCAAGCCATCACTCAGGATATGCCCTCAGGATAACAGCACCTTTGCCTACATGCCCAAGTCTCTCTATCCCCACTGTCCCAGAGCCTATTAGCACTATTTTGGAATCTTTGACCCTAAGATTTTACGGCCTGCGTCATTAGAATTTCAGACCTTTTGACCTCAAGATTCCAAAGCCCACGGCCCCCCAAATTCCAGAATTTTTGTTGCCACAGATTTAAGAGTCCATGTCACCAAAAGTCTCAGAGCCTTTTGGGGTACTTATCTGGCTTCATTCAGATTCATGACACCTGGGCTGCTCTGTGCTTGACTTTCTGTCTTAAGGAGTACTGGACTAGGAATCAGGTCTAGGCCTGGAGCTTCTGATAGGTTGTGTATAGTCACCAGCAGGGGCTTTACCCTCTGAGCCTCGGTTTCCTCACCTATAAAGTGCGGGTAATCACCCTGTGAGCTGCGGGAGATAATGTGTTGGAAGGCAAGTGCTCTGCAGATGTGAGCTATTCCTGTGTTAGTGCATGTCAGCTCTGCTCAGCATCAGCGTCATGACACTGGAAAATCTAGCTGCATGACCTCCTTGTTTTGGCTTTTATTCACTCTATGGGCCATGGCCATCCTTTGCTGTTTACCAAGATTTTTAACTCAATTGACGCCCGAACTCCTCCAACCATGTCTTCTGGTCTTGGCTGCTTGACCTCTTTCCTGTACACTTTCTAGGAGTGCCCAAGTCATAATTAATCTCTTCCTTGCCTTCAGCCTCTCTGTTTATGCCTCAGTTGTGGCACTCTGCAAAGCTGCTTTGTATGAGTTATATATTGTATGTGTTAATGACGCCATTATGCTAATTACCTCCTGCCCCATCACTCCTGGGTGTTTGGTGCCTAACAGTGTTGACCAACCTTGGGTGAGGTCCTTGGCCTTTCTGAATCTTAATTTCCTTGCTGTTAACGTGGGAGAAAGTAGCACAAATCTCATAAAGTTGCAGTGATTAACAGTGACAAGAAATAAAAGATTTAAAATAGATGGCACTTAGTAGGTGTTCATAAGCATTAGTAGAGATGACAAAATAAGGTGGGAAGAACATAAGCTTTGAACCAGGCTTCAAACCACAGCTCTTGCTTTTGAGAATAATGTGACTTTAGACAGGCTACTTCCCTCTTCTAAGCCTAAACTTTCTCATCCTTAAAATGCTTAAAGCTGGCATAACAGGGTTGCAACAAAGGTTTGGTGTTCATATGAGTAAAATGCATGGAAAAGACCAGGAGCTCAATAAAGGGTAGGTACCTATTATTATTATTTCTCTTTACCTCCATATGGAAAAAAAAAAAACCTAGTCTTACTTGTCTTTTTTCATCACCTTGAGCTATTGTGTGTAGCACAATTGAGTCTCTGAAGCAAACTGAATTAGCAAAACTAGTAACACAGATGAAAAAGACTACAAAGAATAGTGAAAGGACAAAATATAAAATTTTGAGAGGGTAGAGGAGGGAACACTTCCTAACTCACTTCCCAGCTTTATAAGGCCAGGACTATCCTGATACCAAAACAAGGCCAAGAAATTATAAGAGAACTATAGACCAAAACCCCTTGTGTCATTAAATTGATGCAAAAACTCTCAACAAAATTATTAGTCATTCAAATCCAGCAAAATATAAAAAGGATAATACAATATGACCCAGGAATTATCCTGGGAATACAAGGCTGGTTTAATGTTCAAAAATCAATCAATGTAATTTCTTAAATCAGTAGACTAAAGAAGAAAAACCCATATGATCATCTCATTAGATGCAGAAAAGGCCTTTGACAAAATTCAATATTGCTCATGATAAAAACTCTCAGTAAACTAGGACTAGAAGAGAACTTTATCTGATAAAGAACATTTACAAAAAACCTACAAGCAATATCATATATAATGGTGAAAATAAAATACTTTCCCCTAAGATCAGAGACAAAGCAAATTACATATCTGATAAAGAACTTGTCTTTAGAATATATAAAGAATGCTCAAAACTAAATGATAAGAAAACAAATACAATTTTTTAAATAAGCAAAAGATTTGAACACTTCTCAAAAGAAGATATATGAATGGCAAGTAAGTACCATAATAAAAGATGCTTAACATGTTTAGTCATTAGAAAAATGCAAAGTAAAAGTACAGTGGAGTACTACAGTACAGTTAATCCAGTGGCTACAATTAAAACCGATAATAGCAAGGGTTGATGAGATTAAGGAGCTATTACAAATCTTGTACATTGTGGCTGGGAATGCAAAATGGTACAACCACTCTGGAAATCAGTTTTGCAGTTTTTATAACATTAAACATACACTTACCACATCCAGAAATCCCACTTGCAGGTATTTAACCAAGTGAAATCAAAACCTCTGTTCACACAGAAATGTTTATAGTGGCTTTCTTTGTAGCTACCCCAAATTTAAACAACCCAAATATCCCTAAACTGGGGAGACAATACAACACACTGTGGTGTATCCAAATAATGAAATACTGCTCAGCAACAAAAGGAAAAAAACTACTGATACAGGCCCAACATTGATGAATCTCAAATGCATGGTGCTGAATGAAAAGAAGTCAGACCGAAAAATGATTCATTTATATGACATTCTGGAAAAGGAAAAACTATAGAGACAGAAAACATCAGTGATTGTCAGGGACTGAGGAGGAGGGAGGGTTTACTACAGAGGGACACGAATTCTTTGGAGTGTTGGAACTGTTTTATATCTCAATTTGGGTGGTTACATGACTGTACATGTTCATCAAAACTCACAGAACCATACACCAAAAAAAGGTGCATTTATTATATGTAAATTATTTTTTAATAATGAAAACCATGAAAGCTCTGAGAGCAGGCTAGTAAAGCTTTAAGGTCTGTAACACAGGCAGAAAGCATGCAAATGTTTGTTGGACCTGGTAAAATCCTTCCTGAAGCCTCTTTCCCTTAGACTAGTTTCAGAGCTCAGAGCTACGGCTACATCCATGTCCAATCCAAGATGTGCCTGGGGGCTCATCGTCTCCCTGGAACATGGCAACATTGCTTCCCTGCCTTCCTGCCCTTTCACTATCTCCAAGTGCTGCTACAGAGATCTAAAACAGAAATGCACACACAACTCCTTCTTTCAGAGCTCCCCATTGCCTGGGCCGTGAAGTCTGAATCAGTCCCGTGGCATACACAGCCCTTGGAGATCTGTTCCCCACCCACCCCCAACTTCCCCAGCCCTTCCTAAGCTCCAGAATCACTGAACTACATGTCCTGCAGCACATTTCAGACTTGTCCCCGCATCAGTGCCTTTGGGGGTTCATTTTCTACTCCAAGAATTGTAGCCCCCTTTTTTCTATCTAATGAGTGTTTGTTCTCAACCTCCAAATCTCCTCTGAGATGTTCCCTCCCGGGAAGTTTGCCCAGGACAGAGCTGGCTATTTCCTCCTTGGTGTTCTGGAATCAGCCTGCTTATCACATCTTCTACTGTGGTAGCCATGTCCGTGAGCTGCTTACATCTGCCTTCGGGAAGAGTCTGCTGCCAGGGAGTAGAGAGAAGTGGCAGACTTCCAGCTAACAGTCAAGCCTGACCATTTCTGCCCAAACTCCTGTATGGACAATTTTTGCACCGGAGCTTCTTGTTGGGCAGGCTGAGAAATGTGTAGAGGGGCTTCAGTCTGCAGCACTTCCTACCTGATCCTTCTTCCTTCCTCCACCTGCTCTTTTCACCATGTCTGGCCTGCACTACAGTCAACTTTTTCCTTGCCTACTTGTGCTTCTTCTGTCCTTTGCCTTTCGTAAGCATTACTCCCAGTGAGTTGCTTGCACCTCTGACTCTGTCTTGGCTTCTGTTCCCTGAGACACTTCCTAATGGTTATTTCTTTTTTCCCATTGGTCTTTACTTCATTCTCCACTGGCTCTGAATTCATACATTTATTTATTCATTCAACAAATATTTCTTGAGAACCACCATCCAGAGTTCCCACCATTCACAGCTCAGTGCCAAGGTTGCTCTCTTTTCATAGGACCTAGCTGGATCCAACTCTTCTGCCATTCCCCCTGCTCCCTCTCTCCACACCCCTGAGAATTTCATGTTCTGTGGCCCCTCCATTCCTGGGCTCATGCACTCCCGTGTCCTGCAGCATCATCCTTTATTCCCCAGGTAGCTTCCTCCTTTAAGGCTTTGCCAAGCCTCAGGTCTGGGAAGCCTCCCTTGATGGCCCCTGGCCCTGGTTATTGCTCATGACAGTGCATAGCATATATTAGGTTGCAGAAATGATTAGTTGAGTGTCTGGCTGAATCTCAGATGACTATTGTCAGCATTGATTAGAAGACATAATGTGTGTAAAGCAACAAGCATGGGGCCTGGCAGGCAGTAGGTGTGTGGTAAATGCTCATGGTTGAGTTCCAGTAAATTCTATTTGAAGGCATATCTCATAAATTGCAGCTGATGTTTCTTTCCATTGTGTTCTGTGTGTGTGTGTGTGTGTGTGTGTGTGTGTGTGTGTGTGTGTTTTCTGGATGCATCTCACGTATAGTTGGAAAAGAGAGAGACAGTGAAATTTTCTACATTGTGTTTTTGTTTTGCTTTTTTGAGGCAGAGGTTGCAAATGTGCATTCCTCTTGTGGTGCCAGCACACCAGGCTGGAGTCAGGAGAATAAGTTCTAGCGTGAGTGGGGGTGTCTCTTCCAGTAGCTGAATATATGACCCTGTCCTTCTAAGGACCTCTGTTTCCCCATCTGTAATGAAGAATTGGACTCTGATTTCTGTGATCTTTGTGGAACTAAGGTCTTGCATTAGGGTGTAGAACCAATGAAATGAGCTTGCATTTGTTTTTTGTTTGAGATTATTTGTGCTTTTTTCAACCTCCTTTCTCCATGAAGGCTGAAAGTGCACAATATTGACTTGTAATAATGGGACGTAGAAGCTCAATAATCACTTTATAACTTGATATTAATTACATTTTACAGTTTACCTGTGGGGGAACATTGGCATCTTTCACACACATGTGAAATTTCGTGCCAAAAATGGAAGGACCCTAACATGGATTAAACACTAGTCATGTGCCATGTCCTTGAGTGGGGATTGCGTGTGCGTGTCCTCGTTGAATCTTCAGAACCCCGTTCTGGAGTAACCAGTGTTATCCCCATTTTTTTAAATTGGGGAACCAAGGCTCAGAGAGAGGAAGAAACTTTTCTAAAGGCTCAGAATAACCAAATGATTGGACTTTGAACCCACTGTTCCCTGACTTCAAAGCCTGTGCTCTTCTTTTGGATTCAAGTACGTTTGGGTTTAGGCTTTCAAAATAGAAAAGAAAAATCCAGTAACAACTAAAATACTTAGAAATGACGAATCAGTAAATGCTTGGGTATAGCAAGTAAGAAGCATGAGCTCTCACATTGCCAGCCTCATTCAAATCCCAGCTCAGGCCCCTACCAGTCTTCCTGTGTAGAGCAAGTTCCTAAGCCTCCTCTGCTTCCGTTACTTCAACTGTAAAATAAGTGTAATAATAGTATCTGCCTCCTAGGTTGTTACAAGCATCAAATAAATTAATATGCATAAAGAGTTTAAAGTAATGCCTGCCTGGAACCTGGTAAATGTGCAAAATTATTGTCATTAACATTATTGTTGTTGCAGTAGTCATCATTATTTTGATCCAAGCCTCGGGATCTGGGAGATTTCTTCTGATCAGGAGGGCAGTAGGTGGGTGGTGAGGGATGTCCTGAGAGTGTCATCATAGCAGCAGCCACATCTCCTTTGAGTCATGCAGAGGAACAGCAGAGTGCCTGAACCCTACTTGGTCTGGAGTAGTGCTTGCTGATTGCTGGAGCAGGACACTGCAAATGTATAAACACTGCAGCTATGGAGCCACTGCCTCCCCTGATCGTCCCCTTCACCCCGTTCCAACCACTTCCAGCTCTGGCCCTGCTCTGCTCTTAAGTGCTTAAATGCTCTGGGCCAATGAGCCTAGGAACTGCCATGCTTATTTTCCAAAGAGGGCAGGAGGCTTTTGCTCACCCATAGGTAGAGAACGTGACATCCTGAATGGGGTACTGGGGACTCTTGGTGTCCCTGGTGAACCAGGGAGTCTGAGAACAAAAGAAGGAAGAGGAAGGCAGAACCTAATTCAGAGAGACCATAATGCAGTCAGATTTACTCCCAGTACCAGGTGTGAGTAAATCTGATTGCATCACCCTCCTCTTCCAATAGTGTTTAGTCATTCATTAGACAAACATTTACTGAACTCCTGTGTTGCACCAGGCAAAGCTAAGTTAATAAGTATTAATTTGACAATGGTATTCCATTGACTAACATTTATTGGCACTTATAATAGCCCAGGCATTGTTCCAAGAACTTCACAAGTGTTAATTCATTGAATCCTCACACTAAAACCTGGTGGCTAAGTTCTATAATTATTCCTTTTTTGCAGATGAGGAAACTGAAGCACAGAGAGGTGAACTTACTTGCCCAGGGTCACACAGATAGTATGTGGCAGAGAAGGGACTCAAACCCAAGTGGCTGGGCCTCTGAGCTTCCAAGCCATCAGCTTCCAAGGAGACAGAGGCAAGTGAGCGTAGCTCATCAGTACCTTCTCACACCTCTCCTTTCAACCTTGTAACAGACAGCCTGGAGAGGTAGGCAAGGTGATTACTAGCCTGGTTTATACATGGAGAACTGAGACTGTGAAATGACTTAGCCAGGTTCACATAGCTAGGCAGTGTCCAGGTAAATTGGAAGTCAGGTTTCCCAGTTCTCAATGTAGTTCACTTTTTCTTGAACCAGGTGCATTTTTGTGGGTAAGTGGGCACACATCTATGTGTTTGTGTGTGCAAGTATGTGTATATGTGTGTACATGTATGTCTGCGAGTGTGTGCATACAAGTGTGTTTGTGTGTATATTCATGTGTACACATAGATGTGTATGTGTGTGCATGGGTGTGTGTACATGCACGTGTGTGCTTATCAGGATGGGGTCTGGTGGCGGGGGAGGGTAATGAGACACAGTGTGGCTAGCGGAAGCTTGGGGACTTCTACTCTAAGGAACTTGGTGTTCATCTTGGCTCTACCACTGAGGTTCTGGGACCTTGAATAGGTCCCCTCTCCTCTCCTTGGTTAGGATGAGGAGTGGCCAGGGTGAGAGTCTCAGAGGTGCTGCTCTTCTCTGGCATCCTCTGGCCACAGAGAGAAAGGAGGAGGGGTAAGTCTGGGAAGGCTGCACGGAAGAAGCACAAGATGTTTTGGGACAGAGACAGCCAGCCAGTCGGGAGTGGGTAAGTGTGGGTGGAGAGTGTCATTCATATGGCCCTACTGCTCTTCTGGGCTGGAGTCCAGGAATAGCTGTGGTGAGAACTACATTTCTAAAGTGGGTCTTAATGTTTTTCACTGCTGGAAAATACGCCATTATGGGCATTTTCCCCTCCGGATTCCTGGACTGCCATGCTCTCGAGATTCCCCCACACTGCTGCCTTTATTTCTCTCTGGCTGAAGCTTATTTTTATTCCTGCATCCTGCCTCTGTCCCTGGGTTTTATTGGACTTTAGGAGATGACTCAGGTCGAAGCTGGATGGCAAGGTCCTGTCCAGCAAGCCCCCCTGGCAGATGGGGACAGAGCACTGTAGCGGGGCTCAGGAAGCCTGTGGGGTCCTGGCCCTGCAGCCACTGATCTTCAGTTCATGGGAGGGAACGTGTAGTCACATCTGCCACATCTAGAGCTCTCCAGGAAGCAGTAGTGACACAGCAGGCAGGCATGTGACTTCTGCACCAGCTCCAGCTTGATTCTTCCTAGAGCGTGTGGACTTGGGCCATTCCTCTGTCTCTGCGCCTCAGTTTTCTCAAGTATTATATAATAATAGTCCCTGTCCATAGTACACCCCAACAAATTCCATCATCGCCATCGTCGGACACAGTGACTTGTTTTTGAGATGCTCACAGTCTGATGGTGGAGACAGGTAACTACTCAGCTACCTGTGAAGCAAGGAGAGTGATCCTGCTGCACAAGAATTCTGCAGGGTGCTGGGTGCTGGAAGCATTATCCATTCTACCTGGGAGCCAGGGGAGGTTCAGCAAGGCTGCATCTTGAAGAGTCAGAGTTTACGGATAGGACAGAGAAGGGGTCTAAGGGCACTGTAAACAGGAGCAGACGGTGTAAGCAAGAGTCCCTGTGGGAAACCACATGGTGATCAGGGCCAGGGAGAAGCTTAATAAAGGGTGCATCAGGGATGGTGGGGAACGGAAGGCTAGGAAATTCGGTTGGAGCCAGATCGTGAAGGGCCTTCCATGATAGAGTGTTTCCTGGGGCATTGGGAGCTCTGCAAGGTTTGCTTGGATCTCAGAAGGACCACTCTGGATTCAGTGTGGGAGGGAGGTGGACTAGAAAGGAGAGGCTAGAGGCAGGAAGGCCAGTAAGGAGGCTATGGAATAGTCCAGAAGTTACCAGAGGCCTGAGCTAGACAGAGCCTGGTTCCTAGGAAGCTCTGAGTTTATGTTTGAATGAAGGACTTGGAAAGGAGGACTCCTTGTGTGACCTTGAGTAAGTCACTTGTCCTCTGGAGGCTTCAGTTTTCCTGTCTGTAACAGTGACACTGAAATAGTCTTGTGGTTAGTATCAGAGTTAGACTCCCAGCCCAGCTTCTCATGAGCTGGGTGAATTAGGACAAGTAACTCCACCTCTTCAAGCTCCCGTAATTTTTCTGTCCAGGGGATTACAGTGTCCCTGTCTCATAGGGCTGTTGAGAGGACTAAAAGAGAACTCAGACAGAACAGAGAACATGGCACCTGGCAAATGGCAATCCTGCATAACTGTAAGCTCTCATCAGTGTTCTTCACTGCTACCTTATTTTATTCTTAGTATTACTACTACTATCATTTAAAATCTTCTTATCATTTAATGATAACATTTAAAAGTAGAACTTCTCTAACTTAAATCACAACATCCATCCTGGTATCCTGGTCTGTGTGCACCAGCCTGCTCATTGAATGTCTTCTCTTCATTGTCATGTTGGCTTTTATTGGATTTTGACCTCAAAAACTTTCAAAACTCTCTGCCTGTGCTTTCAATCCCATCTTCTGCCTGCATACCCTAATCGAAAGTGGAACTTACTAATTAATGATAATTACAGAATCCTGGGGGTGGGGGGGTTGGCATTAGGAATTCAAGGCTCCTCACCATGTGGTCTCCGTGATCCTCGTTCTCTTCCTCATCACCGTTATCCCAGGCACCCTAGCCTGGAAAGCTCTTTCCTGCATGCCACTCATCTTTCCCTAAGCTGTTTCTTCCTCCTAATTCACACCCCTCTGTCAGTCTGCCCCTCTCTGTCTCTGTCTCTGTCTCTGTCTGTCTCATGCACACACTCTTACTTTTCTGTGTATGAGATTCAGAACCCATTAAAGTCAACCTCTTATCCTCCTCCTGCCAAGAAACTATCTCAAATCCCTGCTTCCAGAAGAAATGAGTCCTCTGGTTCTCAGCCAAGACCTTCTCTCCGGCTGTGTGCACTGTCTTCACCCCACAGGTCTCAAATGTTGTGTGCTTCCTGCTGGAGTTGAACTGAATCCAGTCCAACACCATCGTTTTAGACAGGGACACATGATTCCAGTAAAAGGAAAGTGGGAGATCTCTCTTCTCCATTTCCCATTCTCAATCCCAGAGAGAAGAATTCCTCTGGGATCCCTCCAGCTGTTAGTAAGCTAAAGTCATGGAGTATGCACTATTCTCAAAGCAGAGGAGAAAGATGCATTTTCCCAGTGTCTAGTGCTTCCAAAAAGAAGACAGGTTGGAGCAGATGCCTTCTACCACTGCTTCCTACCTCCCTATCCACCACTATGTTTAGTCCAGGACTTGAGACAGAAAGGACCATAGTTTTCAGAAAAACAGATGGACAGGTGAAAAGGTTTGTAGATGGCCATACTCCAGAGACAGATAGAGCTGGGACTAAAATAACCAGTGGTGGTTTGACTCTTTAATCCTGAGTTTACTCTTGCTTGGCCTCTCTGCTCTCCTTTCCTTCACCTTCTGTGGCCTCTCTGTGCCTGCAGCGTTGA
Source organism: Homo sapiens (assembly GCF_000001405.40). Taxonomy (NCBI): domain Eukaryota; kingdom Metazoa; phylum Chordata; class Mammalia; order Primates; family Hominidae; genus Homo; species Homo sapiens. The sequence goes on along the minus strand of NC_000001.11, from coordinate 47,938,230 downwards.
ACCCCGCTCACCTGTATAACACTTAAAAGAGAGAAGGGTCCTGCTAATGGACTATACATCCCTTTCTGTTTTCTAGTCTCTTCCAGGCCTGAGTTCCCTTTGGCCTCATCTAATTTCCCTCAGGCCTTGTTCTGTGGGCCTGTGCCGGAAGTTTGGTGGCTACAATATGTAATTTAGGCCCCATTTGCGGCTGGCAAAATATATCATGAGTAGTAGAACTGGAGAATCATAATATTGTTGGAGACCACTGTGGGATTGAGGTGGGGAGCTAGGAGTTTTTTCCCATATCCTCTTGGAACAAGGAAGTCATGACAGACATGTGCACTGCCCCTGCTTCAATCCTTCACTGAGTCTGGAGCATTTGATTTATCTCCCTGGGTATCGGGGTTGGAATGTTCCCCTCTGTCCTTGGCTGCAGGTGGTATGAGCTGAAGGACAGTTTGCATCCACAGGGCAGGAGGCAGAATGATTGGCCTTAAGAGACAATACCTTCACTTAAACATTGGGTGGCCCCACCTCCATGAACCCTACTCCTTTATCAAGGATCTTGGGTCTCTTACCTGTGACAGGAAGCTTGTTTTTTTTTTTCCTAAAAATTCTGTGAATGGTAGAAAAGTAAAAGTGTCAGGGCCTGCCTCTGACTCTCTAAGTCACCCTGAACAAACCTCTTCCATTTTCTGGGCCTCAGTTTTCTCATTTGTAATAATGATGATGATGGTGGTGATGACAATGATAGTGATGATGATGGTGATGATAGTGACAGTGGTGGTGATGATGGTGATGATAGTAGTGATGATGATGGTGATGATCATGATGGTAGTAGTGATGATGGTGATGATTATGATGGTGATGGTGATGATGATGATCATGACGGTGGTGGTGATGATGATGATCATGATGGTGGTGGTGATGGTGATGATCATGATGGTGGTGGTGATGGTCATGATCATGATGGTAGTGGTGATGATGATGGTGATGGTGATGATCATGGTGGTGGTGGTGATGGTGATGATCATGGTAGTGGTGATGATGATGGTGATAATGATGATAATGATGGTGGTGGTGGTGATGGTGATGATCATGGTAGTGGTAATGATGGTGATGGTGATGATCATGCTGGTGGTGGTGGTGATGATCATGGTAGTGGTGATGATGATGGTGATAATGATGATAATGATGGTGGTGGTGGTGATGGTGATGATGATCATGGTAGTGGTGATGATGGTGATGGTGGTGATCATGATGGTGGTGGTGATGGTGATGATCATGATGGTGGTGGTGATGATGGTGATGGTGATAATTATGGTGGTGGTGATGGTGATGATCATGATGGTGATGGTAGTGATGGTGATGGTGGTGGTGGTGGTGATGATGATGATGATTCTTATTTGTTGATCAATGTGTTGTAAATGGTTTCCACATACTTATTCCATAGAACATTCCAATGTGGCAGGTACTGTTATCATACTTATTCTACAGATGAGAAAACTGAAGCATTGAATGATTAACTTGGCCAAGATCACGCAGCTCATAAGCGGAGGAAACAGAATACCTTTGACAACAAGGAGAGTGCAATAGGTTTTTTTAAGCTTCCTCCAAAATCCGAAATATAGTGGCAAACTAATTTTTAAAACTTATTATCCTTTTTATGCCTTTTCCTTTGTCTGTACAGCACTCCTCTGTAACTGAAGATACGCTTTCCTAGAAGTTCTATCCCTTCCTCAAGACTCAGCTCTTCCACAAGCCTCTCCTGACATCTCTAGGCTTGGTAGACCTCCTCATGGTCTGTCTGCCCTTTGCCCTCATACCTGCTGGGTTCTCTGTTCACCTTTCCTGTTGTTTTTCTGCTCCAGCACCCTGTGAGCTCCTAGTTGGGAGTGGGGCAAGATTTTACCCATCTCTTTCCATCTGCCCTAATGTAGGGCTGCTCTTAGGGTGGCCTGTTATTTCATCCACACTCATTGTGAGTCTATAAATGATGAAGAAGTCAATTCATGACCTCAGCCCCAAGTAAACCAATCTCTTCTCTTTGATCATTGGTCCACCAGTACATCACACCCTTTGCATTCAGCTGAGTCTGTTGCTAAGAATGGCTTTCTTGCCTGACCTCATTTGAGAGAGAGGAGAGACCTCATAGTTCCTGAGTCCCTCCTGTGTGCCAGGTGCCATTCTGGGTGCTTTCCCATATGTTCTTCTGTTTACTACGCTTAACAGCCCTGCAAGGCAGCAGCTCTTAGCTCTATTTTTACATTTGAGTCTCAGAGAAGGGAAACAGTTTGTCCAGGATTGCACAGCTAATGAGCAGCAAAATTGGAATTTGAGCATGAGTCTGCCTTCCTCTAAAGTTGAAGCTCTTTTTTTCTGTGGCTTTATTTCCTGCATCCTAAATTACAAGACATAGTGGGATATTTGGGATGCGTGGGCATGAAATATCATATAAGAGATACAGTTTAGATATCTAAATATTGGGGTTTCTAGGTCATTCTGGTGACATAAGGAACTGATGAGATATGGTATTTAAAAGTAGGACTAACCTAGAAAATTCAGGACTTTTCAGTCCCAGTTGAGATATAGTGTTTTTTTCCTGCAGTCCTATCTTACTTGCTTGTTGAAGCCTTTGCCCATTGCTTTTTTGAGTCCTCTTAAATATCCTGCAGTAGGGCAGTAATAAGTGACTGCCCTAATTTTATTACCTACTTAGTGCACTAGGACTTTCTTTATGTGAAGTTTGCTCAGTGGTCATTTCCTGAGTACCCGTGTTATTGAGGTCAGATATGTCCCCAGAAGCTCTATTTTAATGAAGCAAGAGACAAAACAGCCTGTTGCAATACAGTGACGACGGGTGCGAACACATGTGGTGTAAGGCTTAAATTTTGGGTTGGAATCTTCTGAATTTAAGTCCAGCTCCATTATTTGGCAGTTGTTTGACCTTAAGCAACTCCCTTAACCTCTCTGAGCTTTTGTTCCCTAGTCTGTCAAATGTGGATAAGGATAGTGCCTTTCTCCCAGGGATGAGGTGAAAAATAGATAAGGTACATGGTGCCTGGCAAAGAGGAAGCCCTCAGTAAATAGTAGGTGTAATTATGATTATGGTGTGCCATGCTAGAAGAGATTTACAGGGAGTAGAGACTACTTGTCTACCTGCGGGTGGGAGGCTGTGGGTGTCAGAGCAGGCTTCTTGCAGGATGCCAAAGCTGCCTCCTGAGGCATGAGTAGGAATTTTCCAGGTGGATAAAGAGAGGGCATTAGCAGGGTTGGACAGTGTTTTTCGGAGGCCCCTTTCACTGTGACTGTATCACCTGCTGCTTCCAACTCGGACTCTGCCTTGCATTTTGAGAGGAAGGGAGTAGGCTCTTTTGAGTACCATCTTGAAGGTTCTCCAGGACTCAGGAGATGCCCTGTTGGGGCTCTGATGGGAATTCCAGGTCACCAGATGCCTCCTGTTACATCTCCACTCTAAGCCCTGTGTCTGGCCTTGGATCCTCCTCCCTTGTAAATGTGGCCGATGACGAAACAGAGACATCAGTCCCATTTGTGGCTCCATCAGCTTTGGAAGCAGATCACGGGAATTTTCTGAGTCTGGGCCCCCAGCCAGAAGGCATTTATAATCAGACATGGAGCAATCATTAGAGCAGAAACAATAAATTACAACAGCACCAAGAGAACTCCCCAAAGCTGCTCACGCGAGGGGAGATCCAAGGAGCAGAATGCTAGCAGGCTCTGGGCCCGCCTGCCCCTCCCGCTGGCAGCCAAGGCCTCCTGCCTCACCACACTCAGCCTCTGCCCCCAGACGTCTGTGAGTGATGCAGCAGCACTGCCAGAAGAATGCGCCTTACCAGCTAGGACAGGGCTGTGGGCCTGACCTGTGTGCCTGCAGGGACTGTGGGAGGGGGTGTGGGAATGGGGAGGACTCCTTCACAAAGCACCTCCAGGGCCAGGCCCTGCATAGGTGTGAGGTCAGCCTAGTGTGGTGGGATGAACCAGAGACTGGGGAGTCAGGGACCTGCTGTGCAGTCTCCAAGCTGAGGGCTCACAGCAAGTCACTGACTCTCTCTCTAAGGTTCAACTTCCTTGTCTAAAATGGGAAAATAGTGCTTGCCATCTCACAGAATTATTGTAAAGATTAACATACTAAAGAGTGTCAAAAGCCTAGCACATACTAAGTGTTTAATAACATCAGCTTTTCCCCAACCCCTTCTTTCTACCCTCCAACTTGTGCTGTCCAATAAAACAACCCTTAGCCATCTGTGACTATTTAAACCTAAACTAAATTAAATTAAAAATTCAGTTTCTCAGTTGCACCAGCACATTTCAAGGGCTCAATAACCACAAACTTGTGTTGAGTGATCACTGTATTGGAAAGCACAGACACAGAACATTTCTGTTGTTGCATAAAGTTCTGTTGGACAGTGCTGTCTATCCCTCTGATTCATCTGCTATCTGGGAAAAGTTTGGTTCAGCAGATACTCACTGTGTCAAGCCCTGTAGTTACAAAGATGATTGGAGCTCTGTTCTGTCTCTCCAGGGGCACACAGTGTACCAACAGAGCAGTGTGTGCAAGAGTTTAGCCCCAGTGGAAGGGCACCTACATAGGACTAGAGGGAGTCAGAGAAGGTTCTCTGGAGGGGAATGTCTCAGCTGCTATTTATATACATCAAAGTGGAGAATGGCATTCTAGGTAGCACGGCAGAGAGGAGAGCATTCCCAAAGATATAAAGCTGAGTAACAGCAGTGTGGTTGTTTCATAGTCTCATATGTGAGACTATCAGAAACTCATTGCTGCCAAAGCACAAAGTGCAAGGTAAAGAATGACAGGAGAGGTTGGGTGTGGTAGCTCCCGCCTGTAATCCCAGCACTTTGGGAGGCTGAGGCGGGTGGATCACAAGGTCAGGAGATCGAGATCATCCTGGCTAATATGTTGAAACCCCGTCTCTACTAAAAAAATACAAAAAAAAAAATTAGCCAGGCGTGGTGGCGGGTGCCTATAGTCCCAGCTACTCAGGAGGCTGAGGCAGGAGAATGGCGTGAACTCAGGAGGCAGAGCTTGCAGTGAGCCAAGATTGCACCACTGCATGCCAGCCTGGACAACAAAGTGAGACTGCGTCTCAAAAAAAAAAAAAAAATGACAGGAGATGGGGGCTCACGGAGGGCTCTGAACGCCAAGGAGATGGGAGACTGAGTTCAATTCCTGGTCTGCTCATTGCCACTCATGTCCTTTGCCCTGTGCTAGTGCTGAATTACAAAGCTCAGACTCAAAGAGGTTTGCTGCATGACAAAGCAGATCACATGACCCAAGCTCACGTTCTGGGACCAAGAACCCCAGTATCAACTGCTGTAAGAGCCACCCGTTCTTTGAACTAGTCACTTGACAACTGTCAGTATCTATGATCCTCCTGACAGCCCTGTGAGTTAGGGATCATTAATCCCCATGTTCAGATGAGGAAGAAGTGACTTGCGCAGAGTCAACCAGCCATTAAATAGTGGGGCTGGGACTGTTACCTGTGGCTTCTCCTCTTTGAGAACCCAAGGCTCTGCCATGTTATGGCTGTTCTTGTGGATAAATTACACCCGCTTGTTCACTTGCTTCCTTAATCACAAGTTCCTTCTCCTGTTGCACGAATTTTTGCTCCTGTGCTTATCCCTTCTCTTCCCTGCATCAATTTCTCACTCTCTCCTGATCACTCAGGAGACACACATGCTATAGGATCTCCCATCTAGAAACAACTCCCTTGACTCCACATCCCTCCTCAGCTCCTGCCTTATTTCTCAGTTTCCCATTATAACTCAGCTCCTCCACGGACGTCTGTCCTCACTGCCTTCCATTGTCTTCTCAATCCAATCCTTATCACTATTTCATCCTCACTTCTGCTTTGCCACCACTTTTGTTCAATCCATTGGTCAGCCATTTGGTCCTCTCCTTGGTGCACCTTCTGTAGCTATACTCCAGGGAATCCCACCCAGCTCCATGGCCTTGAATCCATGTTGGCATTCCACTGATGCTGTTGTTTACCTCATGGATGGTCTTACATCATGTAGAGGTCTTAAAATTGGAGCAGTCTCTACCCTAAAGCTCTAGACTAGTCTCCAAGTGTTCACTCTGCAACTCTTCTTGGATGTGCACCAGGCATCTTAAATTTAACATGTTCATAAAAGAACTCTTGATTTCAGGTACTCTTCCTTCACCTCTCAAACTCCTCCTCCCCAGGACTTCATCTCAGTGAATGATTCAGGCCCAAAACCCTCCGTTAAGTCCTGTGATCAAATATCATATTCTCAGAGACATTCTCAGAGAGGTACAGCCCTGTTACTCTTTGTCCCTTTCCTCTGCTTTATTTCCCTCACAGCACTTGTTACTACTTGGATGTTGGGGTTATCTATTGCCGTGTGACAAACCACCCTAGGCTTAGTGACTTCACAGTACTTTTATTGTGCTCTTGATCCATGGGATCAGGACTTGGACAGGGAGCAGCTGGGCCATTTTGCTGTCTGTAGCATCCTGAGAGTTCACTCGGGTATTAGGCAGGCAACTGGGCTGGTGTGATGAGTTCTAGAAGCTTCCCTCTAGAAGGCAGGTATGGCTGGGAGATGGCAGCTGCGATACTTGCCCTCCCCACGTGGTGTCTCCAGAAGCATAGTTGAACTTCTCACGTGGCACCTCAGGAACCCATGCATGTATGCCAGGAGACAGGAAGTGGGAACGGCCAGTGTTACTGAGTCCTGGGCCAGAAAACAGGCACAGCATCACTTCTGCCTGATGTCTCAGTCAAAGTAGTTGCAGAACCCACCAAGATCTGAGGAGTGGGGACATAGACCCCCTGCCAAAGGTCTTCTCAGCACACGTGTCCAGATGGAGAAAACATAAGGTGGGGTATGGCTGCTGGTGGCGAAAAGAGAAAGATCTGGCTATACCTTCATGGGCCTGCATTAGAGGCTCTCTAAAGTTCTTCCTGCTCTAGAACAATCTAGGACTCCAAAGCTGAAGCAAGAATAATCAACTCACTTTTTTAAAAAAGAAGGAATCCTAAAGCCTGTACAGGACAAGTGGCCTATTCTACACATAATCATTCATTCGTTAGCTCATTCATTTATTCCTTCACCCATTTGTTCTGATCTCTTCTATGTGCCAGGAACTGTTTTAGGTGCTGGGGATAGAGCAGTCGATAATACAGAAAAGGTCTCAGCCCTCACAGAGCCCATATTCTGGTGAATGACACAGGATATATAAAGTAAGCAGATGCCCACATTCTGGAATGTCAGTGTCACAGATTGAAGGTGGCCACGGTTTTTACATTGCTCCCATCAGGAAGGGGTGGTCTTTGGGAGCACCAAGGGAGAATCAACAGCTGTGGGGTCGGGTCCCAGCTCGTCTCATAAGCTGCTGGTGAGACCCTGGGTCAGTCCCTTTTCCTTTCTGGGCCTCAGTCTGCCTGTCTGTAAAGGGAGGGACATGAGCATGTTCTAACCACAGAGAGCCCTGGAGGTGAAGGCCACTGGGAGGGAGAGAGGAGTTGTGTGATTCACAGGCTTGAGATGTTCTTTCTCGGGATAAGGGATCCTTGAAGAGGAGACCAGAGGATGAAGGCAAAATTAGTCTCCACCTGTTTGTTGCCAACTATAAGCCAAAGTATGTGTGTGTCTCCTGTCACACAGCCAGTTCTGAGGCTCCTGCTGTCCTTTGAAGCCTCTGCAGGGCAGTAGCAGGGAGGAGGGCAGGCAGAGCAGGCCTGGTTTACTATCGCGGACTCGTAGCTCCTCTCTCCCCACTTCCTAAGCCACCAGGGGCCTTGTTCTGCTCCAGGATGTGGCGCTGAGGAGTAGCTGGAGTCAGCCAAGAGCTCAGCGCTATCCTCAGGGATCCAGATCCAGATGCCCAGAGAAACCCCAACACCCCTCAGGAAGAGGCTGTGCACTCTGCTTTCGCCTGCCTTAATCTCTAGGGCTAAAGCTTTGTCAAAGCCAAGATTTCCCTCATAAATCACCTGGCCTCCTGGTCTTTCTCTTCTCTGGCATCTCCTATCAGACACTGAAAGGCATCTGGGAAATTGGACCCTAAACCTTGGCGCACCATGGCTCAGGATCTGCCTTTTGGCAGGGAGAAGGGGAAGGGTGTGCTGTTCCCCACAGCCTCCACTCCAGAACTGGGCACCTCCCTGGCTGGGCCTGGGGAGCCAAAGACGAGGGAGAGTTGGTCTCACAGTGTATCACAGTAGAATTGGTATGTATGTGGAGCAGGGAGGTGGGAGAAGTAGGGAGCCAGGTATGCACGTAACCACCTCTTTTCATACCAGAGCAGGGCATTGGGGGGCTGGGCAAGGGCATTTGGCTCAGGACATGGAGCTAGAGACAGTTAGATGTTTCTGACAGGCCCATTTGGCTAAAGAGGAGCTGGGCAGGGAAAGCCTGGAGGTGAAGAGGGAGATGAGGATGTTGCTGGAGTTGTCCACACCAGGTTTAGTGTGCATTGCCCATCGTTACAGCATTCCTCCAGTGCTAACCCTGCCCAGCAAATGCGCATGAGCACCCACTCTGCCAGGTCCCGAGCTGGGTTCTGAGCATGCAAAGTGAAGGCCGACCCCTGGGAGTGCAGTCTAGCCAGATGAGGGCAGTTTTGTGGATCAGAAGGCAGAGATTGGTAGGTGCTAGGACACTGGGTCCTTCAGTGGGATTTGAGAGCACAGGATGAGGGAGATGACACTTTTATGCACATCCAGCAAGTGCTGATGCAATGTCTGCCCTCTGCCAGGCTCTGAGAATGAAATGGGGAGCAAGGAAGAAGTATTCTTGCTCTGGAGCTTAACAGTTCAGAGAGAGGACTGATAAACACCCAGGCAATCACAGTCCTCTTAAGTAAAGACTATGACCAGGGGATGGCACAGAGCAGGGACTCTAAAATAGCAGGGGATTCAAGGAAACATCCAGAGGACCAGGGAGAGGCAAAGGAGGCATCTAGGACTCAAAATTTAAGGAGGCTCTCTCTCTTCAAGTCACACAAGTGCAGGGTTGGCACATGAGACTCAGGACCTCTGTAAATTCTGTGCTCCAGGTGCCTTGCTTGCCTCATCCTAGTCCCAGTTCTGCAGGAAAAATGTATGTCTAAATTAACATCTAGGCTGAGACATAAAGGCTGGGTAGGAATTAGATAGAGGGGGCTTTACGAGAAGAGTATTGCAGATAAAGGGAACAGCATGTGTAAAGGCCTTGAGGCAAGAAGCATCTGTGCCCAGAGACCTGCAAATTGTCTAATCTAGGGTCAAAATGCAAGGCTGAGAGGTAGATAGTCTTGTAAGTTATGTTAAAGCAGTTAGGGTTTTACCTGGGAGATCAATTCCAACAGGGGATCTAGTCATGAACTTTCAGAGGACATGATGTTTAGGCTGGGCCTTGAAGGATGACCAGAATCCAGACATGTGAAAATGAGGGATGTGAGCCTGAAAGAGCTCAGAGTGAGGGCCTGAGGGACCCTTCAGTCCTGCATTCATCAATCTTACTGAGCATGGGCTATGTACTAGTACACTTAGGTACCACAGTAACTGATGATGTTTGCAGATTGACTTTTTGCTAGAGGATTGGACTGGGAACTCTTCAGAATTTAAAGGATAAGTCAGTCTAGACTTTAAGAGCCTTGCTATCTCTTCCTATTCTTTCCCTTCTTCTCAGCTCAGCAACTGTGTCTGCATTGTTGGAGGCAGAAAAGCAGTCTTTTCACAGATTCTTGGGCCCAATAATCATGGGGTGTGGAGTTTAGAGGTTGTGGAGTGCAGATGAAGGCAAAGCTTGTGAACATCAAACATGAAATGCATGCAGTGCAAGGCATCTGATGCATCATCTCATTTTAATCCTCATCATTAATCCTAAAAGATAGCTATTATTATACCCATTTTACAGGTGGCAAAACCAAAGTTCAGAGAAATTAGTTAGCTTTCTTCCTAGGCCATAGGGTATGTTATGGCAGAGGCAGGATTTGAACCTAAGTAGCTCTGATTTCAGGGCCTGTGATTCTTCCTTTGCACTGCACTGCTACTTGGGCCCATGTCTACCACTTATTTACTGTGTGGCTTCCTGTAAGTGACTTATTTCTACTGGGTCTCAGCTTCTTCACTGGTAACATGAAGGGGTTACGTTCCATGGACTAGAACAATACTTCTCAAACTTTACTGTGCCCACGGATCACTTGAGGATCTTGTTAAAATACAGATTCCAATTCAGAAGTTCTAGTGTAGGGCCCAAGAGTCAGCATTTCTGACAAGCTTCCAGGGGATGCTTATGCTTCTGGTCCAAGACTGCACTTTGAATACGAAGGGCTTAACCCTCTCCAAGGGTCCCCCATCCAGAAAGATTGACTCTTGTTGGGGAGAGAAGCAGAGGTCTTGCTCAGGCGAAGATTATTCTTGCAATTCTTTTTCATTCCATTCAGTTTCTATGCAAAGATCAGGGCAAGGAGAATGTCTCCCATTTCGCAGATGAGGAATCAGAGGCTCAGAGAGGAACAGCGCTTGCAGGGTGCCTTTCCCCCTTTGACAGCTTCTTCTTGGCACACTGGAGATCAGCCTCTTTAGTAGGCACCTCCCATAATGGATGGCCCCCATATTTCCCCTAATGGGGAGGACCCTCCTGACAAACATGGAGTGTTTTTTTATGGCCTCAGTGTTTTTCTGCTGCTAGTGGCTGCTGGAGCATCTGTCTGTCCCTCACTTGCAGCCTGGTTAGACTGAGACAGGCCTGGGCTCTCTGGAGGGAGGTGCTCTGAGAAGGAGCCAGCTTCAGCCCAGAAGCCTGTCCACGTGCCTGCAGCCAGCTCCGTAGTGCTTGGCACTGGCAGGCTCACGTTCCATGGGATGGCTTTGGGCTTGTTGGCTTGGAAGGGAGAAGGCACCGGAAGAGTGGATGTTTGCAGTTGGATTTATAGGCTCTGTATTTACCATATTGTCAGGGAGACGGGGCTGCAAGACTGACTCAGCCAGAGCAGGAAGGCTGCACCCGGCACCTCTGGTGGTCTCAGCACACCCAGCCCTGGGGCCACTGTGCCAGGCCTTCACCAAGACCAGCTTAGCCTCTGTCCTCACCTTCACTCATGCAGGTCCCCCTCCCAAGAATGATCTCTTATCTTGTGCCATTCTCAATCTTAGTCCTGCTAGACCCTCCAAAGGTCTTCAAGGCAGCTTTCCCACTCACCTCCATCAATCCTTTCTTTGAACTTGGCCTGCGTCATACAATCCAGCACTTGCCTACCATAGTGCCTGTGTATAGATGTATGCTGCATGGACTTGTTTGTGGGTGGATCTTGTTTTTAACCTACTTCTTGAACCTGGGAACTAGGATGTATACTGAACCTGCATCCTTCAGCTGAATACACAGTCAGCGCTTAGCAAAGACTATAGGATGAGCTCTCTAAAGCAAGGCAGGAAGGGTGTGCTGGAGAGGAAGGGAGTAGGGCTGAGTAGTTGGCACCAGTCTGTGGTGCTGCATGCCCCAGGGAATTCCTCTTGGCCTCCTTCCTCTAAAAAATGTTTGGAAACTATGCCCTATCCTCAACCCTCCCCATTCTCTCCAACCCCTCTGTACCCACAACTATTGGGTAGTAATGCCTGCCCTTCTCAACAGGAAGAGGGCCTGCCGCCAGATCTTATCCCACAGCATGGGAGGATCTGGAGGTGGTCTAGGTGGATGCCAAGGGAGGGGTTTTAAAAGGACAGAGTGCTTGGCACAGCCAGGACCAACAGTCCTGCAAAGTGGGAGAGCCTTGGCAGATCAAGTAGGGTTGAAGCACAAGCACTCATTCCTGGAGCAAGAGCCTCTGGGATGCTTTCCTCCTCCCCAGATGCTGGGAACACCTCATCCCCAGGAGCCCCCAGGAGCCATGACTTGGCCCGGGCAGATCTACAGTGCAATAGAACGCACTATTGGAGCCGTGCTGCTGTATGTATGAGATTTTACTTCCCCAGTCTTATCCTTGGGCCTCGGTGCCTTTTCCTCTGTGACATGGTAAGAAGTTGAGAGGGCAGGGACCCAGCCTCTTCTTCTTTTTATTTTTGAGAAGGAATGATTCCTTTTTATTATTCGTAGATAACATATGATTTACCTAAAATATCAAAAACGAATTATAAGAATAAACAAGTGACTTTAGCAAAGTCACTTGATACTGTGTCCACATGTAAAAGTCAATTAGATTTCTACGTATCAAAAACAAATAGAGCATAACATTTAAATGATTATAACATTTGCATCACACTTATATGAATGACACAGGGAAAAGTTGAACAGAAGAGGTATAATTCTTCTATCCTAGAACTACAAAATGTATTGAAAGAAAATAAAGATATAAATAAAGGAAGATATATACCAGCCTCTTCTTTAATCCCTCTCCTCCTGCACCATGGCAGCTTAGACTTTTCAGACATTTCTTTCTTGTCTCTGTAAGAAAGGATAATGATACTTGTAAATGGATGTAAGAATTCAACAAAATAATGCTTGTAAACTGCTTAGCCTATGCTTGGCATGTAGTAAGTGCTCAGAGAAAGAAAAGCTCCATCTCTTGAACTCTGAGAGAAACACTTACTCCTTAGGACAAACTGTGTCCTCTGAGATCTAATTTAAACCAAACCAGAGCATGAGGCTCCAGCATCTTCAGCACTGTGTGAAATGGAGATAATAGAAACTACCTCACTGAGTAGCTTAGTGAGGATTAAATGAAAGAAAGTATATAAAACAGAACTTGCTAAGTGATTAGTTCTCAGTAAATGTTACTTGCTGTTGCTATTACACTGCAGAGATTTTTTTTCCCATTTCTTTGGAGGTCAGTTCTTGAATCTCGTGAAGTAAAATCTTAATCGGAATTATTTTCAGTATAAAATAAAAAAAATCTTCTTTCATATCCTTGTTCTTTGCTTTCTTTTTTCAATTTAATTCCTTAATACTTTTTGAATTCTTTGTTTATGAAGGATAAAAGGCTCTGAGAAGTGCTAATATGTTTTTAAAGTCTATTTTCTATAAGATCCTCATGAAACTGTGTAAGGACACCAGAGGATGGGATAGGGATGTTTTGAGGGAGAGTAACAAGAAGGACTGGAAGTCAAACTAATCAAACTGGAATCATGAGAGTTTCTATCCTACCTTAGGAGGTAGAGAAGGTGAGATCTCTGGACTGAGTTTCAAAAAGGCTTGATCAGTTTGCTGGAAATATTAAGAGAAAGATTCAGTTACTTTCTGGGCTAGGTGACTTCCCAGGAATCAAAGCCATTGGGGGTCACAGCCTAACAGTTGACCCTGGCCCCACACTGAGCCAAGCGCTGCCTCTGGTTGCAGACAGAGACTTGCCCTTTTCACAGGAGTAGGTTCTTAGTCACTAAGGGACCATGACTAAGAAAGGGTGAGGGATAGCTCCCTGCACCTTTCCCATCCCCAGGCAGGCCAGCGGGAGCACCGGTCCTCTGCCCTAGATGGCCCCAGAGGAAGTTTCTTTCACTGAGAGAAGTGACTGCAAGCAGAGTGGTGGGAAGAGGTTTTGAACTTATGTGTCCTCTGCTTGCTTACTTCCACTCCTCTTTCAGGCTAAGAGCAGGCAAAATTACTGCTTTGAAAATGCCACGTCGTTTGTCCAGCAGTCTACCCTGGGTTCTGTTGGCACCCTCCACAGCTGGGGGTCAAGTCTGAGAAGGTGGGAACTAGACAGGGGACAGAAAGGGCTGGGTGCATCTGTTCCAGCTAATAGGATCATCTTACATCATTCAGTGTTACCCAATCACTGCTCCTCTTGTTCTCAGAGAAAGCAGCCTTGGCTTGAATTCCTTAAGGGACCATGTACCGGGGTAGGAGTCCACGTTCTGAGCATCAGGTGTAGGCTGGGGAGAAGAGCTTTTCAGCCCTAAGTTGTACTTTTCATTTCACAATGCACTGCTGTACTGTGTTCTGCTTTGATCTGCCTGAGAGCCTGTTTCATTCCTCAGATGGTTCTGAAGGGGGTAAACCTTGGTCTTCTGAGTCCAGTTCCTGGAAGCAGCCAAGATGCTTGAGCCGGTAAATTTCACTGTGACTCCCTTTCCACCTGTGGGAACCTGGACAGGGACTCTGGTATGGGGGAGGCCACCCACGTATTCCGTGGCAGAGTGAAAACTTCCCCTTGAATCCTAGATGCAGACCCAAGGCTCTACAGCTGCCCCTTTGAGTGATACTGAAGGCTGAATAAAGACCGGAAACATTCTAGACCATAAATCTCAGGCCACTTTCATAAGTCGGGTTCTCCAGAGAAACAGAACTAATAGGATGTGTGTGTGTGTGTGTGTGTGTGTGTGTGTGTGTGTGTGTGTGTGTGTGTGTGTATGTGTGTATGTGTGTAGAGAGTGAGAGAGAGAGATTGATTTTATGGAATTGGCTTACAAGATTTTAAAGGTGCAGGTCCACAGTCTTCAGGGTAGACCAGCAGACTGGAGACCTAGGGAAGAGTCCAAGGTTATCTGCTGGCAGAATTCCCTCTCCCTTGAGGGAGGTCAGGCTTTTTCTCTTAAAGCCTTCAACTGATTGGATGAGGCCCACCCACGTTATAGAAGTAATCTGCTTTACTCAAAGTCTACTGATTTAAATATTCACCCCATCTAAAGAGATATCTTCACAGAAACATCTAGAATAATGTCTGACCAAATATCTGGATACCATGGCCCAGCCAAGTTGACACATAAAATTAACCATCATCCACATCTAAAGAGCCAGTTATGATGAAAAATCCCTTTCTCAGCCATCCTTTCCCAAGATCCTCTAGCAGCCTGTGCAGTGGTCAGGGATGGGCAGGGTTCATTGATTCATCCTGTAAATTGGCTGCATGGAACCTTGACTTTATGCCAGGCACAGTTAGGTGCTGAAGATACTGCGTCCACCAAGTCACACCCATTCCTTGCCCTCTTGAGAATCCAGTGGTGAGACTCATCTTGAACAAGTAATTGCCTGAATGCATTACTGTCTAATTACCAGGGTGATGAATCCCTCAGAGAAGGAGGAGTACAGAGCATGTAAGAATGACTGGCATGGGGCGTGGCCTGAGACCAAGGCCGGAGGGGGCTCCTCTGAGGAGGTGACACTCAGGCTGAAACCTGAAGGCTGAGCAGGTTGGGCAGGGGAAGGTGGTGAAGAGGAAGGTTTCAGGCCAAGGAACCACGAGTGTGAAGACCTAAGGTGGGAAAGGCCTTGGCGCATTTGAGGCTCAGAGGGAAGCAGCTGTGTACATGCCTTGCAGTGCACAAGGAAGGGAGGTCCTCTTTGAGACAGAGAGGAAGGCCGAGGCCAGACCCTGAGCTTTATAAGGCCATTCAGGATCTTTCACTTTAGCTGAAGGGCACTAGGGACCCTTGAAGGGTTTTAAACAGGGGAGTCCCATGAGAAGATTTGTTCTTTTGAAAAGCACACCATCAGTGGACTGCAGAGAATGGCCTAGAGGGAGGTCGGAGTAGATGTGGAAACTTAGGAAATAAGTCTAGATTTCCAGGGGAAGAAGTGCTGTGGAGATGAACAGAAGAGGACAGATTTGAGTGCATTGAGGAGGTGGAATCAACAGAGCATTGTGTGTGATCGGATCTGGGAGGTGAGGAAAGGAAGGAATCAAAGGTGCATATCATTATCTTATTTTATAGATGACAGCTGAGGCTCAGAGAGACCCAGGGAGATGCCCATACTTACCCAGCCAGTGGCAGGCGAAGCCAGAGTGCAGCCCAGGCCTGTGCAACTCCACCCCTGGCATCTTTCTGGCTGGTTTTCTTTAATTGTGCTAGATTCTGTGTGGGCTGATGAAGCCAAGGTTTAGACTCTGTGTTATGATCCACCTTGACCACTCAGAGTCCTTGACCACAAGCTTCAGCCCTGACCTGGCCCCAGTGATTCCTACCTGGCCTCTGACCAGGCCCTGACCCTGGTCACCCACTCAGTCGTGCTCTTGGCCTCTTGTGGAGCCTGGGCCAAGGCTTGTTGATTCTGTTATTCTTGGTAGAGATAGCAAGTAACCACTCTCCATGGCAGTAGGCTAGGTACATGTTAGCCACAGCGTGGATCCCTCTCCCCCAGGCCAGCTCACACTGCTGCTTATCTAGGGAACCAGATGAGAGAGTGTAGATATTAATCATCCCGCTGGCTAAACAGAGACCTGGAGGACTGCAGCAGCACAGATGGCAGAAATGGCGTGGGCTTTGCAGATGGACAGCCCTGAGCCTGCACCCCAGTTCTGCCTCTCATTAGCTGTGTGACCATGGACAGCTTACTTTCCCTCTCTGAACATGTTTCCTTACTTGTCAACTGGGGATCACAGACCTACTTTTCTAGTTGAGGTATGGATTAGTGAGCTTGTATAGACTCTAGCCTATATTAGGTACTCAATACATATCAGATCCCCTAATTTTCTTTACAGTCACTTATTCAGTGACTACTATGTATTTGGATTCAGGGTCCTTTATTAGATGCCGAGGTTGCAAGGGTGACGGCCAGAGTCTCCTGGCATTGCATCAGAATTTCTAGCACACTCCATCGCACACATAGCACACATCCATAGTAGGTGCTTTGTAAATAAAAGTTCGTGAAGCCAAAGAGGGTTTTAGAGACAGTTGGCTTTGCTGAGCCCTGCATTATCAGATTCTCAGAAGCATTTTTGCAACATACAACAAAAATACAAACATAGAATAATCCAGTTCTAAAATACAGCAGAGACACTGTCACATAGGTGGGTGGGAAGAGAGAGACATCTGGGATGCCTGGAGGGAAACAGTGACTTCATTTTTCCTCTCTTGTCATGAAAGTTGTGTGTGTCACAGTCTGGAGACCCTTTGGAAGTCTGATGGTTGTTGGAAGGAATCTGGAAAGGACCTGGGAAGCTTCTGCTCTGCCCGCCAGCCCCACCTTGGGACTTGTCTTTCTTAGCTGCTGGCCCTGGCAGCGGAGGCAACTTGCATATTTGTGTCTTTGGAGATCATCATCTCCAGCCCAGAAAACGTCTCCACTTCTGGAAATTCACAGGTCATTCTGACCCAGCAGTTGGTCTACCGTGACCTGTCATTCCTAAGGAGTCTGAAATTGGGAAGAGACCACCAAGGGTGCAGATGTGGCAGGGAAAGGTTTCAGTGAGCACCAAGCACAGATCAAATTCTGTGGTCCAGTTTGACAAACATTTAGTGAGTGTGTGTCTAGGCCAAGTATGGTGCAGCAAGTTGAGAGTGCAAACCTCAAAGGTGTTTCTAAATTCCTTTAATAAAATGGGTAGTTCCATAGTTAAGGCAGTTGTGCAGCAGAAGGAACACTATAGTCCGAGAGGAGTCCAAGAGGGTGGATTGCAGTTCTGTGTGCATCACTGACTGTATGACCTTGAGAAAGCCCCTTCCCCTTGCCAGGCCATTCATAAAGTACAAGAGATAGACCACATGATGTCTAAGAGGTCCTCCAGATCTCCCATAGTGTCATTCATTCATTCATCCTGAAGTACCTGTTAAGCACGCAACCCTGTGCTCAGCACTGTAGAAACACCAATAAGGAAAAGAGGGTCTCTGCCCTGCAGGGAGTTACAGCTCAGGATAGGGGACAGGCACTGCCAGGGACCTTTGACCAGTGGCTAAATTCCATTTTTCTCTGAGTTTTGACTGCACATCTTGGCTGCTTCCAGCTCAGAAGACCAAGGTTTCCCCACTTCAGAGCCATGCTAAAGAATGCTTTTCAGCTTCCAGAGTGGCTTCCAAAGAGGCAGCAACCCAGGGCAGAGCCAGTGGGGCTGCCCCCAGGGGAAAACACCCAGCCTCCCCAGGGCCACCTTGAATGGGGAAATACTCTTTTGGATGGAAAGTGCTCTGATTCAGAGTCACATGGTCTAGGTCATGCATCATTTTGAGGACAGGAGAGGCCATGGTCTTAAACCTATAGCCCTCTTGACCTCTAATTTGACGGGGATTAAGCCAGGGACAGGACATCCAGAAATCTAGGGTTGACTTGCTATGTGACTTTGGGCACATCACTTCCCCTCTCTGAATTTCACTGCCTTCACTGTACAAGAATAATTATAACACCTGCCTCTGATTCACAGAGCCACTGAGTACTCTGCCAGGCACTGGGCATCATCCACCACTCGATCCTCAGGAAAACCCTATGATACAGGTGCCATAATGAGTCTCATCTTACTATACATGTACCAAAGTCTCACACACAACTAGAAAGTAGCAGACCAATGTCTCCAAAGGTAATTGAGCTTTCTGTGTAAAGTCTGTACAGGAAGCTGAGGCAGGTCTGTTCCCAGATCTCTTTCATCTCCTGTCCCATTACCTAAAGGAACAATCACTAATGCTCAGTGCGACATCCAGGAGCCCTCTCAACCCCTCTCCTCCTATTTACATCCTCCCTCTCTTTCCTGCCCCAGCACCAGCACCCCCCTCTCCAGGAAGCCCTACCATATCCCTCCTTCTGAGCACTTGACATGCAGTGCTGTGCACTTAGCATGCCTTGTTGGAAGGGCATGACAGGAGCTGACTGGAGCAGTGACCCAGCTCAGGCACAGGAACTGACATGGGCATGCAAGTTCTCTTCCCTTGAGTGATGTCCTCCTTAGAACTCTTGCCCTGTGCATTGCTCCACTAGATGGTCCTCACAAACTGTCTAGTCCAGTCCAATCCTCTCATTTTACAGATGGGGAGACCAAAGTCCATAAAGAGGTGCTGATTTCCCCACAGTCAGCCAGCAGATAAGGTGGAACCCAACCAGCAGCGGAGCTGCTTTTTCCAGCTTCCCTTGGAGAGATTTGAAGGCAGGAAGCTCCTCTCTGCTTCCTGTTACCCCCAACAGGGATAGTACTACAGCTCCAGGCAGCTTTTAAGATAGACTTTGCTGTTTGGCTCCCCTTAGATTTCTGGAGCCCTCTATGGCTAAGAGATGTTTCAGTCTCCTTGGATAGCTCACCATGGGGAGGGCTGAGCGCATGCAGTTCATTCACTGGCCCAGCCAGCCACCACTTACTCCATTCACTCTCTTTTATTTTCCCATCTGTACATTTATTTACTTCCCTTTTCATTTGTTCAGATAATTGTCTATTCATTCACTTATTCACTGACCCATTTATTCCTTTACTCATTTAACAAGCACAGAGCACTCTGCCTGCACGAACTGGGGAGACCTATAATAAAGCAGATGACCACAACACACAATGATTGTACAGTAGGCAGCTTGGCGGACCGCGGGAGCCCAAGAGGGAGTGACTAAGCTCCAAGGAGACACCTCAGAGGAGTGACATCCCAACAGGGCCTGTAAGAATGAGCAAGGATTGTCCAGGTGAGAGAGGAGGAAGGAACATCTGTTAGCTCCTGATGTGGTTTTCTGGGGCCACTTAGAGCTGAGCTTCCCAAATCCCTTGGCTTTTGGTCAGCCTAGGCAGAAGGAACCACAGCCCAGACTGTGGCTCAGATCGAGTTCTTGGATATGTTTACCTCTAGCCCTGACTCTGGACCTTGGTCGCTGATTTTCCCCAGTCTGCATGGAGGCATAGAATGGTATGAGTCTGGCTGGGCAGGAAGAGCTTGGAGTCCTTTCTTTCCGTCCCCGTCTTGGCTTATGGCCAGGCTTCCTGATTATTATCTGGGTGCACAGTTCCACGTGGTCTCCTCTACCCCTGCTTGCCTGAGTTGGAGGAAAGGAAGAGAAGGAGGGAGGGGGTATTCATAAACTCAACAAGAATTTCTTTATGGGCAGGAGAGCAGTGAAGGCCACTGTGTTTGGAATCAGATAGACATGGATTCAGATTCTGCCGTGCTGCGTACTAGCTATGTGATCTTGGACAGGTCCCTCTGAGCCTGTTCTCTTCTCTGTAAAATGTGGCTAATAGCATGTAACTCGGAGGGTGGGTCACATTCTCTGTGTCACCATTGTTGACAGACAGTCTGTTCTCCAAATATGGTGGCTAATGTTTTCCTATTCATCTACTTGCTACACAGTTGTAGCACAGTTGCCATGTGCAGGACTGCCAGAAAGGAGCTGGCTATGCAGACACATAAAGCATTCACAGCCCAGCCACGGAGACAGACAGGTGAACCCTTGCCTTCCATGCAGTGTGGTACTGCCAGGGTCTCAGGTCCACTCAGGGCACTTCAAGGAACCACAGCAGGCTGTAGAGTGAAGGTGATGTTCTGACTGGGCCTTAAAAGCAGAGTACATAGGAGGCTTTCTTTTCTAAATCCAGGTAGCACCTCTGACTGCTAGATTACTTTATTCTGACCTTCAGCTCTTCCAAATGCAAAATGGGAATAATAACTGTTGCAAGAATGAGACAGGACAGCACATGTTAAGAGGCTTTGTAATGGGAAAGAGCACTTCTTCATGAAAACAACCAACCAAACCCAGCCAACCTGAGTCTAAAGCCCTTCCCCAGCAGCACACGCCTGCGGGCCAACATGCATGTCATAGATCATAAAGAATCCGGGAGTATTTGTTCAGGAAAAGACAAGAGGGAGGTGAGAACACTAGTTTCTCTTGCTCTTTTTTTTTTCTTTTCTTTTTTGAGACAGTGTCTCACTCTGTCACCTATGCTGAAGTGCAGTGGTGCAATCATAGCTCACTACAGCCTCAAACTCCTGGACTCAAGGGATCCTCCCACCTCAGCCTCCCAAGTAGCTGGGACCACAGGCACATGGCACATGCCACCATGCTTGGCTTTTTTTTTTTATTTTATTTTTTATAGACACAAGGCCTTACTATATTGCCCAGGCTAGTCTCAAACTCCTGGGCTCAAGCAATCCTCCCACCTTGGCCTCTCAGAGTGTTGGGATTACAGGCGTGAGCCACTGCACCTGGCCAAGAACTCTGGTTTCTAGCCCATTAGAACTTGGGAGGAGTGTCCCATGAGTGACAGAGGTAATAGCCTCTCAGCCTGCTGCCTGACGCCCACCCATCCGCAGATATGAGGGAATGGATATTCACTGTGGCAGGAAAGATAGGCTAGAATCTCAGTGGAGCATCCTGGACTTCAGCACCCAGCATTTCAGACTCACTTTCTAAGGGTTTCCGGGGTTCCTGGCCTATCTGGACTGCCTGCCCAGGGCCTGTGGAACTCTCTCTTCTCACCTCTGTGGCCCACCAACTTCCAGGGGAGTCCTGGAGCCCGTCCTTGCGTGCTGGACTTGGTCCATGACACCTGAACACCATCTGTTGGGTCTGGATGCGTCTCTGACCCTGCTCTGCAGGAGCTGTGCGTGGTCTTGAACAAATCACTTAACCTCTCAGGGTCTGTTTTCTCATCTGCAAGACGGGAAAACAGTACCTGCTTCATAGAACAGTTTTAAGTGCAAACGTTAAACTGTGTACAGTGCTTTGGCTAGTGCCTGAGACATAGTTGGAGCTTTCTCGACTGTGCCTCTCAGGATCACAGTCAGTTCATACACTGGGGAGGGTGTGAAACAGAATGGGGAGAAGAAAAGAGACAAGAGAAGGCAACTGTGAAGTGGGTTTGAATAGAGAAGGAGAAGAGCCAGGTGGGAAGGCGTTAGAAGAGGGGGTGCAAGCCCCCCCAGTCTGACCCTGCCCACTGCTGGCCCATGTCCTGCAGCTTCCCTAATGGGCCCTTCTCCACCTGTGTGGATTTTCTTGTCATTCAGCCAATGTGCAGAAATTTCTCCTGCTTCCATTTCGTCACCCTCTGTGAGATGTTATTTCTTACTTTCCTCCACCTGTACTTGACCTCCAAGATTTGGCAAAGTGCTTCCTCTTCCTGGAAGCCTTCCTTGACTGACCTGGTCCCCAGTAATTAGCTGTTCCAGCCCTGCATGCCTCACCCAGCCCTCTGCTGCTGCCCTCAGTCACAGTGCTCATCCCACGCCTGGTCCCCTCCTTCAGTGTTCCCCCACCTGTCTGGAAGTCCCTTGATGCCAGGGGCATGTTTGATCCATCTTTGTGCTTCCAGGGCTCCCAACAGTAGTGGACTCCTTAGTGGATGTTGGAGTGTTGAATGAATGGATGAACCAATGAGTGAACAGCTGCAAGGGGAGGTGGTGAAGCAGGGGAGGCTTCTGTAAGGGCTGGGCCTCAGCAGATTTCATCTCCGTCTGCTGCTGAGACTGCATTTCCCCCTCAAACCCCGCCCCCCGCCCAGCTAGTGAGGAGTGAGGAGCAGGCGAGCAGCCATTGTCCACTGCTGCTCCAGAGGTGCCTTCCCCTCTCTTGTCCCCTTTAGGGCTGTCTGCGGCGTCCTCAGCAACCCCAGGTCCTTGCAGACCTGCAGAAAAGGCTTTTTCCTCCCAGCCTGCACCCTCCTCCCCAAAACAAACACAGTCACTGCCAGAGAGCCACAGGGGCCAGCAATGAAAAACAGGTGTCTCCCGGAGACCTGTCAGCCATGGCTACGCAGCAGCTTGGGGTCACCGCCTGGTGGGGGTAGGGGAGCGTGGGGGCACGACAGGGCTTACCCTGCATGTTCAGCTCCCAGGGTCCGGCACAGGGAGCAGCAGCCACCTCATGCCCTGTGACAGGAGGCTGTGACTGACAGCACATCCCCCAAAGGCGAGAGGAGCCAGGGAGTTCTGGTTCTGTATGAACAGCTGGACACAAAGACCTGGCCCTTGTTCCTACCTCACCATCTCAGATTTAAGCTGCACTCCAGGGAGTGTGGGAACATGGAATGTCCTAAATCACCGGCTTTGAATCCCTGCCTGGCCTCTTATAAGCTGTGTGAACCTAGGCACCTATTTTCCTCTTGGAACTTTACTTTACTCATCTGTAAAATGGGTCAGTAAAGACTCTCACAGCCTGTTAGTGGGATGGGACTGGGCCAGGCAGCGTATACACATGCAAATGGTAATGATCCAATGTAGGGCCTGGGTGTAATACACTTGTTAAGTGTAAGTCCCCGTGCCTCTGGCTCTGAAATCCATCGCTGAAAGACTGCGTGAACTTCAGCAAGGTATTCCCAACTTCAGAGGCCTTTGAGAAGAGTCTGTAGCCTCCATTCTACTGTTGCCTACCGAGGCAATGCTCTCTGGAGTTGCTTCTAGTCTCCTGCATAGGTCACCCCTCTCTTGCACCTCCCTGCTTTTGTGCATGATGTTCCATCTGCCCAGAATGCCTCGACCTAATCTCCTCATTCCTTGCAGTAACAAGATGTGCTAACTGCACCCCTACTGTGTGCCAGGCCCTGTTGCAAATACTTGGAATACACCAGTGAGCAAGACCCTCCTTATGCTTCAGGTGCCTCTGCTCCTTGTTAATGAATCTGCCTCATGGCATTTGTCTCGCTGTACTGAAGTGGGCTGCTTTCATGTCTGTCTTCCCCATGACTGAGCTCCTGCAAGGCAGGGACATCTAACCAGGTCTATACCCAGAGCACGGGCCACAGAGGACTGTGTCTATCTGGTTCATCCTTGCCCCCCCAGCATTCAGCCTAAAGCCAGTGCCTTTGGATGAATAAGTGAAGGGCTCAGGTAAGCTCTGCTCATTCCCTGGCCCTTGCAGAAAGGATAACTCCATCTCCATCCTCTACCAAGACCTGGTTCCGATTCTGCTGACTCAGGCCTTCTGAGCAGTGCCAATGGACCAGCTCTTTCTATGGAGGGGGCCGGGTCCAGACACCCCGGAAGATTTGGCAATGGAGGGAAAGAGGCACAGTGGGCGCTGGCGTAGTCTTCTCTATTTGTATTGGAAGCCACTCCTTGTGTACCAGCACTCACCCCAGATTTCAGTTATCCAATTGCACACTGCTGCTAAAACTGCCCCTGGGCAGATGAGCTGGCTGTGGGCCCTCACTCCATTCATTCCAGCAGCCCCTCCCTACATTGCTCTGGCTCCCTCCCTGTCACCAAGGAGCTCCCCGCTCTTCCCACAGCGGGCACCGCGGAATCTGTCCAGGTCACCAGGACGGTAGCCTGAAATAGCTGAGGGGGAGGAAACTCCCTAAGAAAAACACTTGTGCTTGTGAGCGGTTTCAGGTCAGACACCTCTCTTCCTGCTACTCTTGTGTCTGCGCAATGCTTGCATTCCCTGGGCTAGTTCTCAACCAGGGGTCATTTTACCAAGGCAACTGCAAAGGAAGGTATTTGTAATCTTTGGGACTGGGGCTCACGACGTCACCTGCCAGGTGCTGGAATTGATTTCAAAGGTGGATAATTTGCCCCCATTTCCAGTTATCCAGGCTTTGCCTTATGGTGTGTTTGGGAACATTGGAAGTCTACAAAGAATTCGAGAAGCTGCGACAGAGTGAGCAGTTCCAGCACTTTACCAAGGCAGGCGCCATGTTTGGGCTGTAGAAGCCAATGACACAGGCCCCAGCCTGACTCTGCCATTTATTCGGTTGCTGAACTTAGGCAAATTAATCAACCATGCCTTAGTTTTCTCATCTATAAAATGGCAGCAATAGTACCCCTCATTAGGAGTTGATAGGAGGATTAAAAGAAATGAGTTTTCCTGTGTAGGCACATAGAAGGCTCTTTCCCCTCCTTGCCTTAAGTTTCTTTATTTAATTGTTTATTGTACTTTTCCTGATGTTTTCAACTAGAAAGGACATGGCTGCTCTTCTCTTGGAGCCAGATGATGGCAGCATGATGAGGTAGGAAAGGAAGGGAAGAGGGAAGCAGGAACTCCATGCTGCCCCGGACTGCTTTCATAGCGGTTCGTATTCATGGGGTGCTGACCGCTGCATGCATTCCTGTCTTGGGTATGTGCTGGGACCTCAAGGGACAACAAAGCAGCCATTCAAAAGTATCATTTAGAAAGCCAGGCAGGAAAGGTCAGACACCTTTGTCTGGGGACAAAGTGCAAAATAGGCACTGGGTAAACAGTGAGCTGGGTTTCCTAGAACCGACTGGGTGCCTCTCTGCCATCAGAAATGGTGTTGTTTCTGATGGGTGCAGAGCACACTTAGGTCGCGCCCAAGTATCCCGCTTGCAGAGAGCTAACATGGAAACCATACTGGCTTGCTCCAGCCTAATCCCGTTCCCAGCCCCAGGACAGTTTGGATAAAAGGCAGCACCCAGTGCCCATGAGTGCTCAGGAGAGAGTGGATCGATCTATAGGAAGGTGGTGAGAGTGAACCTGGGAGCTACGAGGAACTGTAAGAACTGGGGCTAAGCATGGAGAGGAGAAGCTTGGGAAGGACAAAGTCATTTTCCCCAAAAGTCTGTTGGGCTGCCCTGGAGTGGAGGCTAAAGAGAGGGCTACAGAGCATGGAGCTGGGCCTGGTCGGGGAACTGAACTGAAGAAGTAAAAGAACCTTTTCACAGCCAAGAGCTGCCCAGACACTTGAAATCAGTCAGTAACCTGCTGTGGCCTCTGGTGGAAGGCACAGGGGGTTCCGGATTAGGAGTGCTAGGGGCGGCCTGTGCTGCTTCCTAGAACTGTGGCCACCACAGGTCCTTTCTTCCCACTGAGCCTCAGGCTTCCCCCATGCCCTGGAGATGGTAATGACTAGGGAGAGTGAGATGCTTCCTTGCCAGCTCCTGGGACGAGGTGGGCCTGAGAAGAGTGAGTGTCCCTTGTCTCACAAGGCTGAGCATACACAGAAGGGCCGCCCCGGAGGACCCCCAACCTGAGGTGACCGAGACGAAGCCCAGTGTCTCCCCAGCACTGGGCTGCCCTCTCTAAGCCCTCCCAGCATATGGTAAATATCCTCTCAATGAGTTAAAACTCCACCACTCCAGGAAATGTTGTTACAAATTGTTTTTCCACTAGAACACATACTGGATTTTCCATGCCACCTCCAGCACATTTTTGGGAAATCCCAGGTGGTGGGATGGAGGCTGAGACCCTCCAGAAAGGCCAAGGTCCCA
Organism: Homo sapiens; assembly: GCF_000001405.40. NCBI lineage: Eukaryota > Metazoa > Chordata > Mammalia > Primates > Hominidae > Homo > Homo sapiens. Next base: position 47,912,482 of record NC_000001.11, on the reverse strand, counting down.
ACAAACCAAAACCAAAAGACGGCTGGGTTTTATTTAATCATAAGTACATATATGTCTCAACCTTTGAATACTGGAAAGGAAAAAAATTTAAAAACCAGACAAACTGAAAAAACGCACACATTGCTTTGCTTTGGAAGGTAATTACTTTGAATTCAGTTAAACCAACTTGCTCTAGCTAACTAGATTAGTTTACATCTTGTGGTAGAAAAAGAAATACAAATTACTTCAATTGCAATAAACCATGTTTTTCTAACTAAATAGATTAGTTTATATCTTGTGGCAAGAAACAAGGAGAACGGCTCAGAAATGCCTGTTGCTCACTCCTGCCCACTCAGTCATTCAGGGAAGTTTGTTTTCTATTTGACCTCTGGCCTCTGATCCCCATGCCTCCCTCAGCCCCCTCCTCCAAGAGATGCAAAGAATTGGGCTTGGGAAAAAGAAAAACAAAACCACATCCATCCCAACTGCTTTGATGATGAAGCCTTAGTACTTGGGCGTTGCGTGATCCACACTGATTACATTCACTCCATGACTGCCTACTGTGTGTGGCACAGAGCACGGGGCACCCAGTGTGGCAGGGCTTCCTTCACAGGCATGAAACCTGCGTGTCACACAAGTCCCTGTGCTTATTTCATCTTCTGCTGTTGCTGTTATGTAATTCTTAATGATTTATGAATAAGGAGCTCCTCATTTTCCTTTTGCACTGGACCTTGCAAATTATGTAGCCCGTCCTGGTGGACAGACAGCATAGAAAGCATAGAGACAACACAGGGATAGAGGAGACGAGGGCCTGCGCTCTGGAGCTGTGGCTCCATAGGGGACACAAGGGGCTCGCAATAGCCCATAAGCTCCTCCTGGAGCAGGACCATGTGGGACCCATGTCCAGGGACCCGTCCACATGAGGGTGGTGTTCGCAAGGTGAGTGTCGCTTACAGAACTGACAGACGATGCATTAGCCTGAGTCAGTCCAGCCACTTCTGTGACTCAGGAGTTCTTCGGCCTGTTCTTTATCTAAGGAGAAAGTCACTTGCTGCCTCCTGTCTGTGTCTTTCTATCATTCTATCACATCTTACTCTTTCTGTCATAGGAAAGGCCTGGGGAAAAGGTTGTAACTTGCACCAGTAGTTTCTGAGGAGACTGGTCTTGGCATGGTGTCTCCCCAGGCCTGTGCAGAGTGGGTCCTCAAGGGTCAGCTCACTGGAAACAATGAATTTAACCACCAGAATGCCATCTGCACATTACACCCTGCTGAGGTGTCCCTTTATGTGCATTATCTCATTTAATTGTCACAATTACCCTATAAGGCTGTTAGAAGGAATGCAGATTCAATCTAAAGGTAGGCTGGCTTTCTATTACACATTTCTATTTTCCCCCATGTAAAAATCCTGGCTGGGGCTGGCGCTCTGCTCCAGGAAGCTATGGAGGGTTCAGGCTCCTTTCACTGCTTCTCCACCATCACCAGGAATTGCCTCCGATCAAAGGTGGCTCCATCCTCTGCCTGGCCATTCCAGCCTTGGGCAAGGAGAAAGGCAGAGCCCAGAATTAGACCCGTCGGTCCTGCTCATGAGCCATTGGCCACAACTTGGTCATTTGGCCACACTTAACTGTGAGAGGAGACTGAGAAATGGGGTCTCTTCTGGGTGGCCATGTGCCCAGATGAAAATGAGGAGTTTTATTACTATGGAAAAAGGAGAGAATCGACATGCAGGTAAAAGAGCAATCTATGCCATATGAGGATAGGTATTTTACCTCTGTTTTATAGAGGAAGACACAGGCTCCGAGAGAGAAATGGCGTGGCCCAGGACGCACAGCATACAGGTCTGTGCTTTTTCTAACTACTACACTCTAGGGCTTTGAGCTTCAAGAAGTGTCCTGGACTCCCATGGGGGAGGGTACATCTACCCAGTGCCGGTCCACTGCATGGCTCTGTGACTGAGGGTCACCAACTCATTCTCCCACTCTCTGAGTGACAAGGTACTCACTACTTCCCATGGCCATCCTAGAACTTTGTTGGTTAATTGTGACTGTTTCCGTTCAGCAAATAATGAGCAGACCATCCTGGACAGACAGAGCTGTGAAAGCTGACAGGAGGAGTCCCTGATCCTGGCTGAGTAGTCAGGAAAGGCCTTCTGAGGAGTCAGGTTTTAGGGAAGTCTGTCCTAGAGGATGAATTGGAGTTATTGTCTAGCCTTTGACCTTGGACACTTTATTTAACCTCTCTAAACCTCAGTTTCCTCACCTATAAGATGAAGGTAGTAAGAATACCTTCCTGATATGGTTTGGATGCTTGTCCCCACCAAATCTCATGTTGAAACATGATCCCTGCCAGGCACAGTAGCTCACACGTACAATCCCAGCACTTTGGGAAGCCAAGGCAGGCTGACTGCTTGAGCTCAGGAGGTCAAGGCCAGCCTGGGCAACTTGGCGAAACCCCATCTCTACAAAAAATACAAAAATCAGCCAGGCGTGGTGGCACGTGCCTGTAGTCCCAGCTACTCAGGAGGCTGAGGTGGGAGGATTGCTTGAGCCCACAAGGTGGAGGTTGCAGTGAGCCATGATTGTGCCACTGTGCTCCAGCCCCCCCCCTGGGTAACAGTTCCAAAGTGTCTCAAAATAAGTACATAAATACAACCCACAAGAAAGAAAGAAAGCAAGAAAGGAAGGAAGGAAGGAAGGGAGGAAGGGGGGGGGGGATGGGGAGGGGAGGGGAGGGGAAGGGAGGGAGGGAGAGATCCACAGTGTTTGAGATGGAGCCTGGTGGGAGGTGTTTGGGTCATGGAGGCGGATCCTTCATGAATGTCTTAGTGCCCTCCCCATGATAATGAGTGAGTTCTCATTCTATTGGTTCCCATGAGATCCGGTCGTTTAAAAGAGTCTGGCTCCTCCTCCTCCTCCTCCTCCTCCTCCTCCTCCTCCTCCTCCTTCTTCCTTCTTCTCCTCCTTCTCCTCCTTCTCCTTCTCCTCCCCCTTCTCCTTCTCCTCCTTCTCCTCCTTCTCCTTCTCCTTCTCCTTCCCCTTCTCCTTCTCCTTCTTCTTCTTCTTCTCTCTCTCTCTCTCCCCTTCTCTCTGTCTCTCTTTCTCTCTCATGCTTCCTCTCTCGCCCTGTGACATGGCTGGTCCCCTTCTCCTTCCGCCAGGAGTGGAAGCAGCCTGCGGCCCTCACCAGAAGTAGATGCTGGTGCCATGCTTCTTGTAATGCTTGCAGAACCATGAGCCAAGTAAACCCCTTTTATTTATAAATTATCCGGCCTCAGGTATTCTTTTATAGCAATGCAAAACAGACTAACACACTACCTTGCACAGTTAAAGAGAAAATTAGAACGTGTCCACACGTATTTAATAGATGTCAGTTATTATTAAGAGCATGCCTAGCAAAAAGAATGGCAGGAGCCAAGGTCAGTTGGTGACCAACCGCACAGGCCACTCAGGAGGCTGGCCTGGAAAGCAGAAAGTCAAGAGCAGCAGGAGCTCAGCAGAAGCTTTTGCTGGAGGTTCCTGGAGGTTTGAAAGACCTTCCTGATGTCCAGCCCTTGTCAGCCGTCCTAGATTCATGCGCTGAAGCTCTGTAAAGGAAGTCCGCTATGTCTTCGGGGAGCTGCAGTTCAGACAGACTGTCCTAAGGAGCAGTCAGAAGGGCCTCAGGGGCAGGTGTTCCAGAATGCTGGAACTGCCCCCTCCCAAAACCATCTCTGTACATGGTATGAGGAGCCAGAGCCCTCCATGGCCTGCTGCCTCCCAGATGGGACACTGGTGGGACTTGTGTGCCTGGCCGAGCTGGCTCCTTGGCCATTGAGGGTTGAAGAAAAGGCCAGAGAGGCTTGGAGGAGAAAGAGCTGCAGACAGAATGGAGGAAGGAAAAGGGACAGAGGAGGTGGCAAGAGACAGGAAATGAGAGTGAAGGAGAGGCACAGGAGGGAGAGAATAGGAGCCTGTGCAGACTGGGTAGTCCCAGGCACCAGGTCCGTCCATGGAATTTATCTAACCCTTGCATCAACTCTGGAGGTGGGGTAGAAGCCCATTTTACAGATGAGGAAGCTGAGGCCCAGAGGACTTCTTGATTGGCCTGAGTTCTCCCAATCAATTATCTGATTGCAAAATTTTTCCTCTTTTTAAAAATCCTCTTTTTTTCTCTTTTTATGTAATCATCGTAAAAGGCACAAACAAAAAAATTATAAAATTCCACCATCTGGTGGGATACCCACTGTTAACATTTGATGTATATCCTTCTAGACATTTCCCTTTGCAAGTCTGTGTCTCTCTCTATATGTGCATATAGATGAATACATAGTTATAAAAATGGGATTATTATTATACATACTCTTCAGAAACTTCCTGTATTCAGTTCACCATATATCATGAACATCTTCCCACTAAGGTAAATACATATCCATGGTCTCATTTCTAATGGCCACAGACCACATTTAGGTCATTTCCAGGTTTCCACAGTTTCATGGGAGAGAACACTTCTCAGGTTACTTTTTAATGAGAAAAGAAAAGAAATACGGAAAATTTGGAAGAAGAGAGGAGGCAAAAACTTTACCTAGTCCCTCTCTTTGTTCCACCCACAGCCAGGTACCTCAATTTGCCTTACCAAGTGGGTTCTACGACATTGTGATGCCAGTGAATCCTGCAGTTAACATTATTGCTAGAAAGACAGTTAAAGCTCAGTTCTTTCAATCAGTTATTACACAGAAGGGAGGCAGGTCAAAGGAAACACTGTGAGGGTTTTCCTACCAATTTGACTTCTAGACTCAGGACTCCTTTTGCTTTTCTCATGGCCTCCAGCGACCTGGGATCCTCCTCCTTTAGATGGTTAAAGAGTGAGAACAAACATGAGTGCACCCGGCAACTGGCTTCTCCCTCCTGACATGGCATAATGGAGAAAGCACCAGGCCCAAAAGTCATACAAACCAGGTTCTAATCCCAGTTCCCCTCCCTATTTACAGGGCAACCACAAGTCCTAACTCATGTTGGAGCCTCAGTTTCCTCATCTATTAAGTGGAAGGAACACAGGAAACATGAAAGGTACCTGGTAGGTGCAGGGTACAGAATAGATACTCAAATACTTTCTGATATTATATCATTTCCTGTTCTCAGAAGTTTTCTTTAAGAGAGGTGGGCCCACCTGTTCTTGCATTAATATCTCCATTATTCAGTGGCTTGAGGAGAGCTAGAAAACCAAATTCAATGACCATGACTCTCTTGTAAAAAGCCATGTTAGTAGCCCAGCCCGACTAATGAACAAATCCCTGGTCATGAAAGAAAGTGTTTCTAATAAGCATGAAAGTGTATTTGTGAAGGCAGCCTGGGGCCCGCAGCCCCAGCTGCTGGAGCTTATAGCATCTTTGCCTGAATAGCCACACTTTTGTGCCTGGAAAGTGTGTGTTATTGGAGCCAGACTCCCCACTTCCTTCCCTCCCCACGCCAGCGGCCGGCTGGTGCTCGCACGGGCTGCCTGTCATGTACAGGCAGGAGACCGCCAAGCCTATTCCAGGGAGCAGGCCATCACTGTCCGGGGAAGGGGCTGAAACTGGGCAGGCACTGTGTTTTCTAACATTGTGCCTATTGCCGGAGGGGGACCGACAGCACAAGGGATTGGTGTTGGCAGGTCCCCCTGCTAAGCTTCTGGCTGCCCTCAAGAGCCAGGCCAAAGGACTTGTGTTTTCTTTGCTGCATTATTAAGCTGTCTTTTGCTTTTAAGGTTCCTAGACCTGTCATAATACAGGCCATCCTAGCCAAGATTCTGGGCCCCTGTTCCTTTGAACTGCAGGGGCAGCTGTGGAGAAATCCAGCTTTTCCTGTGGTGTGGTTGACAGCCGGCTGACAGCCTCCAGCCAGGCTGCTACCAAGCAGGGTTGCAGTATTACCCGTCTAGGCTTGGGGAATCAGTCTCATCCCATGGGGAGATTGGACAGAGCCCTGCTACGCTCGAATCCTATCTGGGAGAATGGAGCTGAGAAGAGGGGAAGAAAGGCAACCTCAAAACTGGGATCAGAATTCCTGGGTTCTCAGAAAGGCATTATCTCGCCATGGCTAAGAGCGTGGAGCTTGGTGCAAGAAAGCCTGGATTGAATCAAATGCTAACGTGAACTCACTGCTGTTGACCTTTAGCAAGTTCTTTAACCTCTCTGAGCTTAAGTTTTCTCATCTGTGAAATAGGGAAAATAATAGTGTCCACCTCCTAGGGTTATCAAGACTGTAACTCATTATAAATGAGTTATGTTTCTTCAATGAGTCATTCAAAGCACGAAGCCCTGTGGCTGGTACACTGTGTGCACAACACACGATGTAGCCAATAGTGTTTTTCTTTCATGGGGCCTTAGTCAGTGCCACAGGAGGGCCATTGAAGTGGGGAGCACTCAGGAAACCTGGCTTCTGATCCCAGCTCTGCCGCAGGCCTGAGGTATGACCTTGAGCAAGGGTGTGCCACTCTCTGAGCCATTGTTTACTTGTTTCTGGGCATAAAAAAATGAGACATGGCAGGAGTGCTGGAAGACCTCTAAGCCCAGGAGTAATGTGGAGTGCTGGGGTTAAGAGCGGCAGGTGCAAGGGATAGAGGCTGGTGAGATTCCAAATGGGAAGCAACAACCATCAGGTAGCCCTTCCCCAGAATTAAAACCTTGCCTTCCACTTCTCGCTCTCTCTGCAGCTGGTTCAGTATTGGAGGCCAGTGAGGTGACCCCTCCAAAATATGTATGACTGTATTCTTTCACACCATATGCCATAGAGATTGAGGGCTGGGGACAAAAGGGAGGTAGAAAGAGAAAGAAAAGAGAGAGAGAGAGAAGGAGGCAGAGAGATAGACATACAGAGAGAGAAAAGGAGAATGTCAAGAGAGTTTATGTAGAGCAGCAGAGTGGAAGAATTGTGGCATCAGGTGCAAAGGATGGGAAATGTAGATTTCTTTTCCAAAGTGGAGGCACAGCCATGGGAGGCTGGGGACAGGGATGGCTAGGGAACCATGTAGATGTAGGGTGCTAGTTTATTTCTGCTGAGTGGGATGGGGTAGGTTGCAACATGTACTCCCTGAGAACCTCAACCAGAAACAGGCCCAAAGATAAGTCTGGGTTGGGGAAACCTTCAGACATTTCCCTGTTCAGACATCTAGCTACCACTCCCTTCCCCATCCCCAGCTGCCAGGACGGCTCCTCTGGGAAGTTGGTTCTCATTGCTCCTCACGCCATAGTAGTCCCCAGGTCTTGGATCCTTTGAGAAAAATGAAGGAATGGAGTTTAAACTTAGCCACTATTTATTGAGAACCTGCTCCCCTCCAGGCATGAGCCAGATGCTTATACATGTGTTACCTCATTCCATTTGCTTTTCGCAAGCACCCCTTGTCCTGTGAATCCCTGCTTTAGCAGTCATGATTTCTCCCTCTTTCCAGTTACTTGTTCCCTGTCTCCTCTCCTCCTCTTTGACCATGAGCTCCCTGAAAGCAGGCTCAGCCTGTGTCTACCTTTGTTTCCTCCACAGAGAGCCCAGGCTATGGGCTCAACATGTCAGCTGGTTTCTGTAGAATCAGAGTATGTTAACTTAAATCTGATTAATTTTTAGGGAGGCATACTGAATATAATTTAAGTGATTTGGAGCATTAGGAGTCAGCCTATATCGGGAGAGAGCACAGAGGATATTATATTTTGAAAGCAGAGTGAGAATGTAATATATGGAGGGCAATGCTTAACTCAATTAGAAGAACAGTGTTAATGGTGGAATTTCTGGCATGGAGGCAAGTGTGATAGAGAGGAATTGGGCTGTGAATCAACATGGCTTTCCAGGACCTTCCTCCTCTCCTGTACTAGGCTTTGCAGGAGACAAAGGAGGCTGCATAGTCTCTCCCTTGGGAGTGCATGATCCTGTTGTGAAGATGAGATTCTCTCAGGTGAACAGCGAGAGCCCCAGGACCCTGGGGCTTTTCGCAAGCACCCCTTGTCCTGTGAATCCCTGCTTTAGCAGTCATGATTTCTCCCTCTTTCCAGTTACTTGTTCCCTGTCCACTGCTCCACTGCTGTAACACGGTAACATGGTTTCCATCAGGGGTTGAATATTTGCTCCTATAAGAGTTGCCCCAGGATGGGAAAGGAACCATCATATAAATGTCTTCACCTACTGAGTAAAATCTAAACTCGATTTCTCCTGCCTGCTTCTCAGCCCCCAGGGCTTCCTCCACCACACTCTGTGCTTCCCCCATCCCAGCCATTGATCATGCTATTTCCATCTCTTTTAATGGCCTCCAAGACCCTGACCTATTACCACATTCTTTCCACCCATCTTTCAAGGTTAGGTTCAGATCACTCCTCCTCCAGGAAGCCTTCCCTCATTTTCCCTCTGCAAACATCATCCCACTCTCCAAATCTCACAATCAGTGCCCTGTTACAGCTCCTTCTGCAGGCCTTATTTTAGTTTGTGCTCAAGTTAGGTTTGGAGGAAATATGCCCATCTCTTTTCTTCCCCAGGATGAGCTCATGGGTTCATCACATAGGGCCTGGCCCAAAGGTTGTGCTCAGTGGGTGTGGTCAAGGAGAGACACCTCAGAGCAGGAGGCAGAGGCAGGAGAGTGACCTGATCTGACCAAACTGGAGCAGGCAGGCAGATCCTGTAGCCTGGCCTGGTGAGCCCCCAGTGCTCTTGGGGTTAATCAGGGTTACATGTGATCAATAAATATTTACTGGGTGTTAAGTTTTTAGCTTAATGCAGGATTTAGCAGCCATTCTCATTTATGGTAATGAGAGGCATTGCCACCCTGGGGGATTTGGAAAGGAAACTCCTCCACCTGCCTGCAATCTGGGTTCAGAACTGCACTGACTCTAACTGCCCCTGCCCAGGAAGCCCTGTGGTAGTGGAGCTTCAGCTTTGGCTTCCCTTCCAACTATTTTCTCAGGGTCTCAAGCCTTGACTCCACCCCGCAGGAAACTCCCACTGCCTCCCTCCTCACACAATCTTCACCCCATCTCTGTGCCTGGCTCTGCTGGGCCCTGGGGGCACAGACACAGTGCAGACAAAGCTCCTTCTCCTCAAGGAGCCCCTGCTCAGAAAATGATTCCCAACCGTTTTTCTTATGCACTATGTCACAGCGAGATCTTCACACCAAGACCCTGAGGCACAGCTGGGCAGTAGGAGAGGCACAGCTGGGTCTCTGTGAATGGCAAGGCATAGGGGATGGTTGGAAGCCCCTAGGCAGAGGGGTGTCAGAAGCCCCCTGACGTAGGGTGTGCAGAAGTTGCAGGTGGAGAGGGTGTATAGAAGCCCCAAGGCAATTTGACGTACACTCTCAAGGGTGCCCTCCAACAGATGTCACCAGTCTAGAAGCTGAGATAGACACATAAATAAGCAACACTGTGCACAGTGAGTGCCATGACCAGAGGAAGCCCAAGAGCTCTGAGGGACAGGAGGAGGCATCTCACTCAGCCTTGGGAACACTCCTCCAGGGAGGTGACTCTTGAGTGGCTTCATGAACCCAGACAGAGAAGAGGGGAATGACTTTCCAGGCAGAAGGGGCTGTGAGGCATGAAAAAATCTGGCATGTTTAAGATACCAGGATGAATTTATGACTAGACCTGTGCTGTCAAATATGATAGCTACTAGTCACATGTGGCTATTTAATTAAAATTAAACAACATTAAAATTATATTCCTCAGTCTCAATAGCCACATTTCAGGTGCTCAACAGCCACATGTACTAAAGAATGTCCATCATCAAGCCGAACAGGGTGGCTCATACCTGTAATGCCAGCACCTTGGTGGGCCAAGGTGGGAGGATGGCTTGAGGCCAGGAGTTCAAGACCAGCCTGGCAACATGGTAAGACCCCGACTCTATAAAAAATTAACTAGGCATAGTGGTGTAACCCTGTAGTCCTAGCTACTGAGGAGGATATGGCAGGAGGATCACTTGAGCCCAGGAGTTCAAAGCTGCAGTGAGCTATGATCGTGCCACTGCACTGCAGCCTAGGTGTCAGAGTGAGACCTTGTCTCTTAAAGAAAGAATTTCCATCCACAGGAAGTCGAGTTGCCCAGTGCTGGCCTTAGAGTATAGAGCCACTGTGGATCCTAAAGAGCCTGAGGACCCTGGACTCCTTCTCGTGGGTCTCGGTTCTTCTCTGGACCCCCTGTTTGCCCATCTACTTGGCAGTCACCCTGGGAACTCAGAGGCTTCTCTTTCATCCCACCATTTTATCAACACCTATTGTGCCCCTGGTTTTCAAGAGAGGCACATGCCTGAGAACTTGGTTATGGGAGAAGGGTTAGAAGCCTCCTCAGAACCGCAAGCCATGAGGTTCCAAGGGTCCTATGAGAAAGCAGTGAGCACATCACGTGTCCCATGTAAACTCTTGGTAAAGACCAGTCAGGGCCAACCAGGGAAGATGCACCTTGTGGGAGGCTTGGTCAAAATATTTGGCCGTTCATGAACAGTAAACACTGGGGCAACTGTGAGGTGCTGGCCAATTGAAGGTTGTACTAGGGGAGTGGGCAGAAGAGTGGGTGGAGGGATCAGGAGGAGACTTACCAGGACAGTAGCTGCCTGTTTCTAGGGCACCCTGTGGCTCCTTGCCCCACAGGTGAGTTTCTTCCTCTTCTGTGCTCAGTTTCAATGTCACCTCCTCTGTGAGGCCTTCTCTGATTGCTCAAGGAGCCCCAACTGCCCCTCATCCTGGATTTTCACATGACACTTGTCCCACAGACTGCCAACGTGCCTGTCTCCCTAATTAGACCCTGGGCTTCCTTGAGGACACAGACCTGCCTGGTTAATTATGCTGCTCCGTTAGCCTGAACCACTCTTCTCCAGAAGTCTGCCCCCATGGCTGTAATCAATCTATATCAGTGTTACTTCTTATGTACCTGTTGCTTCCATTAGACCATGAACTCCTTGAGTGCAGGGGCTACGTCTTGTTCAGCTCTCTAAATACCTGAGTGAATGAGTTAAGTCAGGGAGGTGGAGGCTGTTGAATACCAGCTGGCCTGGAGGCAGAGGACTGGAGGCAGACAGAATCAGGAAAGGGACTGGGAGGGGTGGAGAGGTGAAAGCAGGCTGTCCATGCCCCCTGCCGCTGAGCCATGCTGGCTGAGCAAGAGCTTCCCTGTGGTCCCACCTGAGCAGACTTCCCTAGGAAGGGAGACTCTGCTTCTTGTGGACTTCCTTTCCTCTGTGAGATGGCTGTTCTCCCCTGCTGATTGCTGCAGAGAAGATAATGGCAGATCCCTTTATTTCTTGGGCTGGCCTCCAGGCAGAAGAACTTGTTCCAAGTGCCACTTGGTGACTCTTGCAAATTGTTCCTGACAGCCCTGCAGAAGGCCAGGCCATCTGCCTTACCCTTTTGCAGGGCGGCAGGGGCTGAGAGGAGAGATATTAGGTTTCCACTTTAGCCAGTACTTTGATGTTCAAAGCTGTTTAATATTCATTAAACCAGTCCTTCAGTTGTAATTGCAGTCATTACCCACCCTTTTATGATTGTCTGTAAATGTTATGGGACAGACGGGCACAACTAACCTAATGATGGAGGGTTTTGATGATAGATAAAAGGTTGAATAGAACCCCTTCAAATCCGTCTCCTTACTCCTTGGTGCCCACTCCCAGCCCTTTCTGCTTTCTTTGTCTCTTAAAAGATGGTGCTTGGATTGAGAGAGCAGGATGGCCCTCCAATAGTGTCATGGTTAGTTAATTTTACCAAGACAAAAATGCTGTCCTGTGGTCTCAGACTGAACCCAAAATCACACACACAACTAGGCCTTGGCATCAGGTGAGGCACAGAGCCCCGACCCCGGCCATAGTCGGAGCACTTAGCTGACACCAAGAAAAGGAAACTAGGTTTTTACTTCGTTCATTTAGCAAACATAGAAATTTTGAACAGGTTTGGCCATCAGAGATAACAGTGCTCTTGCTCTATGGAGGGGTGGGGGCCTCTTGGAGGAAATACACAGGCTTGTGTATTTGGCATCAGACTTCACTTTTAGGTGCTCCCACTTTCTAGCTGCATGACCTTGGCAATGACTGAAACTCTTCAGTGTTCAGTTCCTTCATCTATTAAGGATAAGATAATTATACAACCTACAGGTAAAGTCGGTGTGAAGATCCCACTAAATAACAGGCACTAAGTACCCAACAGAGTGCCTGGCAGGTGGCACTTGCTCGGTTCCTGCCAACTCATGGCTTTAGCACTCTCTCCTGAAGTCGTGTGAGAGCAAGTGGGCCCTGCCTTAGGAACCCTAAACCCAAACGGGGAGAGAGAGTATTGTGGGCTGGCCAGGTCCTGCCTCTCCAGCCCAATCTTCCAACAGTCCCTCCAACAACAATCTGCCAACAGCACCCTCTTCTGACCTCCTCCCCCACACCCCCTCAGTCTGGCAGGTGAGTTCTCTGGGAAGCCGACTCTGAGGTGGTTTCCATGTATATTTATTAGGGAGGTCCTTGGGGGTGGGTGGAGAAAACAAATGGAGCAGAGGGAGAAGTCAAGCTGAGATGCAGGCCCAAGCACTTTCCACAGGGAAACTTGGATCTGAAATAGCTGGCTGGGCCTTTGCATACCTGCCTTTATTCCTCATTGAATTGACTCTCATTGGATATGGGTCGTGCATTGAAGGGCCCAACTTTGAGCAAAGAGGCTCTGCAACTGGGGCAAAAGAGACTGACAGTGCAAGGCTGCACTCTGACAGCACTGACAGCAGCTGGGGCAACAAGTCCTTCATTAACATGGGACCTGGGGGCTGCATCGCCCTGTCCACCACAACCAGGGCTCATTATCATTTCCAAGGGCTTCCCTTGGAATGCTGTATCTACCCACCACACACACCACCACCACCACCACTATTGCACAAACACACAAAACTTACCAAAATCCTTTTTCTTCTTCAAAATGTTCTAATAGTACCTCCTCCAGAAAGCCTTCCATGGTTTCCCCAACTTTGAATGATTGCATCTCTCACTGCTCCCAAGATTCATGGGCAGAGTGCCACGTAGGCAGATATCCTCTTATCAGACAGCAGTTTTCTAGAGGTGGCATTGTATGTAATGGAGTGGGCCACAGCAGTGTCCAAGTGGCCTTGCAGGGCCTTGTTTCAGGGGACCAAAGCACCAGAAGGGGCTAAACCAGAAGCGCTCGCAGGTCCTTCTTGCCTTACTGATCTGTGATTCTCTAGGTCCCACTCTGGGTGGCCCACTCCTCCAGGTGTGCATGAGCACCTTAGAGAACAGGGCCTGGGCCTTCTCCATGTCTGTAGGAGGTTGTTGAGGGCACTCCACTTGCAGAGACCAACATGCATGCCAAGATCTGTGGGGCAAGCAGAAGATCATGCCCTGTGCACATAAGAACCCCCACCTGGAGTGGAAGTCAGATGGAAACAGAGGACACAGCCCAGTGGACAAATGCAGAGACAGAAAGATATGTAAGATGAGCCCTTATGGGCCCAGGCCAGGGTCTCACATCCAGAAAGACTCAGTGGGCACTTGCTGAGGAAAAATATGGATGTAAGGCCTTCTCCAACAGCAAAAGGATACATGTAGGTGGTGAAGGCCGTGAAGACTGAATGCGTGAATGAATGAATGAATGAATGAGTGAATGAGTCAATGGAGGAATAAGCAATTTAAAGAAATCCACAGCTGAGTAGAGTAGATCTCCAGTCTCTCTTCCAAAACCCTTGAAGCCACATTTGTTTCAGAATTCAGAATTCAGAATTTTTTGGATGTTAGATGGCAAAATATGGTATATATCCATACATCATTTAACACCCCATTGTGGCCTGGAGCAGCATTCTTAATCAAATACATTAACATTTGTGCAGCAAAACATGAATATTCACAAAACGTGGGAGAGATCAAGGCTATATATAGCCTTGGATAAGTTCAGGTCAAGTTACCAAAGACATTCTTCAGAGCGTTTTGGATTTCAGAATTGTAGATAAGGGAGTTAGAGCTCGTATGACCATCAAGGTTCTTTCTGGCTTCAAAAAAGTCCCCTTGAAGATGCAGAGCCCCTAACTTGCTCTTGACTGTTCCCACCCAGTGCCTCCCTGGCTTCCCTCCAGAGCCTAGGCCTCTCCTTTTCTGTGTGTTTTTCTTTCCTGGCCTCCAGGCAAACTTCTGCCATCCTGAGGTCAGTCAAATGGGAGTCTCAGAGCAGGTCTAATCACACATCATTAGCATCCTAATGGCACCTAAGTGAGAGGGCAGTGACTTTTATCAGAGGGAGAGCCAGAGCAGCCCGGGCTCAAAGATTGGGGCGGAGGCCTCTGGGAATGGGGGAGGTTGTGACTGTTTTTCTTGCCATTGTTAGGGCTCAGGGTTCCAGCCTTCGTAGCCCCTGCTTGACAAGTTGCCTCCTCCACATTCCTCACCAGTAGCTTACCTGCCTGCTTTTATGCCTTTTATGCCTAGATTCTTCCCTTCCTTCATCTGCTCATTCATTCATCTAACAAAAATGTTCTGAGCCAGTATTCTGTGCCACCCAACAACCTGTGTTGTTGGAGTGATTATCAGTGAATTGGGACAGTGTAGATACTGAAGGAAAATTCTTATAGGATAAAAGTAACTTCCAGTTATTTTTTTCTTGTATCAGGTAAATAGCTAACACTTCTGTTTGTATAGAACGCTATCCTTTGCAAGGGATTTTTACATGTTAGTTTAATCCTTACCAATAATCAACCCTCTAAAAAAGATATGGTCAGTTCCAGCTTAAGAATACAGAAGCTCAGAGAGGTAGAGTAGGTCGGCTGCAGTGTCTGGCCCATTGGGTACCTGCTCTCTAGCTGGGCAGGGGCAGGTCAGATTGTATATGTGTGTGTGTGTGTACACCTGTGTGGTGCAAATGAGGGGTAGGGAGGAAACTGATTGAGCTGTGATAAGGACAAGTATGTAGTTACGAAGAAAGGTGATGAATACAGGATCTGAGATATGGTGGCCCTACCTTGCCTTTTAAAAGAAGAGCTATTTCTTCCTCAGATGCAATTCACATTTTACCAAAACACATCAAAAATCTTCCATCTTTGCAGCTGCCCTCCAGGGTCCTCCCCGTGTGGAAGAGCCTGTTTTCTGGATACACCTCTGAGCCTGTCTGCTTCTTGGCTCGGTGAACTCCTCCTCATCCATCAGGGCCATTCCGCAGGTTACTCCTTCTATGGCCGCCTAGGAAGTGCAGTACAGCAGCCTACAAGGCCCAAAATGATCAGCTGCCCCCAGCTCGCTTCCTCTCTGATCGTCTCCTACCTCCCCTCCAGCCACGTTGTCTTCCTTGCTGTTTCTGGGACATGCCAAGCATGATCCTGTCTCAGGGTCTTTGCTGTCCCTCATCTCTTATGTGTCTTTATTCAAATGTCACCTTCTCAATGACTGCTCCATTTAAAACTTCAGCCTAGTGCACCTGTCCCCTGTTCCTGCTCCACTTTCTCCTTTCCCATAACACTTCCTGTCATCTAACATGTTACATAATTTACTTGCTATGTTTTTTGTTTACTGTCCATCTTACCCTATCACATCCAATACCTTGTGAGATCCAGGAGAGCAGGAATTTGGGCCTGTTGCATGCTGAATATCCCACATACTGAGAACAGTGCTCAACATATACTAGGGGCTCAGTATATATGTGTTAGGGAGAGAGGGAGAGAGAGCCTACTATGTGCAACTACTTTTACTGACACTATCTTGCTTAATCCTCATAACACATCTTTTAGATGAGTTGTCATGATTCCCACTTTTCAGATGAGGAAACTGATGCCAAGGGAGTTGGAGTTTCTTGCCCAAGAAGTGGCAGTACCAGGATCAGAACCCAGGCCAGTCGGAATCTAGACTGTATTCCCCAGGCCGAGAGGTAGAGGTACCTCAGAGAGGGTGAGCTCAGCTCGTGGGCAGATCACACATAGCCTGGCAAGCCCAGTTCCCCAAGCCTGCCTGATTTTAGTGACGCACAGACTGGGCTTCTGTGCCCACTCTCGCTACAACATCTTTGGGAAGCAGATCCTAATATCTGAGGCCTTTTCCATCCCCACTTCCCACCAGGGTCTCTGCTTGGGTTCCAGAGGGAGGTTTGGGCAGTACAGGCCATGGCATTTGGACCCAGGCTGGAAATAGCCAGGCCCAGGGTCTGCATCATCAGTGTGGAGTGGGCTGCGTGACTCTGTTGAACCCAGAGTTTCTTTGTTAGCCTTGAGCCTCCACAGCCCCATCCCTGCCTCCCTTAACCCACCCTTCTCTCTGTAACCCGAGACCCCCAAACTCCTCATCCTCTCTTCCCTCTAGGCCCTGGGCCAAGCCTCCGCTGGCTTCCCTCTGCCATCCTGTGAATGTCCCTTTGTGCGGCAGCCCTGACGTGAGGTCCTTCCTGGGGAGGTGTTATTTTAATATATGGAGGGCAGTCATTGCATTTCATAAAGATAGCTTGTTTGGAGGGGCCAGCAGGGGCCAGGAGAGATCGCACTTGACAGATGCAGGGACAGCCTGTGGTTTAGGGGCTGGAGATCACAATGTGTGCCTGTGAAGCCCAGTGCTGGGCACCATGCCCCCGGCAGCCATTGCTGGAATGAGTCCTGCCACTGGGGCCAAGGCACACAGGAACCTTCCCCCCTTCACTGGTGGGACAAGTCCCAGTGATGGAGAATATGCGCAGGCCTGGGGGAAAGCAAACACTAGTACGAGGAGGCAGGCCTGGGAGTGGGGTGGGCATGGGATCTGTGCCAGCACCATCTCTGCCCCTCCCTCCTCAGCAGTGCGACCTGAGGAAATCTCTGCCCTATGGGCCCCTTTCAGCCCAGAGGATCACCCAAGGGCTTTCTGGCACTGTCATTCCAGGAGACTTTTAATCCAACCTCCCTAGAGTGGATGTTGAAAATAAATGAGGAGTGAACTCTGTCTCCTGCCACCTTGGGCCCTGCAGCCAAGCCAGGGTGATGGACAGGGTGACAAAGTCTGAACAGGGTTGGTTCCAGGACAGCTCTGGTTTGCTGCCGAGTAAAACACCTGGTCCTTGGGGAAGCGAGACCTGAGGGCAACCTGACCAGCTCCTCTCCTCAACAAGGAGCCTTTCTTTAACTGTGGTGGGAGGGGGGCAGTGGGGTCCAGGCTGGGCAGTCCCAGGGCACCCACTGCCAGGCATCAAGGTTGTTGAACTTGGAAGTGTACATGCTTCCCTCCGCTCAGCAGAGCAACCCACAGCTCGCTCAGTGCTCACACAGAGTGATCAGATACAGGCTGTGCTTTATGGTAACTTCAGTGAGAAGCGGGTGTTGGGCTGGGCTTCCTGGCTGGGGGGTGGGGCGAGTGGGCTGCAAGAGACTATCCACGTCCCCTCCGCTCATCCTCTGTGTCCAGTGTAGGCTCAGGCTATGAAACTCAGGTCTTCCTCCCTGTGGCCGTCTCCTGGGGAATTCCTTTGTTGAGTGTCAAATCTATATCCTTGGGGTGAGGCAGGGGCCGCAGGATATGATTTTGTCCTGAGGGCTGTTTGAATATCTCCCAACCCTTTGAGATGCGTTTTTAGATCCCTTGTTATGCAGGAAGCTGAGCCAGGACTGGGGTGGTGGAGGAGGAGGCAGGAGGCTCCTGCCCTTGTACTGGCAGAGCTCTTCCTCCTGAGCTCTTCCTACCCAGTATTCTGGTTGTCTGTGGCCACGTCTGGCCACTCCCCTGAGGGCAGGAGTGCCATCTGAGTCATGTCTGTGTCCTCAGCACATGTTGCAGAGCATGTGTCACGGTGCCCCAGATTCTTTGTGGAAGGAGTGGTACGTCATGTTCACTTCCCTGTCCCTATTCTTCACTCTTGGCTTGTTCATTCTGCTACTGGAAGTGTCCTCCTTCACTACCAGCACTCACACATACTGCTGGTGGGGTGCTAATTGACACAATGACTTGGTCCCATGTGGTCCGAAATGCATTCAGTGCCCTGCTGAAATATCACCTCCTCAGAGAAGCCTTCCTGACTGCCATATCTCACATAGCACACCCTGGTCCCATTCTGTTCCATCTTCTCACTCTGCTGTTCTTCGTGGCACTTGGTATTAGGTAGCTCCTTGTCAAGGTGCTTGTTGTGTGTCTCCCCACTGGAATGTAATCCCTGTGAGGCTAGTGACTTTTCTGTGTTCACTGCTATAAGAATAACAAGAACTTACTGAGTGCCTGCCATGTGTCAAGCACTGTTCAAAGCACTTTATGTGATGAATTTATTTAATCCTCCCAAACTCAGTAACCAAGTACCATTATATCTCCATTACAGAGATACGGAAATTGAAGCACAGAAAAGTTCAGTAGCTTGCCCAAGGTCACAGTACTAAGTGTCAGAGCCAGGATGTGAACCAAGGCGGCTTGGCTCTCAATGGCAGAGTCCTAAGTATTATTGTAGGCTGCATCCGCAACACCCCCACCCACACTGTGTATCACTGTATCCCCAGCATACAGAACAGTGCCTCCCCATGCGCCGAGCCCTCAATAATAGTATTTGAATTACTGAAGTAAAGAAAGAATATAAATGAATGAATATAGGCTGACAATATAAGTAAGTTCAAGGAGGAGCACAATCAACAATCAGAGGGAGGATCCACAGCAGGTTATTTGGGGGTTTCGGGATAATGCCAGGCCTGGAAGAGCATTGTCTCACAAATCGCTTTTTGGTGATTCCATCACCAAAGCCAGGATCCTGAAGCAGCCCGAGAAGTTGGGCCCCCGCAGAGTCCAAGAGCCTGCCCCTCTGATGAATCTAGGCAGTTTGCAGACATGCCTGAGCCCTCTGTTGATTTGTGGGCAGGGAACTTTTTCATAACTCTTCTCTTTTAGTCCCTGGAACAACGCTAGGAAGGTAGCGACTGTGCATTTAATCAACAACAGCATGTTTGGCAACTTCCCTGTGCAGTGTACTCATTGTCAAATCAAACACAAGGGCTCCCCTCTAAAAGCTCATAGCCAAGTGTCAACAAGCTCTCAAGCATTGAAATGTGAGGCAAGGTGCGCTAAGAGCATGGCTGTAAAGAGAACCTACACCAGCCTGGGCTAAGGGCAGGTAAAAGTAGGGCTTTCCTAAAAAGGCAACACCCAGGAAACCCGAGTAGAATTCAGGGAGGCTCTTATTTGTTCAACATCCCCCAGATGGTATGTGATGGAGTGAGGGTTTCTACTTAAGTCTGATCTCAAAGGATGTTCTTTCCACATACTGGCCACTCCCTCTGCCTGGCCCCCCAGAGGTTCTGTGAATGCACTCTGTCCCATAGAACACCAGGAGTTGGGATGAGGAGGACACTTTTAGGAAGCAAATCAGTTTTTGTTTTTGTTTTTTTTTTTAGATATTTGAAAACTATATATAATCAACTGAATTGAAATGTGAAACAGAAAACAATAAATAAGTCACTAACTTTATCCACTTCTCCTGGTAACCCAGGGGAGATGAAACACACCCACCAGCTGAGGGGCCATCTGGCCAGATGACACTGCGTCTGGACATAGACCTGTCTCACCACTGACCTCACAATGGCTTCTGCAGGGTGCTGGAAGCCCTCAGCACCATTTATGTACTTCTGTAATGTGTATAAATCACTCCCCACCAGCTTACCTTTTTTCCTCTTCCTATTCCTCTGGATGCCCTCGTAAAATTTTAAAAGCTTTGCATGTCAGACTGCACTTCCCAAGGCTCTAAAACTGGAGACTGGATTTGTACCTGCTGTTTCATGGTGCTGGCCTTCCCAGAGCCACATGGTCAACCTGAATTCCGATGATGGCTTCCATTTCCTCCAGTGTGTGATACATTCTTCAGCTGTTATCACCTCCTCACCATTCATTCACATAGAAGAATCCTAGGGTCATTTTCAGTCCTTATCTTTCTCAACCCATCAGCACATGCCCCTTCTTGAAATATGTCCTTCACTCATCCTACCTCAGTAGCCTCTGTTAGTCTCCTTGCTGCTTCTTTCTCACCTCTCTGACCTCTAAACTCTGGAGGGTCCCAGGGCTCAGTCCTCAGTCCTCTTCTTTCTGTACTTATCCATTCTTACTTTGTACCGAGGAGACCATCATTTCAATCTGCAGCCCAAATTCTCTCTTCGTACAAACTCTCTGGATTCATATATCCAGATGTGATATAGAATCTCCACTTGGGTGGCAAATACACATCTCTAGCTTAACAACTTTTAACCAATAGTTGATTCTCCCCCTCATGGGTTCCCAGTCCTGATTCTTACCAGACTTCTTCAATTCAGCACATGGCAGTTCCATTCTGCCAGTTGTTCAGGCCAAAAGTCTTAGAGTCATCCTTGACTGTTCTCTTTCTTTCTTAACCTCCATCCAGTCTGTCAGCAGTTTCTGTCATGTCTACATCCTACAGACAGCAGGATTCCACTACTTCTCCCCACCCTTCCTGTTCAGCACCATGGCCTCAGCCACCACCACAATTGCGTGTAATAAGCTGCCTGTAACAGGTCTCCCTTCTGTTGCCTTCTCCCACTCCAGGAGGCTGTGCTTCTCACAGAGCCTGGAGCCATCCTTCAAAACATTAATTCTGAAAACCCTCCACTGGCTTTCTGTTTTACTCCTAGCAAAAGCTAAATCCTAATGTGGCCTAAGAGCCTCTGCATAATCTGACCCCAGCTACCTCACTGACCTCATCTTGGACCACTGACACCATTACTCCACTTCAGCCATACTAGTCCCTTGCTCTTTCTTTTTTTTTTCTTTCATTTTTGTTTTTTCTTGTTGTTGTTGTTTTGTTTTGTTTTGTTTTGTTTGAAATTGGGTCTTGCTCCGTAGCCCAGACTGGAGTGCAGTGGCATGATCTCAGTGCACTGTAGCCTCAACCTCCCATGCTCAAGCAGTCTTTCCATCTCTGTCTCCCAAGTTGCTGGGACTACAAGCGTGCACCACTACACCCAGCTAATTTTTAAAAATTATTTTTTGTAAAGATGGGGTCTCACTATGTTGCTCAGGCTAGTCTCGAACTCCTGGGATCAAGCAGCCTTCCTGCCTCAGCCTCCCAAAGTGCTGGGGTTACAGGCATGAACCACCGTGCCTGGCTCTTATTGAACACACAAAACATATTCTTGCCTCTGCCTGGAACCCTTTTTACCCAAGGTAGTCCCGTGGCTCATATATACTTCATTTCATCCAAACCTGTGTTCAAGTATCACCTGCCCAGAGAAGCCTCCCCTGCCTGCATAGTAGCCCCGCTTACTCTCTGTCTCTGCGCCCTGCTTTATTGCTCATAGCACCTTTTCCTACATGGCGTGTATATTTGTGTGTTTCTCATCTGTTCCCCTGCTAAAATGTAAGCTCTATGACAGCTGGAACTTTGTTTGACTCATTGCTATGTGAACAGTGCCTAGTATGATCCTTGGCACATTTTCACAGCTAATACTTCTATAGCATTATTATGTACACTAAGCACTATTCTAAACAGTTTACTTGTAATAATAATTCAGTTAATCCTTATAACAAACTGAGGCAGAGATTAAGCAACTTGTCCAAGGTTATAGTGAGCCGGGATTGGAACTCAGCCACTGTTCCCTATGTCTCTCCTTGGGTAACTACTCCAAAAATATCTCTTAGATGAATGGGATCCAGCGAGTGCTGTTGTGCACCTCCAGACTCCATACCAAACAAGATAGGGATGGGAACCGGCACTAGTGCCAAGGACAGCCCCATAAACGTCCTTAATACAGCAACCTACCTGCTGTAATGAAGATGCACAGAGGATTTCTTTCGAAGCTGTTGCCTTTTTGAAGTTGGGAATTATATTCTTCTTCTTCAGGGCCTACAGTAGGCTCCAGTGAATATTTGTTGAATGAACGTTAAAGGGACAATGGAGGAAAAAACACCTAACTTTGCTCAGGAGATTCTCAAAGGCTCCTAGGGGTGACCATGTGAGAAGGCATTTGGCAGATGAGAGGCCTGCAGCATCAGGTCTGTGGATCCTTTGGCCCACCTGTCAGTGCTCAGTCACCTGTGGACACCTGGGCCCCCCCAGCAGTAGGAAGCTGAAGAAATGCTCTTTCACTGCCTGGTCACCCTGTAGAACACTGATGCCCAGGAAGTTGCAGCATCTCCCCAAGCAGCAGGCTCCATGGGCCTGGTAACAGAAAGGAGGCCAGCAAGGC
This sequence comes from Homo sapiens, assembly GCF_000001405.40. Taxonomy (NCBI): domain Eukaryota; kingdom Metazoa; phylum Chordata; class Mammalia; order Primates; family Hominidae; genus Homo; species Homo sapiens. The sequence continues at coordinate 47,890,436 of NC_000001.11, read as the reverse complement.
TTGAGCACAATGACTACCTCTGTCACCTCTTCTGCCACCAGCCTATCACTGCTGCTACTGTTACTGTACCTGCCACCTCCATGACCACGCTGGTCATGGCCATTGCTACTAACTGGGGCAGTGTTAGGCATTGGCCACCCTCACTGCTATTACATCCATCACAGCCACTGCTGCTATTACCACCTGACCCCGATCCTGTTACCCAAGTCTGTTGTAGTTACTTCTACCATTTCCAACCACAGCTACTGATATTATTATTACTAGTACTAATAGTTGTAGCTATTATTAACAACCTACCTGTGTAGCATACTCTGCAGTGTACAAAGCAGAGTGACATCCATGCTTGCTTTGACTGTCACAGCAGGTGGGTGAGGCAGGCAGGGTAACCTGTGCCAGATGAGAAAAAGGAGACTCAGCCAGAGATATTCAGCAACTTCATTCCATCCAGGTAGCAAAAAGCTCAGTGAACAAAGGGAGCTAATAATTTACTTTGGCTTCCTCTAGATGAGACACTGTCCTAAGCACATTTACAAATTCTGACCCATGTAATCTACACTGCGCCTCAAGACATTAAGTATTGTCTTCCTCGTTTATAACATGGAGAACGAGAGACTCAGAGAGGGTAAAGGTTGTGCCTGTGGTTGCCCAGCTGGGCAGTGGCAGGGTACTGCCTGGCTCTAGATCTCATGCCTCAGGGGCCAAGGACTGGAGGTTGAGTAGAAATGCCCCAGTCCAGGATTCTAGATACCTGGAGAGTAATCCTTCCACTGAATCCTTTGGTCACCAACTCTCAGCAGCTATGCATCTTTGACCTAATAGATAACCCTGTATGGGTCTTATTTTTACAATCTTCTGGTGACATATGCCTCACTGCCCTCACAGTTTGCTATTGGCAGAGTCAACAGTGGCTTGAGTCACTTCCAAGGTCTTATCCCCACATCTGGCAATAAGATTCAGGTATCTGTCATCAATGTGACATGAACACATGAACAATGTGACATGACAAGCCACATACCGTGCTTGGCAATTGCACAGGCTCTCTGTCCTTTATTTCCCCCCAAACCCTGAGAGGTGAGAAATTGTTTCAATTGACAAATAAGAAAGCTGAGGCTTAGAGAAGTGGTGTGAAATGACCAAGGACATTCGGCTTCTGCATGGTGGGGCAGAGCTGGGATCCAAGCCAGCGATCCTGACCTCCCATTCTGGGCAGCTTCCATGAGGCTAAGGTGTGTTGTGGATCTCAGAAGGATTCACCATCACCTGGTCCATCAGTCATCTGGTAGCTGTTCATTGGGTTCTTTCTGTGCACTGGGCTGTGTTAGGCCCACATTTTCAGTGGTGAAGAAGAGAGACGGTCTCTACCCTCAGGGAGAACACTGTCTCCTGAGACAGACAGACATCATACAAATTACTCCAGAGAGTGCAGTGTAAGCAAGGGCGCCAAGTACAACCCAGAAGTACAGGGGCTGGGGAGCGCGGGCCACAGGCACCTGACCTAGGGTGGGTGATGCTAACTGTTGTGACAACAAGCCCCCATCATTCAGTAGCTTCACAGCTCCAATGTGAGTATTCCCAGTGGGCCAGGGAAAACTCAGGGCCCTAGGTGGACAGAAGCTCTCTCATGGGCAGAAACAGCAGTCAGCGTCCGTGGGAAGGGACAAGGATCACACTGGGAGGGTCTCAGGGGCCAAGCCTGGAAGTGGCCTCATGCTCCAATGGCCAGAGTCAGTCTCATGGCCTTCTCTACCTACAGAGGAGGCTAGGGGAAGGCAGTTGAATTGTGTGCCTGGAAAGAAGAGGATATGGGTGTGGTAAGCAGGTGACAGTCACTGTCACTCCCAGTTTGGAGGTGATCAAGAGAATTTTCCCTACAGAAGTGACATTTCAGAGGAGATCTGAAGAAGGGACAGGAGGTAGCGATGGCAGGTGACTGGTGCTTTTTTGACCAGAGGACCACAGGCTCCTCCTCTCTGCAGCCAGTGCCCAGCCTTGTATGGGGTGAACAGCCTGAGCCTCCACTCCTCTCCCAGGGTCCCAAGGGCACTGCACCTGCAGATGAGAACCCTGCCCTCAAACCCAAGCAGGGGCCTCCCTCCAAACAGAAAGCCCCCTGCTCTATTTTCAGCCCATCAGAGGGAATTCCACGGGAGAACCCAGATGATCCTCTCCAGGGTTTTAACACTCCTTTGCCCCTGCTTTGCTGCTGGAGGCTGCCTTTCAGGCCCGTCAGGCTAAAGATTTTAACCTAAGATTTGAAAGGACCAGAGATCAAAAGCAGATGCTCCTGGAAGACACTTTAGCCTCCCCAGCCGTCTGGGGACATGGCTATGGAGGAGAAGACAATTCATCACGAACCATGCAAGCCCCCGTTCAATAATAAACAGATGTATTATGGGGGGAAAGAAAGGGATGGGTGTCAGCCCTTTGATTCATTTGTCTCCCTTGTGAAGTCACCTTCATCCTGGGCTCCGGAGGGCAGGCACAGGCGCTTTGAAGCAGAGACACCTTGTCAGGGAAATGGAAACATTTCACGTTGTAAATCCTCAGGGTTGTCAGAGAGATCCTAATGAGAGAGGAAGCTGTCAGGGGTGGCGGGGAGCACCCAGGACTGGTTTGGAGGGACCTGGGGAAGAAGACTAAAGGCGGTTCTGGGAGACAGGAACCTGGCCCCGTCCTCTCCTGATTTACACCCTTTCTTCGCTGCTCTTCAGCGCTAATAGGAAGCAGGCTGGTTTCCCCGGGTACCCCTGCCTGCAGCAACACTGTTTGCACTTGGTGCCCTTGGCCCAATCCACATGCTTTGCTCAGGTTAAGACTGTTCATTGGCTTTGTCATGTAATCACCCACCCCCCGCCGGCCCCCACCCCAGGACTTTCACATCCTTCACTTATGGCAAAGAACCTGAAAATGTTTTAACAAGTGGGAGATTTAAGTGTGCTTATCTCAAAACATAGGATGTCTCTTGGTCCCTGCTTAGGGGAAATTGAGTCATGACTCCCAAGCCCCACCCCACTCAAAGCCACAGATAAAACCACTAGGCATAAGGGCATCCTCCACAGACTGAGAGAGCTAGTAGCATGTCGAAGTTAAGATCAGGGTCCTCTGGGGTCAGTCAGTCCTGTATATGGAATTCCAGTTCTCCACTTATAGCTGTGTGACCTTGGGCAAGCTACTTAACCTCTCTGAGCCTCAGTTGCTATGTTGCAGAATGGGAATAGCAGTAATAGGAACTTCTGCCTGTCCCTGATTGTTGAGCGGATTGTGTTAATACATGTAATGTGTTTGGCCTGCTCAGAAATGGAATTATTATCACTAGATTTACCTCAAGGTAAAGCCACACTCAAGTTGTAGATTATTAGCCCACTTTACCTTTGAACAAACTGAGACTTAGAGAGGGAAGGGTTTATCCAGCTTCTCACAGGGAGCTAGAACCCAGCCTTCCTGACCAGTGCTTTCTCTGCGCCACCCCACTCCCACTTCCATGTTCTCAAAACTGTTTACCAAGTGTGATGATGATGGTGTGGAGGTGGAGAAGGCTGGAGCAGGGGGCCAGGGACACATTAGAAACCTGTCAGAGATGAAATGGCCCCGGACCAAGGCAGGCCCTTTGGATGTACAAGAGAAAAACTGTTTGAAAAACTGTTTAGAAGTTAAAATTCCCCCTAGACCATTTCTGGCCAATTCACCACTGTTTGTCCCTAGCCCCTAACACAGGGCCTGGCAGTGAGTAAACATAATATTTTTTGTTGTTATTTCTGAAGGAATAGAAGAATGAATGAATGAACGAATGAACAAATGATTAAAAGAGGGGTTGGGGGACTCATGGATGACTTCCAGGTGTCTGGCTTGGCATGTTCACTGAGGTGGAGAGAACAGGGAAAAGGACAAAATTCAGGGAGTGGTTTATAATAGGATCTCAGATAACTTTTGAACTTCTCATGTGTGCAAAGCCCAGAGACTATAAATTCAGTTCTATCAACCATTTGATAGAAATTTCCCTAACACCAGCTAGGTGTCCAGCAGTGAGGAGAGGTAGAGAGGAACAAGAAGCAAACCCCGCCTGCCCCACGGGAGCCCGAGCCGAGTGGAACGGCCAACACTTCAGCGGGTAAAGTTCATCCATCATGCTGAACAGTGCATATGCTCTGCATAGTGGCCGAGACCAAGTAGAGCTTGGAGGAGTGGAGATCCCTGGGGACTGGGTTGGTCATGGAGGGCTCCCTGGAGGAGGTGGGTTAGATGATGAATCAGGTTTGAACTGATGGGTTAGACAATGAACCAGGTTTGGGTGAGGATGGAAGGATCTTAGGGAAAAAGTTTGTACCTGAGGATGAATCCTTGGCATGAAGGAATTAGTATCCATCTCAGTGAACTTCGCAGTTTCTCTATCTCACTTCCTATATTCTTATCCAATAGCTACAAAATAAAGATTCTCTTCAGCCATATGCCTGAAGGTTGAAGGCATTCCAGACCCATAAATATTATTTTCAAAACCAACTGATGCATAAAACTAGACTTTGATTAAATATTACAACCAGCATTTGGTAACGGAGCATGAGACTGTCATTTATCAGCAAGCAATGTGGACATAATAATTCATTAAGCTCCTTTGAGCTCTATCTCAGCTGAGCACTCAGGACAGAAGGAGCCTAGAGAGGTTATGTTTTCTTTTGGCTATTTGCAGGATGCCTTCCCAAACTGCTCCTGAAAACCATTAGCTCCCTAGGAGGCCCCAGGCTGCTGCCCTCCAAGTGTCCCGGCCACCGAGCTACTTGAAAGGCCCTCATTTATCACCATGAACTCCCTGCCTCCCGCTTCAACCCAGAGATTTGGGGGGAGAGCACATAAAGAAACTTCCCCTTGCTTCGTTAAATCACGGTCCCCTGCCACCAACAGAGGACCTGTATGTGGAGGGATTCATCATCCATTCATTCAGAAGATGCTCCACAGTTACCAGATGGCCGATGCAGTGATGGGCACTGGAGATACCATGGGGAAAAAAGCAGACACAGCCCTTTGTCTCAAGGATCCCACAGCCTGAAAGGGGGTGCTGCAAGTAAATAAGACGGTCCACAGTGATACACATGGTAAGAGTGGAGGCACTGAGAACACACCTAGCCTGGCCTGGGAGTCAGCGAGGGCTTCCTGGAGGAGGTGGACACTAAGCTTAGGCCCAAAGGATGTGTAGGAGTTGGTTAAGTGAGTAGGACAGAGAAGAGTGTTTTAGGTACAGGCAATGGCATGTGCAAAAGTTTTGGAAGTGAGAGAAAGCATGGCACCTTGTAATGAAGTAATTTTGGTTAATAGGGGTTAGAGTATGAAGCAAGAGGTGGCAAGAGCTGAGGCTGGAGAGGTGAATTGGACCAGGTCCATGATATCCTTGAGCCTTATCTTTTGTAGTTTTGAGCAGCTGGGTGGCAGGGGAAGGGGAGGGGTGCTATGTTCAGGTTTTGAATGTCTGGGCACTTAAAGTGGGAGGCAGAGTGCCATGATAACGTTTGTAGTTTAAAAAGATGATCCTGGCTAGGTGCATTGGCTCACACTTGTAATCCCAGCACTTTGAGAGGCTGAGGTGGGTGGATCACCTGAGGTCAGGAGTTCGAGACCAGCCTGGCCAACATGGTGAAACCCCGTCTCTACTAAAAATACAAAAATTAGCCGGGCATAGTGGCGCGCACCTGTAGTCCCAGCTACTTGGGAGGCTGAGGCTGGAGAATCGCTTGAACCTGGGAGGTAGAGAGGTTGCAGTGAGCCGAGATCGCAACACTGCACTCCAGCCTGGGCGACAGAGCGAGACTCTGTCTCAAAAAATAAAAATAAAATAAATAAATAAAAAGATGACCCTGGCTACTGTGTGGAGAATGGACTGTTGAGACTGAGGCTGGACTCCATTAGAAGAGTTAGGATGAAACACATGCTCTTCACACTTTGCTTCTGGGCTTACCAGCCGGTGTGTAGGTTGTAAGGAGTTACCATCATGATAGCCAGGGTGTGCAGCTGGAACAAGCAACCCCAAAACTCTTAGTGTCTTCAAACAAGAAAGAGTTATTTTCTACCGTGTTGTGTGAACACCACAGATCTGCTGGGGGCCTCAGACCAGCCACTGTCCAGAACTTGGAGAGGGAAAAAGGACAGGAAAATTCCACACTGGTTCTTAAAGCTTCCACCCAGAAGTGACAGGCACCATTTCCATTCACATGTCATTGGCCAAAGCAAATCACACGGCCACTGCTGTTTTCAAAGAGCATAGGAAAGAGCCACCCTACAGGGCTCTGGGAAGATTGCAGAACCAGACTATTTATGGACTGGGCACCTAATGACTAGCACTGTGAGACTAGAGGCTCTATGGCTTTCCCATTATTTAACTGTCACAAATGCTGATCCAGTGCTTTTAGAATTTATTTCCATGTACCTGGCCACATTTTATCCTCCCACATCCCCTGGGGGTCAAGCACAATCATCCTTTCCAAGACACCAGGCTCAGCTTCCTAAAATCCCCATGGAGAGAGAGATCATGGCTCAGGAACCTCAGAGCTTTTGGTAAAGTTGAGTAGGCATGGACCTCCCAGATGCTTTGAGCACATTTTTTACTTTCACTAAAATGAGCAATACAGGCAACTTGCTGAATAAAGAGAAAGCCAGTGGCACTTACACATCTAAGTGAGACATCATGGAGACTGAACAGTGGGTTTGCGTTTGCCATCCCTCTGAGCATCTGCCTCCCTGTAGTTGGAACAAGAAGATTGTAAATGTGTTTTGGTGAAGACAGTACATATGCACTGGGGCATTTATTTATTCTGGGTCTGGCTAACCATCCAGATGTCCTGACTTGTGACACAGCTGAAGGCTTCAGGCTCTTGGTCCTTCTAAGATCTCAGAGAAGCTGCCCCAAGACACATCCATATTCAGGGCCACACTTACTTTCCATCCCTGAGTCTCCTCCAGCTGTCTTGTCTCAGCCTTCTTTTTCTACTCCCTACCCCCTAGTTATGTCTCTGTCTTGTTGCCAAGAGGTATGAGTTTCAGTGGAACTAAAATTCTGATGATGACTGAGATGAACTTGAACATCAAGCCTATAATACCAGCATTTTGAGCTACAGAACTCAAATACCAGCATTTTGAGCTAGAGAACTCAATTTTGAGACAATGTCAAGACCAAGGGCTCTGGGAGAAGCCTGACTTAGAATTAAGTCCCAACTCTGCTGCTTAACCCAGGTGTGGCCTTGGACAAGGTATTTAGTATCTCTGAACCTCCGTTTCCTGGCCTACAAGCTGGGTATATGGAGGCAGAGAGCTGATAGGGATGTTGTAAAGAGTGGGTAAGATAAGACAAATCAGGCACTTGACAGTGTGTCTTGAAAAGTGAGAACTACTAGAATGATAATTATTATTTGTAAGTTCTTCAAGGAAAGCTCACATTGGAGAAAGATTTCTGTGTTATTAAGTGACTTGCCCAGGGTTATGCTGTTACCACATGGTACTGCGAGACCTGCCGGGGGTTGTGGGAATGAGCAGCTTCTCCAGGACTCCTCTCCCAATCCTTTTACCTGCCTCCTTCCTGGGGTGCATCGTCTGCTTTGCCCCTCCAGGTGCCTCCTTCCTCACTGTTACCTTCCTCGTTCCTCAAATAAAAAATTTCCCCACAAGCTACCAACTTATGGCTATTTCCTGATGACCTGATTTGGAGGTTATTGTGACCCTTGCTCCCCTCCAGAGCTGCATGGCATGTTAGCGTTCACAGAGCTCTCCTGTTAAGGCCAGGACTGAAACCCAGGGCCTTGGTGGCTATGGTGGGCATTCTGCTTCTGCTCACATAGGTGCTGTCTGTGTTAGATACAAGGTGACTATTGCATACACAAACACCCCTATGTGCATGACAAAGTCAGCAGACTATCTGAACCAAACATCTGATGGACCTGCATTTTATAAGTTTCTCCTTCACCCTGGGACCACCAGATGGAGCTGAGAACAGAGACCCCCTCACCCGCAACCCTAAGACTTTTGCAAAGGTCTGGGCTAGAGCTGTCAAGGCCTGAGCCAGGGGAGATGTCACAGGGTGGAGGAGAGGGATGAGGAATCAGACTCAGGGGGCAGATCCTGGGGGTGATGCAGTGGCAGAACGGACGAGATCACTGTGGCGGGTGGTCAGGCACACACGTGCAGTCCCCACAGTGAAGTCCCATGCAACGGCAGCATGGGGAGCATGAGGCAGGATGTGCTTCTGCCATTGAAGCCCTGTGTTTGCTGGTGTTTACATAAGGAATGGAATTAATTAAATGCCACAGGGCCTCCTCGGTTGCTGAAAATAAACCCAGCCAGGCCCCCAGCAGCGCAGCCTGCCTGCCTGCTTGCTGCAGAGCGGGGCGTCTGTTGGATTTCTCCAGGCTTCTGAGGGCAGAAGGCACACACGCTCACATGGCAGGGATTACTGTTGCAGTCACCCTCTCCCCACAGGCAATGCGTCAGAGCCAGATGTGGCTCTGAGCCCTGCCCAACTCCTCATGGGGGTGTGCAGATGAACGGCCACATACAGGCAGCCAGAGACACACAGAAACACAGAGACATGTTGATTCATGCAAATAAGCATGGGCCACCAGGATGCACAGTTATATCAGGACATGCAGACACAAAGACAGATGCCACAAGCCATGCAGACATGTGGTGTCTATGAGCACATAGTGAAAAAGATAGCCTGGCCACATAGGTTCAGATAAGCCCGCCACACGTGCTTTCAGAGCCCATGAGAACACAGTCACCCAAGCACCTGGTCACATACCCACAGACTTACGAGGATACATGTAGACATGGCTTCAGAACCAGAAAGCTTCAGTCTGCTCCTGAATCTGCCTTTTGCTAGAACTGTGCCTTTGGGTTTGTTTCTTAGCGTAAAGCTTTGTGCCTCAGTTTCCTCAACTGTAAAGTGCGGTAACAATAGTACCAATCTCATGGTGTCATTATGAGGATAAAAATGGGAAAATGGATGTCAAGTTCTTAGCAGAGTTCCTGGTGTATACTAAGCACTCCACAAACATTAACTGGTATTATTCTGTCTTAACACCGTCCAAGTAATGGGCTTACACATAAACATGGGACACTCAAATATATTCTGACACACAAACACACATCTGCACCAAGTGACACAGGGGCACACAGAGAGACAACAGATCCATTCACATGAGCTCACAGCAAGCCTGCATGGACCTGCCTCATGTAGGCCTGTGCTTACACACACACTCCCGGGCCCACCACCACCACCACCACTGCAACCCAAGTTGATCATGGGCATGGGACCAGACCATGCAGGATTAAGGAAAACTGAAAACCAGATTCTTGGCTGTGGAGGCCCATGCCCTGCGGTGTAGTCTGTAGCCACTGAAACACACAGACTTTTTTGTGACTCTCCATGGCCTACAGGACAAGATCTAAGCTCGAGCCTGAATTTATGGACCGCCATGGGGTGCTCTCGTCTCTCTCCGAACCTCACTCCTCCCCGCTGGATTGCTGTTCTCACTGCTGCGAGGGGACCCCCAATGAACAGTACCCTCTAGTTCTCAGCAATTGAGGAAAAAAAGCAAATGATAGCAAGTGGGGGCCCAAGCATAACCTTTATTACTGAGAAAGTTCAGGTTGGCCCTCATATCTTATTGTGAGAGGCGGAGAAGCCTGCTAACTGGATCCCAGAATTGGTTAGACCCAGTCCCAGGACTCAGACAGTGCCAGAGGAAGCAGGCCTCCCATGGAGCATCTCCCCAGGTAAGACCTAGAACACGGAGGGGCAGAGGAGAACCTGTGCACACGCTGTGCCTCCACATTGCTTCCCCATGACACCTCCCCGGACAGTTCCCCTTGATGTCTAAAACCTAGCGACTCCCCACTCTGTTCTCTCATAGCCCCTGTTTTGACCTGGTATCCGCGTTCCATGCTGTGTCACAATATGACCACACACTTAACGACTTAAAACAAAACTGATTGTCTCACAGTCTCTGTGTAATTATTGTTTCCTGATTCAAAAAATAAAAATAAAAACCTTCACCCAAAAGGAATTGACTGAATGATCGATTGGTTGATGATCAATTCATTTCTGTTTTTACATCTTTTTCTTTCTCTTTTTTTTTGGTGGGGAGACCGAGTCTCACTTTGTCACCCAGGCTGGAGTGCAGTGGCACAATCTCAGCTCACTGCAACCTCCACCTCCTGGGCTCAAGCAATTCTCCTGCCTCAGCCTCATGAGTATCTGGAATTACAGGTGCCCACGACCACCCCCAAATATACAATAATTTTTTTATTTTTAGTAGAGATGGGTTTCACCACATTGGCCAGGCTGGTGTCAAACTCCTCACCTCCAGTGATCTGCCCACCTGAGCCTTCCAAAATGCCGGGATTACAGGCGTGAGCCGCTGCTCCTGGCCTGTATTTACATCTTTAAGGAGCCTCCTCTCTCCTAGAAGCTAAGGGTGGAAAAGGAGTGAAGCAGTTGTTACTCCAGACAAAGAATCAACACAGATGACTAAAATGGGAGGGAGAAAGCACGAGAGGGGTCAGCCTGGCAGGGGTGGCCTCCCCACAGCTCCCTGTCTACATCTCAGCCACATCAGTAACAGCCCTACACTGCATCAACCATTTGGACTCTGGGGTCTCCCCACTCTCACTTCTGGCCCTTCTTGGCCTCCTTAAGAACAAGTTATAGATGACATCTAAATGAGCTGTCTCTTTTAAACAACTTTTTGTTCTAGTTGTTCAATGTAAATTTATTGTAGAAATAGAAAAGTACAAATAATATAAAAATCATTCTGAAATAATTGTTACCATGTCAATGTATTGCTTTCTTACCTATTTTCCACAGGTATAGAGTCATGCATGACTTAATGACACGCATACGCGTTAGATGATTTCATAGTTGTACCAACATTATAGAGTGTACTTGCACAAACCTAGAAGGTGTGGTGTAGCCTTTTACACACCTAGGCTGTCTGATATAGCCTATTGCTCCTAGACTACAAACCTGTACAGCATGTTGCTGTACTGAATATTGTAGGCAATTGTAACACAGTGGTAAATATTTGTGTATCTCAACATATCTAAACATAAAAAAGTAAAATAAAATAAAAATTTTACATATTAAAAATATAATCTTACGGAATCACTGTTGCATATGTGGACTGTATTGAACAAAAACATCAGTATGTGGCACCTGATTATATATTTATATGTATGTGTGTTTTTTAAATAAAATTGAGACTAGGCCATATACTGGTGAATACTTTTTATCGTAATGCTTCCTACATGTCGTACTATCATCACTGGTCTATGCATAAACTTTTTTTTTTTTTTTGAGACAAGGTCTTACTTCATCACCCAGGCTAGAGTGTGGTGGCATAAGCACAGCTCACTGAAGCCTCAACCTCCCGGGCTCAGGTGATTGTCCCACCTCAGTGTCTTCAGTAGCTGGGACTACAGGTGCATGCCACCACACCTAGCTAATTAAAAAAAAAAAAAATCTTTTGTAGAGATGCGGTCTCACTATGTTGTGCAAGCTGGTCTCAAACTCTTGAACTCAAGCAATTCTCCTACCTCAGCCTCCCATAGTGGTGGCATTACAGGCAGGAGCCATTGTGCCTGGCCCATAACCTTATTTCTTTTTCCTTGTTTGCTTATTTATTTGTGAATACCATAATAAAAACTCTGAACTTACCACTTAACCCAAGAAGTAAAATCTTACCAGTAACTCACATTTACCTGTGTGCTCACCTGCTCTCCTGGCCCCTGCCTCTCAAGAGATAGCTCAATTCTAGATTTTGTATTTGTCATTCCTTTAATTTTTAAAAATGTAGTAGTGTCATATAAATGCTATTGCTTGATTGTGCCTGCTTTTTTGACATCATTAAGGAGAGAATGATGTATGCGTAGACGTCTGAGACTTGCTTTTTCACTCGCTATGGTGTCACTAAAAATCTTCCCTGATGTTGCCTGTGTTGGTGGCCCTTCTAGTTCGTGGCTGTGTGATGCCACATTGTGTGAATCACCACAGTGTAATCCCTTCTGTCTAGGCACATCACGTTGTCTCATTATAACCTACTCACTGAAAACATTTTTACAAACATGTTCTTTTTTTGGGGGGTGCAGGGGAGAGTCTCTCTCTGTCGTCCAGACTGGAGTGCAGTGGTGTGACCTCGGCTCACTGCAACCTCCGCTTCTCGGGTTCAAGCAATTCTCCTGCCTCAGCCACCCAAGTAGCTGGGATTACAGGTGCTCGCCACCACACCTGGCTAATTTTTTGTGCTTTTAATAGAGATGGGATTTCTCCATGTTGGCCAGACTGGTCTTGAACTCCTGACCTCAGGTGATCCACCTCCCTCAGCCTCCCAAAGTGCTGGGATTACAGGCGTAAGCCACCGTGCCCGACCACAAACACGTTCTTTTTTTTTTTTTTTCTGAGATGGAGACTTGCTCTGTCGCCCAGGCTGGAGTGCAGAGTGCTGGAGTGCATGTTCTTGGGCTCACTGCAACTTCTCTGCCTCCTGGGTTCAAGTGATCCTCCTGCCTCAGTCTCCCGAGTAGCTGGGACTATAGGTGTGCACCACCACACCCGGCTAATTTTTTATTTGTATTAGAGACAGGGTTTCAACATGTTAGCCTGGTCTTGAACTCCTAACCTCAGGCAGTCCACCAGTAGCTGCATAATATTTTATTTATGGAAGACTGCATCTTTTTAAAATCACTTCTCTATAATTGACTTTTAGGTTATTTATAATTGTATAAATGCTGCTACTACACACATCCCTTCAGGTAATTTTTTCATGCCTCCAAAGTGTGTTTTTCTTCAAGTGAGTTCTGAGATGTGCAACTGCTACTCAGAAAGTTTGAACATTTTTAAGGTTTTTAATAGAGATGGCGAGATGCTTTCAGATGGTTTCCACTAATCCCTGTGTTCACAACACCTGCCAATATCGGGTACCATCATTTATTCAAGGGACAGAAGAGGGAGGGAGGGAAGTAAGGGAGGACACGGATGTATTTGTCTTTTTCAAAGGACCCAAGCCTTTGCCATTTGAAGCTGGATATGCACTTAGAGTAGATCACCATCCCCTGCTTGGCCACTCTCTCCCTTCCCTCTGTTCCAGCTGCCCTGGAGCTGGCCTCCTGTGAGCTCCTTTAACACACCAAGCTGTCTTCCCAACAGCCTTAACAGGCTGTTTGCTGTGCTTGAAACATTCACCTGCCCACCCCCCAGCCCCATTGCCAAAATATACACAGAGCTGACTTCTAGTCCTTTGGGCCCCTGCTTGTATTTCACAAACTCAAAGAGTCCTTTTCAGATGTCCCTTTCTGAGTGCCTCTTTCCTGTCCCCATCATTATTCCCTAACCCCAATTTGAGCCCTTCATGATACTTATCACAATTTGCAATGTTTATTTCTTTGTCTCTCTTCCTTACCTGACTGTAAGCTTAATGTGAAAGGGGCCATGCATGACTTACTAGCTACTATTATAGATCTGCAGTGCCTAGCACAGTGCCTGGCACACAGGAAGAGCTTGACAGACAGTTGTTATTGAAGGAATGATGAGTGGATGAACGAATGCATGAATGACCTAGCATGTAGCCCAGTGCCTGGCAAACAGTTGGTGCTTAGTATGTGCGTATATAAAGAGTAAACAGAGACATGAAGGAGTGCTGCCTGCTGCTGTCAGTGCTCTCTGAGTGGGGCAGCACTCACTCCCTCCCGGAACCCCTCCCAGCACTGCTGGAGGCTGTGGGCCCCCCGGCTGGGCCAGGGGAAGTTTCTGGCATGTTGCAGGTAGGCTTCTGAGGAACAGGGCTATGGCTTCCTTCTCCATGAACCTGTACTTCTCCAGAGAGCTCTGAATCCTGAAGTTGCGGGGATTTCCTAGCCCCTCCCCACCACCATACACAAGCCCCACTTGTAGGTACTTAGTCTGTCTCCCAGCTAGAGGCCTCTTGACCTTTTGACTTAATGATTAATGCTGCAGAGATGGGGTTGGCTGGCTAACCTAGAGTCTGTGCTCTGGGCCAGGAGTCAGAGACAGTTATGGTTCCCAGGTTGCCATGGGAAGTCCCTTCACTGGATCTGTGCTTTGTTCTCTCAAGTCAGGGCAATGACGACATCACACTGTTCTATGTTCGGGTTTATGTGGCTTTTTCCCATGAGTTATTTGATTTGATTTTTCTCAGCAGCCCTGTGATCTCAGGGTTATGCTCCCCACTTGAGTTGACTGAACTGAGGCTTAGAGAGGGTGACGCGCTTGTTCAAGCTCAGTGACAAGTCAGGCTTGTGTGACTCCAGACACTTCTTTTCATTCCTGTTACTGTAGAGTAGTGGAGTGGACCTTCTGGGAGGCTGGGACCTCCAGTGGGCTGGAGGGAGCACCATTTCCTTTGGTTGTGGAAAATATATCTGTCTGTCTTGGCTTTGTTTGTGACACTGTTCTTTCACATGTTCATTTTGTAAATATACATCATGTGCTGATGCAGCACAAAGCACTGTGGAAGGTTCAGTGGGAAACACAAATATAAATAGATGTGAGTGTGCAGAGAGGCCAGGGCTGTGGCCACAGCCAGCACTGATCTGTGGCTGGGTTGAGAACTCACCTGGGGGCCAGGATCAGAACTCTCAGGGGACTTGGGATATTGAGGAAGTATAATGACCTCCCTGCAGGTAGAAGAAGTCACTTTGTCCTTTTCTTTTCTGCTCTTTCTTTCTTTCTTCCTTTCCTTCTTCTTTTTTTTTTTTTTTTTTTTTTTTTTGAGACAGGGTTTCACTCTGTTGTGCAGTAGCACGATCATGGTTCACTGCAACCTCCATCTCCTGGGCTTAAGTGATGCCCCCACCTCAGCCTTCTGAGTAGCTGGGACCACAGACATGCACCACCACACCCAGCTGATTTTTATATGTTTTGTAGAGACAGGGTTTTGCCATATTGCCCAGGCTGGTCTTGAACTCCTGGGGTAAAGCGGTGCTCCTGCCTCTGCCTCCCAAAGTGTTGGAATTACAGGCATGAGCCACCACGCCCAGCCCACTTTGTCCTTCTTAGCTTAAGAGAAAGCTTATTGAAATCTAGGACTTTTTAGCTTTAAGGGCAGCATATCTAGTGTTGCCGCGTGCTGTGCGTGAATACTAAAGAACACTCTCAGCTCCTATTGTGGTAGGAAATTTTCAGTCTTCCACTGTACTCAGGAAGAAGTCTCCATGGAGTGCTAACATGCTTTTAACAACTTGGAACAGACTGTTTCCTATCTGGGAGGGGCTGATCTCCTTTTAACACCTAAGGCTTAGCCTGCCCTAGAGACATATTCCAAACCTCTCAGTCTGAGCCCATGAGCCTTACAGCACTGATTTTGTCACCCATATAGAGTCCTGGGTGAAAGCGCTACATCCTTCGCCAAAACCCCACCAGGATCTTGAAGTCACTATGAGCAAGTGTGTGAGGACAGACTGAGTTGAGGAGCTCCTGGGTTCAGAAGCAGTGAGTGAGGAGACAAGAATAACCACTTCTTGTTTCAAGACCTCAGTTTTTTCCTGTCTAAAATGAGAGTGCAGGCTGGGCACAGTGGCTCACTCCTGTAATCCCAGCACTTGGGAGGCTGTGGCAGGGAGACCACCTGAGACCAGGAATTGGAGACCAATCCGTCTCTTAAAAATATATGTGTATATGTGTGTGTGTGTGCGTGTATATATATATATATATTAGCCAGGCCTGGTGGTGCATGTCGGTCGTCCCAACTACTCAGGAGGCTGAGGTGGGAGGATCCCTTGAGCCCAAGAGTTCAAAGCTTCAGTGAGCTATAATCCTGCTACTGCACTCCAGCCTGAGCAACAGGGAGACCTTGTCTCTTAAAAAAAAAAAAAAGGCCGGGCGCGGTGGCTCACGCCTGTAATCCCAGCACTTTGGGAGGCCGAGGCGGGTGGATCATGAGGTCAGGAGATCGAGACCATCCTGGCTAACAAGGTGAAACCCCGTCTCTACTAAAAATACAAAAAATTAGCCGGGCGCGGTGGCGGGCGCCTGTAGTCCCAGCTACTCGGGAGGCTGAGGCAGGAGAATGGCGTGAACCCGGGAAGCGGAGCTTGCAGTGAGCCGAGATTGCGCCACTGCAGTCCGCAGTCCGCAGTCCGGCCTGGGCGACAGAGCGAGACTCCGTCTCAAAAAAAAAAAAAAAAAAAAAAAATTAATTAATCAATTTAAAAATAAAATAGTCTGGGAGTTAGGGAACAGAATTGAATTCTTTTATCTCTAAGTTCCCAAGTTGCTCACTCATTAGGCCACTTTGCCCATCAGGAATTCACCCACTTACCCCTTGCACTAGAGATGGGGCTCTCTTTGCAAGTTTCCATTTTTACAAGCTACTCACTCTATCCTGACCTCTGCTAGACAGGTAGTCTTCTTTCTCTAAGACAGGGTCACAGTCTGGCCATGGTTAGCTTTGAGGCAAGTGACAGCAAGTTCTCCAGTCACACATTTTTCTCCTAGCATCTGTGTCCTCTCATAACCCATGTTCTTACACAGAAAGCCAGTGTTTTGTCTTAAAAGGAGAGAAAAAAAGCAAACACCTACTTTATATAGTGTCAGAATGACTCCCAAACCGACTCTTGGTGTTTAGTCCTTTGTATTAATTCATGCAGATTCTGACATAGTAAAATAATGTGCTGGACAATGTTCTAGTCCCCAGGGCCTGGCACACAATAGATTCTTGGTGTGGTCCTCTCTCAGGCTTCACAGGGCCACCAAGACCGTGCATGGCTTGACACGTGTTCAGACCTTCTCCACTGGGAGTGGAAAATCAGTCGCATGGTCTAGACAGGAAAATCTGCTGGTGTAGACACATCTGGAAGATGATGCAGCCAACACCCTGCTTCCCTCGTTGTCCTGGTCCTGTGAGCTTGCTCTGTGTAGCACACGCCCTCGCCCCAGCCACATGCTGTCTGCTGCCCCTGCTGACTTTTGCTTGTAAAGAGTGTATGTTTGGAGCTCTTTAGACAGTGAGCCAGAAATGGATATATCCACCCCATAAATTTGGTAAAGAGAGGCAAATAAAGACTACCTGACATCAACATTGTGGACACTTTGGAAAAGCTCCCTTACTGGTACTTGGGTGAGCCACACACCAGCTTCATCCCTCACTCAGGTTCTGGGCTCTAAGCATGGGAGGTGCTATGGTCCAGATGTTTCTATCCCCCCAAAATTCACATGTTGAAATCTTGACCTTCAAGGTGATGGTATTAGGGTGGGGCCTTTGGGAGGCAATTAGGTCATGAGGGCTCTGCCCTCACGATAGGATTAATGCTGTTAATGATTAATTTTGTTAATGATTAATGATCGGATTAAAGCTACCCCCTAGAGCTAGCTAGCCCCTTCCACCAGTGAGGACATGGCAAGAAGGCACCATCTATGATTGCAGGAAGTGGGCCCCACCAGGCACTGAATCTGCCGGCACTTTGATCTAAACTTCCCAGCCTCCAGAACAGTGAGAAATAAATCCTATTGTTTATAAATTTCTCAGTCTATAGTATTTCATTATAGCAGCCCCAAAGGACAAAGATAGGAGACATCATTGTCTGTCAGGCACAGGAGCCCTGAGGGCCCCACAGGTAGCAGCCATGCCCAGGTCAAACTCCCAGCCTTCCCCCCACTCCCTGGACCTTCCCCACCAACCCAGTCTTCTCAAGGGACTCCCTATCCCTCCAGGGAGCCAGATTCTCCCCAAGATAAGGTAAATAACGTATAAGGATTGTTCTCATGGGACAGCTTCTTAGTAGACATCTCAGTCCTTCTCTGACTCTTCCTTGGCCTTACTTCTCCCTCACTCCATCTTCATTCTCTCACCATCTATACCAGCTGCCCACCCACTTCTGCTCAGCTGCCTCCCCACATGCACATGGGGAGTTGAAGCCAGAGAGGTAAAGGCAATACTTGGGCTGGGAGTTGGGACCCCAGGCTGCTAGCTCTGTTGCTGCCCCTGTTCCTTGTGGGGCCTGGCATTTACCTCTTCATCCATCCATCCATTCCTCCATTCATTAATTCTTTTCAGTCTCCCGGAGGTGGCAGGGAGAGTGGCAGCCAGTGAGGTCTATGAGGTTAAGGAATACAAGCAGCCTGCTCAAGGTCATCTGAAACCACAACAGCCAGACTTGCAAGCCTGAGCCATGACCCAGAAAGGGAGTGGAATGTTATCCTGGGAGGCCAGACACAGGTCCAGAGGGACTGGAGTGAATTAGACTGTAGATGCAAAACAGGCCTGAGCCCACAGACATAGGGTCCCCAGAGAGGATGGGACTAGTGCTGCCATGACCCTGCATGCTGCTGTCCTCCCAAGGTGCATCAGACCGACACATCACACACCTGGTCCATCCTGAACATGGAACTGCCCTGCCTTGCAGGAGCCCAGAGTTCAATGGCTCATTAATAGACTCTTGTTCCCCAGAGCAGATGCAAGATGACTCATATCCCAGATATCCCTTGGGAGTGCACCAGTGCACTGACGCACAGGCACCTGTTGGCCCCCTTGGTCCTTCTCCTTCCTTGGAGAAGTCCCTGATCACTGCAGAGGCCATTTGGCCATTGTTTGTACCAAGATCCCCATGTTGCTGGTGTAGAGAGCTAGTCACTTCCTGGGGGGGCCAGGAGGAAATGGATGAGCGATGAAAAGACAGAGCACTGGAATGGAGGTCAGAGCACCAGGATCCTTAAGCAGGCTCTGCCTCTAACCAGCTCACTGGGAACCACTGCCTTCTCAGGGCTTCGCTTTCCCTACCTGTGAAGTGGGCAGGGTTAGCTCCCTCCAACACATCTTCCCACCTGTCCCGACCATCTCTGGCTCTGAGTGTGTGAGCGGCAGGTATGAGCCTTGCAGGAACCAGCCCACAGAGGATGAAAATGGTTCCACTCCCTGGGCGGCCATTCAGGGCGGTTCATTCAGGGCTCCAAGTCATTCTGTTCAGTAGGCATGCAGTGTGTACGTGTGGCGGGGTGGCTGTGGGGGCTGGTTTGTTTTTGAAAGTGAATGAATTTCCTTGCTGGCTCTGAGCCAACTTGCCTCCTGTCAGATTTCAAACCCTAATCCAGGTCTGGTTCTGGTTACTGCAGGGATTGAGGGCAGGGGAGGATCTGGGAGGGGCCACACTGACGGCGTATGCTGGGGTTTCCTGGGTCCTTTGCAGTTCACCCAAGCACATTCTCCTGCTCCTGCCCACCTCTCTAGCTTCCACCCTGTAACTCTCATAACTCTCAGCCCCTTACTACTTGGGCAAGTGACTGTGCCTCAGTTTCCTTAACTGTAAAATGGGAATAATATTATCTACCTCATAGGCTTGTTTGTGAAGATTAAGAAGAGTCAACACATGTAAAGCACTTAGAATAGTCTGGCATATAGAAAACAAGAAAAGATGTAGGTGTAGCTATCATTATTACCCTGATTATGATTATTTTTATGCTGTATGCTCTAACCCAAAGGAATGTCTCCCTGCAGTCCTGATGCTTTATAAAATTCAGTGCCTCCACATTCTTCATATGCTGTTCTCCCTGCCTAAATGCCCTTCCTGGTCTGATCTGCCTAGACAATCCCATTGTCCTTCAAGATTCAGCTCAAACTGACCCATCCTCCCTGACACACTAAGTTTAAGAGTGCATCACATCCCAGTCAGGCTTCCTGCTGCACTTTGTTCCCATTTAACGTAGGTCATGCTGGCTTGTGATGTACCTCCTCCCATGTCTGTGTCCCACACTAGACCCTGAGCCATTTGAGGTTAGGAAGTACAACTGATTCATTTTTGTGTCACTAACACAAGCACAAGGCCTGAGGCAGGTGATGTGGGCAATGCATGTTTCCTTCCTTCCGTGTGTGCTGGAAAACAGGAGGGGACGTGCGCATGAGTAATCCTGATGCATGGTGACAAGTGCCATCATAAAGACACAGACAGACATAGGTGGGTGCCTGGGAGAGGGATTCATTCTGATTGAGGCTAGGGGGAAGGGGTGTAGGAAATTGAGGAAGATGAGGTAAGGCTGTGAGCCTCCAGCTAGTTGTGGAAGTGCTTCATAGGTGTAAACTGTTCTGCAGCTACCAGCAACACAGAATTCCCATCAGTTTTCTCTGTGTAATGCAAGAACATCATCATACAGTGTTGTTTATCGTCATCAGAGCTGGGTTCAGGTCTGCATCTCTAATGGGGAGTGATCTATCCACTGATCTCCAGGCTCCCCTCCCTAACCCCCATCTCTACTTCCACTCTGAGATGAAGGCCTGCTTCTCCCTTGCAGTTACAGGTGGGATGGGAGTACAAGAAATACCAGATAACATATTGATTGGTGAAATTTTAAATCTTTAGCTGCAGGTTTCCTTGCCAGGTAGGCAAAGGCAATCATTATTCAAGGTAAGAAATGGGGATCTTCAGTCCAGCTCTTGGGACGCTAGGTGTGCTCAAATTACTGTGTGGTTCCCTGATTGGATCCTGACTGATACCCAGGGGCTCCCACTTTCTTGTTGGTCTGATGGGTTAGGTCTGCAGAGAATCTCCCCCTCCACCACCCTCATACCCCTTCCATAGCACAACTGCTGGGACCCAGCCCCAGCTGCCTCCGTGGCTTCCAAATGTTCTTTGCTTTTGATTTGCCTTGATTTCCCAAACCGCATGTGATTGGGAGGGAATGTGCCATGTGTTTCTGATTCAGCTCTCCTGTGCTCAAAGGCAATGCGATTTTGAGCGCTATCTGATGGCCATTGAGCCTCAGAAATAGGTTCTTCAAGCCTTCTTTTCCTGCCTTCTCTCTGCCCTCTCCCTTGATGAAGAAGAAGTAACCCTGGCCAAGAACTGGTCAACTCCACAGCCCCAAGACTTGGCGAACCAGTCCTTACCTCCCCATGCTGAATCTCTGAACCTGGGAGACTGCAGATATCCAGAATGGAAAACAGGGTGCCCTTTGGAGAGGACACATGCCATCACAGCATCATCTTCTTTTGCGGACCACCGTGGCGCATGTTTGCTTAAATCGGTGATCACACCTGTTGTTGCTGACTGATTTGGTGGTTACAATGAGTTTACTTTCCAGCACATTGCAGACCTATTGCTGGAAATCAGAAAATATTTTTATTTGTCTTAGGTTCAACAAGTCTTGAGACTTTTCCTTTTCTTTTTCCTGCTAATCAGCAATGTCTGTCCATTTATTTAGTAAAATTTTATTGAGAACCAACCTAATATGAATGGTTTTGTATATATGTATACATGTATGTGTATGAATGGAATATGTGTAAGACAGTTCCTACCCTCAAGGTGGGAGAAATGAATACTTCAAGAGACAATTCCATGACATGGAATTCTTATGGGGGAAGCACAGGTAGAGGATGAGCATAATTCATTTGGGGGAAGGAGGGAGGGAGGAAAGAAGAAGGGGACCAATTAGGGGAATCTTCCCAGAGGCATCAAACCTTTCTCTAACTGCTGCGTGATGCTCATGGGCAGAGTCCAGAGTGAGGACCCAAGAAGGGACTGTTGGGATGAAGAGTCTCCAGTTTACCAACAAATGAATATCTCAGTTTTTACAAAAATGACTGTGGACACTTGCCCAGCTGGGGAAGATGAAGTCTACAGTTCAAAATTCCTTTATGTTTCTAGGCAGATTGCGCTTGAGTAGAGTGATGTCCCCCTAGTCTGGACCGTGCTTTAGAGCAGTGGTTCCCAACCTTTTTGGCACCAGGGACCAGTTTGGTGGAAGATAATTTTTCCACAGTCTAGGGTGAGGAGGGTGGAGGGGATGGTTTAGTGATGAAATTGTTTCACCTCAGATCATCAGGCATTAGATTCTCCTAAGGAGCATGCAGCCTAGATCCCTCACATGTGCAGTTCACAATAGGGTTCCTGCTCCTATGAGAATCTAATGAGACTGCTGATAGGACAGGAGGCGAAGCTCAGGCGGTAATGCTCGCTCACTTGCCCACTGCTCACCTCCTGCTGTGTGGCCCAGTTCCTCGCAGGCCATGGACATGTACCAGTCCATGACCCAGGATTGGGGACCCCGCTTTAGAGTCTACAGAGTCCCAACCATGACCTCATTCTCTCTTCCTTCTGTCCTTCCTTCCTCCTTTGCTGTCTTCCTTCTGTCCTTTCTTTCTTCACTGAAAAGTGTTTACCAGCCATATGTCAGATGCTAGATTAGGCTCTGGGAATAGTGATATCCAAAGTCAGCACAGGCCTTGGCTTCATAAAGCATGTAGTTCAGGAATTCATGTCATTTTAAATTGAAGAATGATCCTGTCCCTCTAGACACCAAATGCGAATGGTGCTTTGGGACTTCTGAGTTGCTCCACATTGAGGTTTTCTGTAAAATAGTTCCCTTTTCCTCATTTCACATTAGGTAGGAATTCAAGAGAAACAAACAAGGAGACGGTGTTTTTTCAGCAATCAGGTTCACCTCCTACCCCTTTCAAACAAATGGATCTCCTCTTCCTGCCCTCGAGGTAATAAAGGAAGTCCAAACTCCATTTCAGGCCTCCAAAATTGGAGCTTCCCAAGCATTTTACCCCTGATAAAGCATCGATTTCAATGATTCATCTCCAAAAGTTTTGTTATTGATTCCAGCCACATTTTGCAACACTCTGTTGGTTGCTAGTATTTTAAAATAGCACATTTCATGTTTGCTTTTTTGAGCCCATTTCTCATTGTTTCCCACGTATTTCCAGTGAATGAAGAGATTAGTGAGTGCATCATTTTTTTTTCTCATAAAGGACGAAAGTTAAACATCCTGTTCTGACTGCAGAGAAACTTTCAGGTTTCTGGAATCCATTAAAACCCCAAATGTCACAAGAAAGTTACTCTGGAGCTGCAAAAACACAATTTTACACTTCTGATGTCCATTGGGCATGTTTGCCTGTCCTTGGAAGGGATCACCATTTTCTTTCTTCACTCCCTCTGTCCTTCTCACCTTCCTTCCAGAAAAATGGAAGGAAGCCAGCGCATGTAATGCTAAGTACTTTGCAAACATTATCGTATTTAATCCTCCTAGCAGCCCCTTCTGAAGCTCAGACAAGCTGGCTAACTTGACTCAAGTCACCCACGAGGAAGCAGCACGTGCAGCCCACACTTTGTTGCATTTTTATCAGTTTCCTCCCTTCCTACCACCACCAGCTCCTAGTTTCACATCCTGATGCCACACCATTTTTTTCCCCACTTTGTAGAAAAAGATATAGATATGGAAGCCCGGATGTTGGTACAAGCTAGAAAAGAACCAACATTTTTGCCTTCCCTCTTGGCTAAAGTCCATGTTTTCTCATGTGTAAGCAGATGTGCCACTGCAAACATGACAGCCAAGAGTGATTTCAGAGCATCTGGGTCCACAATCCAGGGCAGCACTGTAAACGCAGTTGTCATTACACATTTCACTTCCTTGCAGGAGACAGGCGGGTGGCTGTGAAGTTTGTATAGCTGAGTGTAGGGCGGCCTCCTCCTACCAGCAGGTAAGGGGCAGATTGGCTGTGACAGGGCCTGAGAATGGAGGTCTAGCTGGTTGCAGCTTTGCAATCAAATCTGGGCCTTTGAAATCCATTAGTAGCTCATTTCTAGACCTTGGGGCGCCCAAGGCCTTTCAGCCTGCCTTCATTTGGGTGTTTGTTAGAAAGTCAGGGAATAACAGGCTTGGACAGGCCCA
Source organism: Homo sapiens (assembly GCF_000001405.40). Lineage (NCBI taxonomy): Eukaryota > Metazoa > Chordata > Mammalia > Primates > Hominidae > Homo > Homo sapiens. The sequence continues at coordinate 47,866,783 of NC_000001.11, read as the reverse complement.
GTGGGATGGAGAGGGGTCCAAGGGGGAGCACAACCATTGGATTGCATCACAGGCACTGCCAAGTTATACATCATAGGAGGAACACAGCCAAGGGGCCTCCTCTGGCTTATCCTTCACCCTCATTCCAGCGCATGCCTTGGGAATTTTCCAGGACTCTCCTAGACTAGGAAGGGTTTGGGAAGTTTGTGCTGGTGATAGTAGGGTTGGCAAACAGGGAGCGCTGCCCTGGCTGGGCACTCAGTGGTTCAGAAGCATCAAGGAAACTGAGCCAGTGTCTTCCCTCTCACAGCATGGGAAGCAGTCAGGAGGGGCTTCCCTGTGGCCTCACAGTGACCCTCTGAAAAAGGGTAGGGTGTAGAGAAATGGTCAAGATGCCTAAAGTCAAATTATATCTCTTGAGCCTTCTCTGATCTTCCAGGAATTAAAGGCTCCCTTTTAATACAGAAATTTGCTTTTTGCTCTTGACTGTCTTAGCCAGCCCTGAACTGAGATACTGGTCCTGTGTCTGCCTCCCTGGACTATGACTTCCAAGGGACAGAGCCCCTCGGACATCGACTTTAGAGCCTGGGTCTGCTCGTTCCTGCTTGTTCCTGATGTTTTATATGCCGAGGCTGATTTCCTTCCAGACTGGGGGTTGCCAAGCACATGGACAGGGCTCACCTTCCTGCTTGCGCACAGAGCAGAATACAGTGGCAGTGCAAATGCGCTCTTTGGCCTGTGATGATGATTAACAAGAGTCAAAGTACTTACTCATGCACTCTACTAGAGCCTTATGTTCAGACTTTAATCCTTAAAGCAGTCCTGAGTCTCTCCCTTTATAGATGAAGAGACTGAAGCACAGAGGAATGGAGAAGCCTGTCTGGGCAACAGAGAATAAGTGGAAAGTTGAGATGGGAACCCAGGCTCAACTGATTTCAAACCCACTGAGTGCATGGTAACATCCTTCTGCCTCCTGGAAGTGTCTGCCACTCTCACTTGTCTGCATGTTTGACTAAGAGCCGTAGTCTGGTGTGAATTATCATCACCATTGGAAGGATGTGACAAGCGCCTAGGATGCAAGGCCAGAGGATCATTAGAAACCTGCAGGTCTAAACCCTTTATTTTAAAGTGAGAAAACAGGCTCAGAAAGAGGATGAGAACCTCTCTGGAGCTGGGCAGAGAATCCAGTGCCTTAACTTTTCTTTTGTATTTCCACAAACCATATTTCCTGAACCCTGGGACAAGTGCCCATGCTATGAAACTGCATTATTTTCCATAAAAATGAACCACAGATGTCTAACAAAATTCCATGTAACTGTTCAACCTTCAGTGAAACTTGGTCAGAAGCATTAGTTGGTCAGGTAAAGCATCCACCAGCAGGCCCCATATCCCAGTGTTTGGGTGGAAGTTCAGTCCCTATAAATCAGTACTGCGAGAGGTGGGGCCTTTGGGTCAGCTTGTAAAATAGAAGTAGCAAGCAGAGGAAGGAATGGTGGGGGTAAGACACCACCAACCAGAAGGAAACGAGGCCTTGTTTCCTGCTCCTGGCTTCCTGGTCCCAGCTGCAAGCGGAGAGGAGGCCTGGGCCCTACTGTGATGCTGAAGGCAGAAATGGGCAATGACCTCCCAAAGAAGTGTTGCTCAAAAGAAGGGAGCAGATTGCTAGGCCTCATGCCCAGTTCTTGGGGAGGACCCACTTGTAACCTCCTTTCCCGCCAGCAGTCAGGTTTTCTGCAGAGTCCCATCTGCCTCCCTGGGAGATTACCCCACCCCACCCCACCCCAACCCCCATGATCTGAGAGCTGCAGAAGCCAAGGCCAGGTGTCCAGCCAGTGGTGGTGTGCCTAGGGCAGAGGGCAGTCAGGGGCTCTACTCATCCAGGGCAGGGTTTAGGAGTGGCTATTTGACAAAAAAGGAGAAACCTGGGTGCTGTTGGGGTAACTGAGCCCTGATCGTCCACCCAACGCACAGAGAGAAATGAGAAAGGCAGGGATTCCAGGCAGATGACTAGTTTTCAGGCAGTAGGGCCCCCTCCCCACTACCACCCACAGCAGGAGCAGTGTCCCCACCTAGGCCCCTCAGCATGTCATCAGGCAGCCATGTGGATTTGGAAGAGGCTCCCAGGAAGCCTGATGCAGAAGAAGGAAAAGTTAACTCAAGAGGAAAACCCAGTGAGGCACCATCTGTTCCTAAGAAGCAAACTAAGGCTACTTCAGATCACTCTGGAAAAGGCCACAGATATCACAAGAATGAATTTTTGAGAAAACTGAGTAATTTTCCTTAGTGTAGACTAAAGTTTCTCAACACTATTGACCTTTTTGTAAGACTTTTTTTTTTTTAGAGCAGTTTTAGGTTTACAACAACATTGAGAGGAAGTTACGGAGTTCTCATACAACCGCTGCCCAACATGTGCACAGCATCCCCTATTATAAATCTCCCACCAGGGTGGTTCATTTGTTACAACTGACAAACCTTCATTGACACGTGTCCACCAATGATGGACATGTGTCCATCATTACAACTGATTAAGCTCATTGACACATCACCCAAAGTCCAAAGATTAGTGACTACATTAGGGTTCCCTCTTGGTGGTGTACATTCTGTGGGTTTGGACAAATGGTGGACATGTGTCTACCATTATAGTATCATACAGATTATTTCATTGCCCTAAAAATTATCTATGCTCCACCTATTAATTCCTCCCTCCCCACAACACCTGGCCACTACTGATCTTTTTATTGTTTCCATAGTTTTGTTGCGTTTTCCAGAATGTCATATAGTTGGAATTATATAGTAACTAATCTTTCCAGATTGGCTTCTTTCACTTAGTAATAATGCATTTCAGTTTCCATTATGTCTTTTCATGGCTTGATGGCCAATTTCGTTTTAGTGCTGTGTAATAGTCCATTGGCTAGATGTACTGTAGTTTATTTATCCATTAATCTACTGACGGACATCATGGTTGCTTCCAAGTTCCGTCAATTATGAACAAAGCTGTTATAAATGTCTGTGTACAGGTTTTTGTATGGACATAAGTTTTCAAATTTTTGGGTAAGTACCAAGGAGTATGATTGCTGGATCACATGGTAAGAGTGTGTTTAATTTTGTAAGACCTAACCATCTTCCAAAGTGGCTGTACCATTTTGCTTCCCATCAGCAATGTATGAGAGTTCCTGTTGCACCACATCCTCTCCAGCACTGGGCACTATCAGTGTTCTGGATTTTTGCCCTTCTGATAGTTGAGTGGTATCTCATTGTCATTTTAATTTGCATTTGCCTGATGACATAGGATGTGGAGCATCTTTTTATATACTTACTTGTCATCTGTACATTCTTTGGTGAGTAGTCTATTAAGGTCTTTGGCCCATCTTTTAATCAGGTTGTTTTCTTATTGTTGAGTTTTAAGAGATTATATATATATATATATATATAAAATTATATAGGATATATCCAATTATCCAGTTATCCTATATATATATATATATTTATATTTATCAGTCTTTTGCAAATATTTTCTCCCAATCTGAGCTTATCTTTTCATTCTCTTGGCAGTATCCTTCACAGAGCAGATTTTTTATTTTAATAAAGTCCAGCTTATCAATTCTTTCTTTCATGGATCATGCTTTGGTGTCCTATCTAAAAAGTCACCACCAAACTGAAAGCCATCTAGATTTTCTTCTATGTTACCTTCTAGGAGTTTCATAGTTTCGTGTTTTACATTTAGGGCTGTGATTCATTTTGTCTTAATTTTTGTGAAGAGTGTAAGGTCTGTGCCTAGATTCATTATTTTACATGTGAATGACCATTTGTTCAAGCACTATTTGTTGAAAAGGCAGCCATAGTGCCTGTGTCAAAGATTAGTTGACTACATTTATGTGAGTCTATTTCTGGGCACCCTTTTCTGTTGCATTTGATCTATTTGTCTTTTCTTTCACCAACACCACACTGTCTTGATGATTATAGCTTTATAATAAGTCTTGAATTGAGTACTGTCATTCCTTTAACTTTGTTCTTCTCCTTTAATATTGTGTTCACTATCCAGTCTTTTGCCTCTCCATATAAACTTTAGAATCAGTTTGTTGATAGACACAAAATAACTTGGTGGGATTTTGATTAGGATTGTGTTGAATATGTAGATTGAGTTGGGAAGACCTGACATCTTGAAAATATTGTCTTCCTATCTATGAACATGGAATATCTCTCCATTTATTTAGTTCTTATATTTCATAAGAGTTTTGTAGTTTTTCTCATATATATCTTGTGCATATTTTGTTAGATTTATACCTAGCATTTCATATTTTTGGTGTTAATGTAAATGGTATTGTGTTTTTAATTTCACATTCATCTTGTTCATCATCATTATTGCTGGTAAATAGGAAATATACTGACTTTTGTGTATTAATCTTGTATCCTGCAAACTTGTTATAATTGTTTATTAGTTCCAGGAGTTTTTTGACAATTCTTTCAGATTTTCTACGTAGATAATCATGTCATCTGTGAAAAAAGATGTATTTCTTCCTTCTCAATAAGTATATATTTTATTTCATTTTCTTAATTACATTAGCTAGGACTTCCAGTACGGTGTTGAAAAGGAATTATAAGACAGGACATCCTTGCTTTGTTCCTGATCTTTGTGAGAAAGCTTCGAGTTTCTTAGCATTAAGTGTGATGTTAACTGTAGGTTTTCTGTAGTTATTATTTATCAACTTGACAGAGTTCCCCTCTATTCCTACTTACTGAGAGCTTGGATCATGAATGGGTGTTGGATTTTGTCTAATACTTTTTTTACATGTATTTTCTTCTTTAACCTGCTGATTTGATGAATTATGTTAATTGATTTTTTAATATTGAACCAGCTTTGCATACCTGAGATAAATCCCACTTGGTTGTGGTATGTAATTCTTTTTATACATTATTGGATTCAATTTGCTAATCTTTTGCTGAGGATTTTTATACCTATATTCATGAAAAATATTGGTCTGTAACCTTCTTTTCCTGTAATGTCTTTGTCTGGTTTGAGGTTGGCTGAGGTTAGGCCTCACAGAATGAGTTAGGAAATATCCCCCTGCTTCTGTGTTCTGAAGGAGGTTTAGAGACTTGGTATAATCTCTTTCCTAAATGTTTGGCAGAATTCACTAGTGAATCCATCAGGGCCTGGTGCTTTTTGTTTTGGAAGATTCTTAATTATCGATCCAATTTCTTTAGTAGAAATGGGCCTATTCAGATTGTCTGTTTCTTCTTGTGTGAGTTTTGGCAGATTGTGGGTCTTTCAAGGAGTTGGCCCATTTTATCTAGGTTATCAAGTTGTGTCTTATTATTTTCCATTTAATGTCCATGGAATCTGTAGGAAGTACCCTCCTTTATTTCTGATGTTAATTATCTCTGTCCTCTCATTATTGACATTTTAGGAAGGATAATCATTGTTGCAGGGTGGGGGGTGCTGTCATGTATATTGTAGGACGTTTTACAACATTCCCGGCCTCTACTCATTAGATGCCAATAACATACCCCCGCCACCCCCACCACCACCATTTGTGCAACCAAAAATGCCTTCTAGGTGTTGCTGAATGTCTCCTCGGGATGGGAAATAGCAAAATTATCCCCAGTTTGAGAACCACTGCTATAGATAATCAAATAATTTAAACCTAAAAGGGATTATTGAGGTCACCTAAGCCAGACCAGATGTAGTCCTGGTTCTTCTGGGAACCAGTAAACATCTCTGGTTTTCATCTCCTCCCCTGTAGCACAAGAGAATTGGAAGAGATGATCACCAAGGCTAACATTCCATTGGTCTATGAGACCCTGTCTTAGTCCATTTCATGTTGCTTAGACAGGATATTTGAGACTAGGTCATTTATAAAGAAAAGAGGCTTATTTGGCTTACGATTTTGCAGGCTGGGGAGTTGAAGGACATGGTGCTGGCTTCTAGCAAGGGCTTTCATACTACATCATAATATGGCAGACAGAACAGGAGCAGGCATGTGCAAAAGGAACCAAATGGGAGGAGGAACCTTGCATTATAACAACCCATGAGAGCAAGAACTCATTACTGTAGAATGGCACCAAGCTATTCTTGAGAGACCCCCCATGACCAAAACACTTCTGACTAGGCCCACCTCCCAATACTGCCACACTGGCAATTAAACTTCAACATGAATTTCGGCAAAGACAAACCACATTCAAACCATAGCACAGCCTCATTTTACTAATAAGATGCTGGGGCCCAGAGGAGAAAAGTCATTCAGGAATCCAGGACTCACCCAGGTCCCTATGTCATTTGTAACAGGGATTTGGCACCTGGGACCATTTCTCAAGCAGACTCAAGCCCCTGGGTGGTCTGTGAGGCATGTTTTCTGAGTGTACAGTCCTATGCCAGGAGACACTCATTAAGAGACAAAGAGAAGGAGGAGACAGAGATGTTCAGGTAGACCCAACTCACATAGGTCACAGTAATGGCTGCACACCATCAGGGTGAGCTTGTGCAGCTGTGGTAGCTTGGAAGAGGGCAAGTGTTTAGTAACAACTAGGTGGGAAAGACTTATAGGAGAAAGCAGCCTTCAGCTGAGCCTTCAGGAATTTGAAGGAGAGTTTTAAGAGAGGGAAACAGCAGGAATGAAGGAGTGCAGGTGGTGATTTGAGTCGGTTTAGATCAACCAGCATTTAGTTCTCCAGGAATGAAAGCCTCAGGACATCAAGGGCCAGTGACTGCCCTGTCCGCCATCACAGCCCTGGTACCTGCACTGTCTAGCACCTGGGAGGCACACAAGGTAGTGCAGTCTGACCAAGCAGATTCACACCCTGGTTCCACTGCATCTCCAGTTGGGTGACCCTGGGCAAGATACGTCACCTCCCTGAGCTTCATTTCACATCTGTCAACAGGACTAACCAGGTTGTAGTAAGGGCTAAGTGAGCTCATGAATCTGAGGGTTTGGTTAACCGTGAAGAGTTGTCGATGTGAGGAGTGATCATTATTATACAAAATAGAATGACGTCAGCCCTGTGATAGAGGTGCCAAGGCTGGAAGGTGCTAAGGACTTCATCCTCAAGGGAGAAGCTGGACAGACACTTGTCAGATTGGTCTGATTTGGGCAGGTGGAGATGGTGGGGAAGTGGGGGCCACTCTGAGCCAGGAGATGTGATCACTGCTTCTTCCACCACGATGAGCAGCAGCTAAGGCATGCTCTGGCCACATGCCTGCTGGTGCATGCACAAACCTCCCCAAACTCCAGGGTCAGGCCAGAAAGGGGCTGCTGCAGAAAGACTTCTGAATTCTGTGGCCAGAGCTCTACAAGTCAAAACTAAGGCAGGTAATGCCCAGGGGCTACATGAGACTATCCTCACACACAGTTGTTGGGAAGAAGTATAAAAGGAGGGTGTGGGGTGGACAGGGCTGTGGGGCTGATTCTGAGTACAGGGCTGGGGTCCAACTGGAGCTCAGATGAACCACAAAGGCCAGGTGAGTACCTGGTTAGCCCTATCCGTTTCCCAGCCAGTGTGAGGCTGGCTGGCTGTGGGTAACCACCAGACCACAGCAAAGGCGGTGGGAGGAGCAGGCCAGATGGGTTAGAGAGGGCAGGAAAAAGAAAGGAAGGATGGGGGAAACAAAAGGGTCAGGGCTGCAAAGCTTCAGTCTGCTGGAATGAAGCACCATGCCAGCCTCAAGAGGGGCAGCTTTGTGTCCCAGAAAATGATAACTCTCAGCAAGTACCCCTCTGTTCCTTGCCAGCTGAGCAAAGACCACAGCTTGCTTGGTTGCAAAGACCACCCCTAAGCAGGCTCAAAGACCAGCCTGCGAGTATGTGTATGTGAGTGAGGAGGGGTGGTAACTGTGGCTGGATTTGATTTAAGGAGCAGACAGGTTTGCCCACCTTGACTAAGCCACCATGGTTCCCATGCCCAGAAAGGAGCTCTCTGCTGTGCCCAGTTATCCCACTAGTCCACCAGGCCGCCATCCTGAGGACCTTTCTCTAGAGGCATCTGCAGGCTTAGCCACTCTAGCAGGGCAAAGGCCTCTTCTTGTCTGGCAGGCTTCTGGAAGAGACAGCAACACTGGCTGCCTACCACCATTCAGGATGAGGCAGAGTTAAAGCACATGGCTTTGGGGATAAGGCAGTCATGTTTGAATCCTGACTGTACTTGTAAGCTGTGGGAAACTTGGAAGTCACTTCCCTTTGCTGAGGCTTACTGTCATTATCTGACACTGGATTAATAAATTTCACTTTGTAAGGCTATTAAGAATATAGTGTGGCTAGGTGTGGTGGTTTACCCCTGTAATCCCAACATTTCGGGAGGCCGAGGGGTGAGGATCACTTGAGGCCAGGAGTTTGAGATCAGCCTGGGCAACATAGCAAGACCCTGTTTCTACAAAAAAATTTTAAAATTAGCCAGTCATGGTGGCACATGCCTGTAGTCCCAGCTACTCAAGAGGCTGAGGCGGAAGGATTGCTTGAACCCAAGATTTTGAGGTTGCAGTGAGCTGTGATTGCACCACTGCACACCAGCCTGGGTGATGGAGCAAGACCCTGTCTCAAAAAAATAAAATAAAATAAAATAAAATAAAATAAAATAAAATAAAATAAAATAAAATAAAATAAAATAAAGTAAAATAAAGAATGAATGACTATTGTAGTTGCCCCTTGTCGGAGGATGCCTGAAACCGCAGATAGTAGCAAACCCTGTATATGCTGTTTCTTCCAATGCGTACGTATGATAAAGTTTGATTTATAAATTCAGCACAGTGAGATTAACAATAATAACTAATCATACAATAGAACCATTATAACAATATACTTTAATAAAAGTTATGCAAATGGGATCTCTATCTATCTCTCTCAAAATATTTTATTGTGTGTACTCACCTGTCTGCAAGTAACTGAAACCATGGAAAGTGAAACTGTGGATAAGGGGTGGGGGGTGGGTACCGTATTAACTAAGATACAAAATGCTTGGCACAGTCCTTGCACACAGACATTATTAGCAGTTACTCCTCAATGAGGACTTACTGTGTGTCAAAATGATGCTAAGAGAAGCAAGGGCCAGTGGCTACATCCAGGGAGTAGACCACCTAGAAGTAGGGGTGGGATCTGGGGAGAGTTCCTTCACTCCCTCACTCTTTCATTATTCTTGGAGGCCTTCTCTGTGCCCAGCCTGGGCAGGGCCCTGGGAAACTGATGTTGATCAGAATGCTGCCCTAGGAGGTCAGCTGAAAGGACAGACAAGTGAACAGACAGACCTCGGGCACAGCAGTCAGGAGGAATTCAGAGGGACACCCAGAGGTAGGTACTGAGAAGGGGGCCTTAACCCCCTTGCTCACGGGATCAGGGAAGGCTTCCCCAAGGAGAAGTCTATGGTTCTGTGCCTGGAAGGAGGCATAGAAGGTTGCTAGGTAGGCACACGGTGGGGCAGGGCTAATGCAGCAACGGTGGCTGGCCCGGCTCATTGTGCCTAAACAGGAGCACCTGCCAAGTCTGCAGGCTAAGAAGATGAGAGCTCAGGCAGCAAGCTCTGGGAGTGGCTTCAGGAAGGGGGAGGGTCCAGGATACTAGGGTTTCCCTGATTAGGGAGCACCTACTAAAGGCCCAGGGGCTGAGGGAAGGGGAAGCCACTTCAGGAAAATCCTTGCAATGCACCAAGACTGCCCACTTGGATGCAGAAAGTGCCTTTATGATGGTCAACTCCAAAACATAAAGGTGAACAGAGGCCACAGTTTGCTTGGCTGCAAAGGCCATCTCCCAACAGGCTCAAGGACCGAAGGCAGTGCTACTGCGGTCACCTGGCAAGTTGTTGGACCATTGCTGAAACTGTCAAAAAACCTCCTATTCAGCTATTCTCAGCTGGCTGTGGAGGAGCTCTGAGTGACAGCTTCTCCTGCACATCAATGGCTGACAGCCTCTAGTACGTTTTCCTTTTCCTTTTCCTTTCCAGGCTCACATCTTACCACTCACCTCTCTCTCTGCCTGCGGGGCCCAGGCCTCATCATTTATCAAGATAAAGATCTATCAAAGTCTCTGAGAAGGAGTGGGATAAAAAGAGTTTGTGGGAGTAATAAATCTCTTTTAGCATAGGTGGTGAGCAAGGAATTCATCCCAGACTGTGCTCTTGAAAAATGAGAGGCTGTGTGTGGACAGTGTGTAACCAGAGCTTGAGGGTGGGTGCATGGTTGGAGTGAAGTGGTCCACTTAGACCATCAGGACATCATGACTGGAAAAACTCTGAGCCTCTCTAAGCACCATGCTGTGTCCTACGATGGCAAAGCTGGTCCTAGAATCAGGGACTGGGACTCTCAGCCCACCTCAAAATGCCTTTTCAAAGTTGAGGGAGATGGTATTCTAAGCCCAAACATATCCTAAATCCAAGAACTAACTGCATTCATCCACCCAGCCCTTTCATTATTCACACACACATTCATTTTCACTTCACACTCTCATGCGTTCACTCACTAATATTTACTGAGCACATACTGTGTGCCAAGCACCATGGCAGCAGTAGGACAGCAGAGGGTAGAGCAGGATCCATGGCAAGGGAGGCAGAGAGATCCCAAAGTAGGGTCAGGAAGCACTCCACAGTGTGTGTGGAAGGGGTGCCTGGAAGCAGGCAGGGGTCCTGCCCGCAGACCCCGCTTACATGGTGGGCAGAAAGGGAGCTATCTCTGTGCCACTCATCCAGGCTGAACAGCATTTCAGGGGCCTTTCTTTGAGTCCAATCTCATGCTTAGAAAGTGGCTTGTCCATCCTTCCAGGGAAAATGGTTTCTCCTCTCCTCACATCTCTCTTCTTCATGACAGCACAGTGAAAAACTAGGGGCCAGGGTCTGGGGCATTTTTCATCTGCAAGCGCCCTCATCCACTAAGGCTGCTATAACATAATATCACCAACTGGATAGCTTAAATAACAGATATTGATTTCTCTTAGTTCTGGAAGCTGGCAAGTTCCGTATCAGGGTGTTAGCATGGTCAAGTTCTGATGCGGGCCCTCTTCTGGTTTGCAGATGGCTGTCTTCTAGTGTGCCCTCACAAAGTGGAAAGAGAGAGGAAGTAAGCCCTCTGTGTCTTTCCCTGTAAGGGCACTAATGAGGGCTCCACCTTCATGACCTGATTACCTCCCAAAGCCCCCATCTCCAATTACCATCACATTTCAGCATAGGAAGTTTGGGAGAACACAAGCATTCCATCCATAGCAGTGGACAAATGGATAAACGAATCATACTATGTTCACAGAGTGAAATACTAGACAGCTGTCAGAATGGATGACCTATGCGTGTCAACATGGGTAAATCTTACTTAGATAATATCCGGTTAAAAAGGCAAATCAGAACAATATGTGCAGTCTTCTACTTATGCAAATTTAAAAACAGAACGATATCCCATACTGTTTATGCACATATGTGCATGTAATAGAAGAGTAAAAATGCAGACAAGGATACACTCCAGCCTCAGAAGTGATTGCCTCTGGAGGACAAGAGAAGGGACTGGGATTAAGGAGAGGAAAGGGAACTTATGATTCTATACATTTTGTTTTTAAAAAACATGTGAAACAAATATAGTAGAAGATCAATATTTTAAAAAATATGGGAAACAAATATATTGGAAGATCAATGTGTGTTAACTCTCAGTAGCAAATACATAGATATTTATTCGATTTCTCTGTACTCTTCTTTTGAAATATTTCATTTTAAATAAAAAGGTTTAAACAAAACCCAGTCTTATTCAAAAACCCACATGAACCACAGTCTAAGGGCCTCTGAAGTTTCAGCTCAGTGCCAAGGTACTCTGAGCCATTTTATATCATATCTGCTGATGATCCCAAGAAGGCCTATTACCCTCATTTCACAAATGAGGAAATAGGCTCAGAGGTGGTAAGCAGCTTGCCCTACATCACACAGCTATTCACTTGAAAAATGTGAGCTCCAAACTTTTTTACATGTGACTCCAAAGGCATACTCTCTCCCCTACCTCTCACCACCTATACAAGCTGCCTTTTTAAATAAAATACTACAAACTTCAATAAACAAACACCAAACAAAATGCAAACAAGCTCAGGGGCAGAGCCTGACCTTGAATTCTACCTCTGTTACTGCCTATCTGTGACCTTTGGTGAACTACTTTCCCTCTTTCAGCTTTACTTGCTCTAAATGTAAAAAAATGCAAATTGCGAGGTCACTTCCCTAGCAGGGTCTAAAGCACTTCGTTAGTGTCATTATTACTTGCTAAAGTGGCTTGTGGCACCCTACACTCTGTTTTGAGACCCTCACCATCAAATCACAGAGGACTATGACTTATTCCAGGCAATTAGCAAAGTGATTTAGTTTCATTGATTGGATAAAACATTTGTGCTCCAGTTACATCTTGATTATGTGACCTCAAAGGAAAAAAGCCTTAATTCAGACGCCTGAAGCATCATCTGCAATACCTTCCTTCCCTGATCAAAACAGAACCAGACTCTGGAGATCAGCTGAAGGAAGAGAACAGGGGCTGCAACAGCCTCATGAGAGAGGCCAAAGGAGGGTAAGTCATTCACAACCTTTCCTAGTAACCCCTTCCCAAGAGGTAGCATGACTGACCCTGCCAACTCTAGACAGTAGGCATTGTGCTAAGAATCTGACATATATTTTCCTAGTTTCAAACCCAGGAGACCGTCCCCATTTTACAGAGGTTCAGAAATTGAAGTGGCCTGCCCAAAATGACATAGCTAGTAAGTAGCAGAGTTGAAACCCATGTCTTTCTGACCCCAAAGCTCTGCTTGTAACTATTATGTCATATGAATTGTGGGAGATAGGCCAGAATGAGGCTAGTGGGAGAAGGAAACAGTAATGAAATCATTATAGTCTCTCTGTAAGCCATCTAAGGAGCTAGGCTTGCTTGCTGCTGCAGGCAGTGGGAGCCATTGCAAGGTTTAAACAGGGAGAGATGTGATCATATTTGTGGTTTAGAAAGTCCACTCTAGCTACGACTTGGAGAATAATTGCAGAGTAAGAGGTGGGAAACAGAGACCCCAGTTAGAAGTCTTGTTATGGTTTTCTAGGCCAGAGGGGCTTAAGCTTGTGTAGGGCCAGTGACAGCTGAGAAGAAGACAGATTGACAGAGCTATTCAAAATCTAATAAATATTGGATGGGTGGATAGGTGGATGGATGGATGGGTGAGTGGATGGTAGGGGAGGAATCAAAGATGACTTCTCCCAGGATAACCCATATTAACCATCATGGTCTCCACACAGTCCCTGAGCTAGGCTCCCAGAGATCCTTTTAGACTCTTTCCTGCGTGACTTTCCTGGTTCTGAAATATGTGGAAAGGTTTGAGGTCAGACATGATGAGAAATCCCACCAGAGTTATCCCCAACCCTCAGCCTCCAAGTTCAGTGACCACCACCCTGTGGAGACCTGCTGGGCCCAGAGTGCGTTTGGGAAAAGATTCTGGGCAGTGGGAGGCAGCACTGTCCAAACACAGATGCTGCCGGAGGTGGGACCCAATATGTACCAGCAAATATTGATCTTGCCCCTTGGCTAATTCGGGCCACTGCTAGACAATGCCGGGGTGCGTTGGTGGGTTTGGGCCCCAGGCTGCAGACTGAGGAATGTGGAGTCCCAGGGATATGTGTTTGCTCAACTCCCAGATCTTGACATTCCCCAGCTTGACCATCTCCCAGTGAGTGGCCCTCGGCCCTAGCATCAACCAAGCCCCCGTTCAGGGTATTTGCTCAGTGGCCACTCTGCTTAGCCAACATTCATTAGAAAAGGCTTTTCTCTGCTAGGCATGCTTCCAGGATGTTGGGGAGGCTTTCCCACCCACCCCCCTTTACCTGCCCCACCAGCCCTGGCTGCCTTTGGGGAGCCGTGGAAGTGAAACTCTTAAACCCAATCAAAGAGAATATGAGAACTCAGCTGGGCCTTCAAAGAGGTATTAGTCACCATCGCCCTGTTTTAAAGATGACCAAAAATATATATATACTTTGAAATACTCAACTTTGGGGCAGGTATTATGGTTGTTAAGAGTTCTTCAGTCGAAGACACTTGGGAAAATGAGCTTGGATGAATAACTTAACCTCAGCAGCACCACCACCACCCACCCCATTTCTTCATCTGCAGAATGGGGATAACAATGGTACCTCCTCCTCTGGGATTATTGAAATAGTATGTAACCAGTGCCTGGAACACAGCAGAAATGGATAGGCTCAGAGGGAGCTCGGGCAATCACAGCGTGCTTTGAGAGTCTGCTGGTCCTGCTGAGAGCTGACATTCCCGGAGAGTTCTGGCCAGACGTGACCAGCAATGGTGGCCCTGGTGGGCTGCAGGGAAGGCTCAGATTCTTGGCGTTGCGCAGCCACATGGGGCCTGCTTCCAGCTCTCTGAAACGGGCTCACATCATTGAAAGGGGATCGTGAAAATGAATCCCATAGTGGGTCAGGAAGTGGGGGAGGCAGAAATTTAATTCTGTTCATGGTCGGTTAGATTACTTTGGCCTGGAATTCCTAGCCTCCAACAGCAACAAAGGCTGCCTTAGAATCCTTATGTGTGTGGCTCCATGGGGCCAGGAGCTCCGCACGCCTTACCAAGGGACTCTGCCCCAAACCTCCGCCTGGCCTCGTCTATCTCAGGCCGCAGTCTGGGCCCAGCTCTCATTCCAGAGCCCCGGAGGTTTCTCGGGAGCCTAGTCCCCCAGGGCCCATGGCGGTGGCTGGTGGGTGTTTGGGTTTGGGGTTATTCTTTGGACAGTTTCTAGCTTTCTGTTTTCCTTTCCCTTAGCACAGAGCTCTAGAATGACTCTTGCTAGCCTCCCTTGCTTTTGCTCACTCTGCCTTTGGGTTGCCCTTTTGTCATTTCATAGACATTTGTCAAGAGCCTACTTTGTGAATCACATTGATTAAGAGCACAAATTCTGTAGCCAGACAGTCTGGGTTCAAATCCCACCTCTGGCACATATTAGCTGAGTTATATTGAGCTATTTCCGCAATTTCTCTAAGCCTAGGGTTCCTCGCCAATAAAATGATAATGCTCACAGAACCAATGGGAAGGCCCAGGACAGTGATGCATGTGGTGCGATTTGCTCATGTCTAGTACTTAGTAGGTCAGCCTCTGTGGGATATGTACACACACACTCAACTAATTCTCACAGTGGCCCTGGGAAGTGGGGATTGTCACTCCCATTGTGGCTTGGGACACTGAATATCACTTGTCCGAGCAAATGACAGAGAAGGACTTGGAGCAGAAACTTCTGACTCTACAAAACTCTCTGACATTTCTTCAGCTCCAGTATAACTCAAAAGAAGATCTAAATTTCTTACTGAGCATAATGTCAAAAATCAATCTCTTTCCCTCTCTCCCTCCCTTCCTCCCTCTTTTTCCTCACCCATGTCCCACTCTGTGACTACACACACCACCCCGCAGGTTCACATACATTCTTGTGACTCTCCTTAGGTTGGGGGACATAGTTATTATCCCAAGAGGCCTTGATATTTAAAAGGCTGGTTTCCCATTTTGATTATTTATAATTTGTTATATTTTATGTGCTGATGAGCTGCTTTAGTTCTGAAGGGCTGGGGTGGGCCATGGAGCATGGGGTGGGAAGAAGGAGAGTCATGAGTGTGCAGCAGAGTCCAAGACAGCCTGAAACAAGGAGAATGGGGCCTGTCACCAGTCAGTCCTCAGTGAGCCCAGACTCTGCCCTCCTTCTCAGGTAGAACATTCATATAGAACAGGGGTCTCCACCACCTGGTCTGTGGACTGGTACCAGTCCATAGCCTGTTAGGAACCAGGCCACACAGCAGGAGGTGAGCAGGTGAGCGAGCATTACCACCTGAGCTCCGCCTCCTGTCAGATCAGCGGTGGCATTAGATTCTCAGAGGAGCATGAACCCTGTTGTGAACTGTGCATGCAAGTGATCTAGGTTGTGTGCTCCTTATGAGAATCTAAGGTCTGATGATCTGAAGTGGAACAATTTAATCCCTAAACCATCTCCCAACCCCCGAGTCTGTGGAGAAATTGTCTTCCATGAAATCGGTCCCAGGTGCCAAAAAGGTTGGGGACCACTGATATAGAAGACATGAGCCAGAGGAGGCGGAGAGTGGGCAGGGGCCCACCTGCAGGATTCATTCATTCCCTCCCTCCCGTCTGCACTTCCTTCTTAGTGGTGCCAGGCAGCACTCACTCACCCCTTGGTCCAGGCCAAATCCCAAGTCAGGCACTGGGGCACCAAGATGGGGAGGTGGCTTGGCCTGGAGGGAAGGGCACAAGCTGGAGTGTGGGAGACCAAGGGTCAAGGCTCAGCTCTAGCTCTGCAGTGTCCATGCAATGTGCCCTTAGGGTGGAGAGCACCTATGAATGTTCATTGAATGCATGAATCTAGATTCTTAGACCCCTGCTCTTTCAAGGTTGGAAGAGGCCTTTCGGATTATTTTGGCCAAGCTTCCATATGGTGTTAGGGGCCTTTCCTCAGTTTCTGACAGTAGCTTGCATATACTCCTCCTGGTGAGCTCAGCTCTGCCTGGGACAGCCTACTCCATCATGAGATAGCACAGACTGTGAGAAAGTCCTCCATCACACGTCCTCTTGGTTACTGACTCTGTGTTCAGGCCTTTGCCCCTGTCCTGGCTGAGAGGGACTGGGCCAGCTCCTGTGAGAAGTCTACAGCATCCTCTAGGACTTGTGACTAGGGGAAAGCTCCCTAGAAGCCACACCTCCTATGCAGGCCCCAGTGACAGGATTGTCTGTGGTCCAGCCACCTCCCAGCTGAGGGTGGGAAATAGATTTTCTTTTGTATAAACAAGTAGCTCGAAGACCCAAGGCAGGGGAATTTGATCTGGGGTGCATGCCTTGGTTTTGCAATTCTCCTGTGAGTCTGTGGGCCAGTGCTGGCTGGGGCTGCAGCTTCTTCTGGAAGGAACAGGCCTGTGAAATGCCAGGTTAAGCCAAATGTCCCATCAGGGGATTCTACTTTGGGCTGCAGTGGGTGGGGATGGAGCAGGAAGGCAGTTGTGTAAGGCAGGGTGCTGACCACAGTGGTAACAAAAGCAAAAACCTTGGGCGGGAGCCACGTTGGCCTTCAGGGGCCAGGTTTGCCCTGTCCTCCCTCCCGCACCCCATCCCCTCACTTAGCAGCCAATCCCACCGGCTCACACCAGGTCAAACAAAACAACAAAGACTGACAATGCCCAATGCCAGATGGAGACAGAGAGGTAAAGACACAACTTCTGCCATCTCAGAACTTACATTCTAGCTAGCTGGGGCTTTGAGAGGTGCCCACTCACAGTAGGGAAGAATTCAGCACTGGGAAGATTTTCCTGTCTTATTTTGGCAAATCTTAGGTGAGCCACTGTATTCATCTGCTGAGACTGCCGTAACAAAGAACCACAGACTGGGTGGCCGAAGCAACAGGAATGTACTTCCTCACAGTCCTGGAGGCACAGTCCAAGGTCAAGGTGCTGCCAGCATTGGTTTCCTCTGGGGCCTTCCTCCTTCGTTCACAGATGGCAGTGTTCTGGATGCCTCTTCTCGTGATTGTCCAGTTGTACACATGTCTGGTGTCTCTGTGTTTCCCAATCCACCTCTTTTTATAAGGGCAACAGTCAGATTGGATTAGGGCCCACCCTAATGGCCTCATTTAAACTTAATTACCTTTGTAAAGGCCCTATCTCCAAATACATCACATTCTGAGGTCCTGGGGGTGGGAGCTTCACCATATGAATTAGGAGGGAGTAGGACACAATTCAGCCTTATCAGCCACTTAACTGCTGTGATCCTCAATTATTTTCTCAGCTGTACCAGAGACTGAAAGGCTGCTGCAGAGCTCACATCAGGCAATGTGCATGAAGCCTTTAATAGCCACATATAGACAGGAAGGGTTGCCGATGGGGACCCACAGGGATGAAGGCCTCTGGCATTTCAGGGAGCCATGTCCATAGGGAAGATAGCCTAATATCCTTAAGGACATGTGACTACCTGAGAAGACAGACAAACTCTCCCTTTTCTTTTCTCCTGGGGACACATGGTCAAGGATTAGAACCATACAGCCAGACTTGACAGGCCATGATTTCCCATTATTCCTTTGCTGTGGAGCAAGTGAAGGCAGCTAGGAAATTGTGTTCGGCTGGGGGTCTGGTGACCTGGACAAACTTTCCCTGCCCTTCCAGGTTACTAACCCAACATTCAGGGAATATTTGCAGCCCTCAGTTTCCTCGTTTGTGTCATGGGCAAGCTGAGAATTTAAACTAGAAGATGCTAAGCTGTGTCACTCTGGGGGTTCATGCATCTGTAACAAAGGCAAAACCATGGGCTGGAAGCCACGTTTGCTTTTAGGGTCCAGGTTTGGTTGAGTGTTTTCTGATATGATGACTGTGACTACATTCTTAAATCCCCTGTGGGCCTGTGAGCAGGGTCTAGTTCTGCCCACTCAGGATAGCCTGAGCCCTGATCCTGGTTACAGCCTGAGCCGTAATCTTGGTCACAGCCAGAGCCCTGATCCTGGTCATAGCTGACCCCTCACCCTGGTCACAGACTGGCTGTGAGGAATGTAGATGGTAGAATGCACACAACTTCCATTATAGAAATCACACCTAAAATTGGGGGTAATATGTGTATCCCCCTTTTCTCAGCCCTCTACTTTCTATTAAGTGCCTGAATTACTTAACATTTTGGGTTTGGCCCTCATAGAGAAAAGAAAGATCTTGCTGTCTCTCCATGTGTTTCTCTAGTCTAGGGGCTGGGGTCCTTGAGTCAGGGGAGGCTGTCTTCTCTAGTCTTGCTTCCTTTGCATACAGCAGAGTAAAACGGGGTGGAGCAGCCTAGCCTGGAGAGAGACGTCTCTTAGAAGAGTTTGTCTCAAGCTCAGGGCTCTCAGGTAGCTGGAATTTATGGCGTCAGCCCCGCCCCATGTCATTAATAAAGGAAAATTAGCCCCCTCTGGGTGAGGACATTTTTCACTGGAGTCTGAGGGCTGTAATGAGGCGCTATCAAAGCCCTAACGTGCCATATGAGTTTTATATGCCGTTTCCTACAAGTTCTGAACAGCTCGGCCGATTTATAAGGTAATGATTTTTCCATCCATAATTTCTTTCGTATGATTTTGGTAATGTGGACATTTCCCCCTCTTGACTGGGCTGTGCACAACCTAGTTGAGTGGATTAAGGCAGGATGGAGAGGGAGAGCTTTTTTCTGAGGCCCAGATCCATGTGCAAGGGCTGCAGGGCGCTGGAGCAGATGTGAGGGAATACTGAGCTCAGTTCCGCATCTGCTGCTGACTCCTGCAGCCACTGTGTGCAATTGACTTTCCAGCTCTGGGCCTCAGTTTCCCCATCAGTCCAGTGAGAGGGCACCATTCAATGTCAGTTGACATAACAATGTCAAAACTATTCAATTCATTGCAACCCGACATATTTCCATGCATAATGACCCATGCCAGCCACTGTGCTGGCCATTGGAGACACGAAGATAATCAATATGGGCCCTTCCTCCAAGATGGAAGAACTCTCCAAAAGGAGTTGCATGCTTTCAGAACATAGAGGCGACCAGTCCTTCCTGTGAAGGGGGTGGTGTGGCAGCGCACCATGGAAGATAAGTCCATTTTACCTGGCTAGGAATGACCCACTGCAGAGCTTTTCAGTTGAGGTAGTGTCCTCTTTAACCTTAGCTAAGACCTTGGCGGCAGGCCCAGCCTCCCCAAGTGCAAGACCACCTCCAAGTTCCCCCAAGAAGGAGCAGTTTCCAGGAAAAGCCCTTATTCTTTCTCCTTTCCCAAGGCCAACACCTCCTCTCCAGATGCTCCAGTGGGGAGGAGGTCAGAGAAGAAACACCTGGGAGGATCCCTGCACACCATAAATCTACCCCTCTCCATCCTTTGATCTGGACACTCCTATCTCCCGCAGATCACTGCCCAGGAGGTAGCTATCGAGCTGAGGGTCAGAGGGCACCCAGCCCTCATTTGTGTGTGTGTGTGTGTGTGTGTGTGTGTGTGTGTGTGTATGCATGTTTTAACTTAACCTGGCCTGCATTATGTTAAGCCAGAATGTGTTACAGGTGTGAATCACTCCCAGTCTAGGTGGATGATCTATATGGATGTTCACCCATTGTCCATGTTCCAACTCAAGAGTGGTTCAAACTGAAAAATACAGTAAGTCCCCCAGATGTTTCGTCTACAGGACTCAGTGAGCCCCTGCAGGGATTTTTTTCCTTTTGTTCCCTGAATTGACCAGATGCCTTGCCTTCCCTGAGACCTGGCCTCTATGTTTCATGTACCTCACTCTCACTGTCTCACTCAACCTCCCCAGCACCTCAGACGTGAGGGTCACAATCAATCCCCTCCACAGGTGAGGAAATGAAGACCCAAACAGGCACAGCCCCAGCTATGGTCATACAGAGAATTAGAGAAACAGGCTAGGAACTCAGGCCTTCGGCTCTTGGATGAGCACATATCACTTCTACCACATCAGCTCCTTCTCACTGCCCAGGAGTAAGTCTAGCTCATTTCACAGATGAGCCAGATGGGCAGTTGGAGCAGGTGGAAATGGCAATGGGGCAGCTCTTGGCATCCCTCTTTCCCATTCCTCAGAAGTTGGTGCATTTCCCTTGGAAAGAAAAGCCACTTCAACTTTCCTGTAATCAAGTTTTTTAATTAACTGGAGGGGGAAGCATGCTGAATGTATTAACCACATCTTAGCTATATGCTGGTTCTTTTCTTTTTTTAACTTCTTCATTGAGAAGCTCTAGCAGTCTTTGCATAGCAGCTATTAAAGTATTGCCATAAAGCCAGGTATGGGAAGTCCTTAAGCCTGGCTACTCACGCAGACCCCCTTTGCAAATTTATGAAGATAGAGACACTTCCTCCACCCTTTCACTTTCCCAGCATGCAGGTCAGCCCTGGAAAGAGGAAACGTACTGTGTGTGTCAGTTCATTCAGCAAGCATTTACTAAGCACTTACTATGTGCCAGGCATTGTTCTAGGGATTTCAAATAGAATAAAACGTGTTCATTTCCTTTAAGAAGCCCACAGTTCAATGAGGACTAAACACATTAGGAGGTAACTATTCAGATTATAAAAATACATTCCTTATTATACAAAAATAATCTCTCAGCAGCCACATTGTCTGTGGTCATATATTCACATACCTTGTATCTAAAGCCCCTAAAAGCAGACTTTAAACACCCACTCTATAATGAATTTGCTGCACATATGCCTGAGGAGAGATAGTTTATTATGATTATAATTATAATTTTTCTTCTCATTGTCATTAATAGCAGTCTCTAAAGTCAGACTTCCTTGGTTCATATCCCAGTTTCACCATTTACTGGCTGGGTGACTGTGGGCAAATTACTTTACCTCTCTGTGCCTCAGTCTCCTAATATGTAAGAGGAGAATAATAGTGCCTGTAGCATAGATTGTTTTGAAAATTAGCAAAGATCATGGCTGTCAAGGTTTTACCCCAGTGCCAGACACTTAGTAAGAGCAAAATAATTACTCACTATTTTTGTTGTTATTATCCTAATATTAAGAAGAGAAAGTGTGGATTAAGGAGGTAAAATATGTCAGGGTAGGGTTAGACCTGAGACCAAGCTCCTAAATGAGATCATCTCCAGTTATCAATCACTACCATGCTAACGGACATGCTCTTTCCATAACGTGGCAGAAAAAGGGGTGGGAAGGTGAGCTTTTCTTGGAGGTGGAAGGGGCAAGGCATAGTCATTGGAACACAGGGGCCAAAGCTGGTCACGAGCACGCACCTGACCAGCGTCTGGAGATTGATGGACGGGGGACAGTGATGCTGGGTGGATGCCTGCACAGGATGGAATCCTCACCCTGTCTCCACCTGTCTTGGAAGGTGCTACCTGTTGGTGACTGCTGGAGGATCTCCTGCCCTGGGGGAGGGATGTGACCAGGTGTACTTCTGTCTTGCTCAAAGAACTGCAGTTCTTACATTACAGGGGCCCATCAGTCTGTGACTCAAGCCACCTGAGAGTCTGACTCTGAGTGTCTAAGTCAAAGGATCTCAGCTTCTGTTAATATCCAGTTGAAGAATTTACCCAAGTTCCTGACCTTTACTCATGCTGCTTTCACTGCCTGTAATTCTCTTACCATGAATCCTGTCTGTTGAAATCTTATCCTCGTAGGCCCAACAGATGTTCCTGAATCCATCATTCCCTCTCCGGGACTCACATCACTTTATGCTTTTTTCTCCTGTGAAGAATTTAGTTCATTCTGCCTTACCCTTGGAGCAGAGCGTCTGCCCATCTCTTGGGTTTGCCAGAGAGTAAGCACTGTACCTTAGCACACCTGAGTCCCAGGCACTCAGGCCAGAGCCTGGCCCAAAAGATGTTCATTGAGATCATAGGGATTGGAGTTGGAGGGCTAACGGCATCTGGGCAATGAGAGAAACACATCACATTGATGTGATCAGAGGACACAGAAAAGATGAACTTCTCCCGCCTCCAAGCTGGGCTGCCAGCCAGCCCTGGATGGGCCCCAACTCATATGGACCTCGTATAAGAAGGTGGCCCCCAAGAGCCACCCTCCCTCCCCAACTCTGGGCAGGCATGGACACACACGACTCTTGTGGGCTCCGGGAGAAAAAGGCCTATTCAAAGGGTGGCCTATAAAACCTCTTAGCTTGCACTCAGAGGCTTATATCACTTTTTAAAGTGTGGTCAGCACGGTGTTATTGCACTGGGGCTGCAGGGGACGGTGACATGATTTACTTGAGTAATTAACTGGTTGCTGCACCCAAACTCTAAGCAAACACAGTGCACTTGGCTGAAATTACCTGCTTCCGAGCTCCAGCTTTTCCTTGTGGGGTTCAAAGACATTCCAGGAGTTAGGGCTAAAGTCAGCTTCTATTGGGGCTTTCTTCCACATGTTACGGGCCTGGGGCTGGGTGCCCATCGAGAGAGGCTCCACAGCCCTGGCCATTCCATTTCCAAAAAGATCTATTCTGAATTGGCATCTTGGGAGGGGATAAACTACCCCATGTTTGGTTTCCTCTTCTTTTCAGGCTCCACACCCCACTCATCTGCCTTCTCCTGCAAGGGAGTCCTGTTGTCAGCAGGCTTTGACTGAGTTGGCAACTTCTTAAAACAGTTCTTACTTGAATTTCGGGCCACCCCTCTGTCTTCACTGCTTGCCTGGCTGGCCACTCCTTCACAGTGTTCCAGCTGGTTCCTCCTCATGCCCCTGACCTCTAAACATTAAGGTCTCTACCCATAAACCTCTCTTCTGTCTTCCTTCCTTTAAAAAGTCATCTCCCAAATGTATAACTCCATCCTGGACTTCCTTCCTGACACTCCGTCTGGTTGTTCAGCAGGCACTTCAAAATGCACATACCCTAAACCAAACTCCAAATCTTCCCCTACTCCCAAGCCTGCTCCACTCCGACAGTTGCTCAGGCCAGATCAACGGGGCTCATGCTGACTCCTCTTGCTCTCGCCCTACGTCCAGTTGGTCAGCAGACCCTATTGGCTCTACCTTCAGTCTGCATCCAGAACACCCCTGCTCACTTTCTCCCCTTCTCTCATAAGCCGCTGGACCAGGGTCCCTGCGTCTGCCCTGCACCCTGGCATTTTCTCCTCCACTCTACAGGCAGAGGGAGCCTTTAACATGCAAATCAGGTCTTATGCCCCCGGCTTAAAACCCTCCAGTGGCTCCCTCCTTGCTCTAAGGAAAAGGGTCTTCAGGATGGCCTTAGGTCCTGCTTGACAATCACCCCACCCCTACTGTCACCACTGACCTCATCTCACACCTCCCTCCTCCACCCCCTTTCACTATACAGCAGCCACACTGGCCTCTTGCTGTCCTTCGGGCAGCTGCCATGCTCCTTCATCATGACACTACCTCTGTCTAAAATGGTCCTTAGATCTCCCCAGGACAGCTCTCTTAGCCCCTTCAGTTCTCAGCTCCAACATCCCCATCCCAGTGAAGCTGTCCTTGGCCACACTAAACAGAACAGCTCCTGCCACCTCCCTTACTTTGCTTTATGTTTGTCCACAGGGGTTATCACCACCCTACACACCAAGTATCCACTTGTTAATTCCTCTCTTCTGCTACAATGAAATCTCCACACATTAGAGAGTTAGTTTTGTTCACTGCCATAAACAGTTTCTGAATGGGGCAGACGCATCCATAGGAATGAATCATCCAATTAGCTATTTCAGAAGCATTGCAGGGAGGAAAATGAAGCTCAGAGAAGTAAGCCACTTGCCCAAGTGAGTGCCCACACTGGGGACTGAATCTAGTCCTGGCTGCGTACTTGTTGTGTTATAGAGCATGCTTTTTCTTTCCTGAAGTTTGAACTTCCAAACCATGTCACCTGGAAGCTTTCCACCGAGGCTGGTGCTGGAGGGAGAGGAAAGGCAGATGTCTGTAGGACCAGTATCCTCCCCCCTGGGAGGGTATAGCCCCAGCAGGGACCAGGCAGAATAAGAAAGGCAAAGGAGGGAGCCTGGGGACAGATGGAGTCTACTGCCCTGAGGCAAGGTGAGCCAAAATGTGATCCCCTGAGCCCTGGGGGTGGTCAAACGAACTCTGAGGTGGCCAGAGCCCCTGAATCAGTGGCCTCCAACCGTGGGCAGCCTCTGCCTTTTACCCTAGTGCACCCTGCCAGTATCACCATTCTCTATGAGAGTCTAGATGGGGAAAAGCTCAGAAAGGGAAGCTAAAATCAAAGAGCTACATTGTGCCCGGCACTTTCTACAAACCTTTTGTCTAAATTTTCACAGGAGCCAGCTTTGTTATCAAACAAGGCAAAGGAGAAGGTTGGTTTCGGCCAGGCGCAGTGGTTCATGCCTGTAATCCCAGCACTTTGGGAGGCTGAGGCGGGTGGATCACGAGGTTGGGAGCTCAAGACCAGCCTGGCCACGGTCGTGAAACCCCATCTCTACTAAAAATACAAAAAAATTAGCCAGGCATGGTGGCAGGTGCCTGTAATCCCAGCTACTCAGGAAGCTGAGGCAGAGAACTGTTTGAATCCAGGAAGCAGAGGTTGCAGTGAGCTGAAATCACACCATTGCATGACAGAGCGAGACTCTGTCTCAAAAAAAAAAAAAAAAGAAAAAGAAAAGAAAAGGAGAAGGTTGGGTCATCCTTGCAAGACCTGTCCAGAAAGACTGCTCAACTGGTTGCCCCTGGCTCTGGGAACCTGCCTTTCCTCCACCTTGCCCCTCCCCAAGCTGAGCTCATTAGTCCCTGGCTTGTGCCTCCCCTGGCTTCTCTGCTGACATGATTCCCACCGGGCTGTGGGCTCCTCTAGACCAGGAGCTCCTCGGCAGTGTAACTCCCCATCCATGCCTCTTCCTGCACCTCCCAGAGAGCCTGGCAAGTGGTAAGCATTCAGTGACAATGAATGAATAAGTGAAAGAGTGAGTGAAAGAAGATAGGGGTGGGTTGTGTGACAGTTCAGGGATTCAGGCGCTGGCCTGGCTGCCCCTGCAGATATAGGAACAGGTGAAAACCTTGTATCCAGGGGAGCAGGGAGTCTTATCTTGTTGCTGCAACATCTGGTATGTGTGTTGGGTTGGGGAAAGCCTTGGCCTGCCTTAGGAGACAAGACAGGTAAGGCAAATTGTGTGCCTTACCCAGTTTTCTAGCAAGAGAGTCCAAAGGCCCTACAGCAAAACCAAAATGGGTGCAGGCAGCAGGTAACCAGGGGCTCTGCTTTACTGCTATGGAGAGAGAGTCACAGAGAGAGATTAAATGAGTTAAGGAGTTAAGCAGTTGCCCTCCCCTCGTCAGTCATTTATTGCTGGCCATTTTAGTAACAGCAGTGGTGATGGCAAGGACACTGTCAGTGTTGCCCAAGGTCACCAAGCACTCCACGCAGGAGGTAGGCCTGCTCCAGACTGTCAGGTTTGAATAGGCTTCATTCATTCTCTCTCTCTTTCCTTCCCTGTCACATGGGTCCAGCAGCCCAGGGTTCAGAAGGTCAAAAAGGCTTTCTGGAGGAGGGGAGATGGAATTGGCAGGTGAGCTACAGCCACAGAGCTTAAGGACAATCTCCATCCTTAAACTTAAGCAGCAAATTTTTCTCTTTTTCTTAATCCTTGAGAAATGTCATCACGCCCCAAGTTGATTCCTTCTCCCTGGGCCCCACTTCAGGCAGAAGCTCAGTGCTGCCAGCAGGGAGTTTGGAGCTCATAACTCAACTGTGGTCAGGACCTGGGGGGGCCTGATTCCAATTAAAGATGTCAAATATATTTATGGATTATGTAATCAACAGGTATGAAGCAGCCTCGATAGCCACCAGGGCCACCCTGAAGACAGGCCTGTCATTAATTAATCCCAGTGGGTCTGCCAAACTCTGTTGCCAACATGAGTGCTCTAAAGAATGCTGTGGACCAGGGAGGGACAGGAGGCTGGGCCTATAGGGTCTGTCTAAGCAGAGAAAAGAATGTTAGAGGAAGACTCAGGGGATTTGCCTTGGAATCATGGCTGTACCACTTACCAGCTTGACTAGTGTGACCTTGAACAAGTTACTGAATCTCTGAGGGCCTCAGTCTCCACTGCTGGAAATGGAAAGGATGATACGTACCTCTGGGGGCCTTGTCGAAGACTGCTTAAGGCAATGTATGTGAAAGGGCTCAGCATGTAGCGAGTGCCCATCAGTTGTTGACTGAGGAAAGGACGGCCCTGGAGTGAGCGTGCTTAACTTCCCCAGTCCCTACATGATAGTGCCCACCATCTGCTGTGATAGTGACCAGGACTCATGGTCCTGGTCCAGAGACCAAGATCCTCCGATTGTTCACTCAGCAAACCCAGACTCTCATTAGGCCCTGGGCTGCACCCCAGGCCCCAGAACAGAATCCGAGGAGGTAAACACTCTCCAGGAACTCACAGTTTACAGGGGAGATGTCCACACTACCCTGGACCTACAGAAAGGCTGATGACAGTGGCAGCAACAAGCTTGGCCATCGATGGAGGGGGCAGCCAGACACAGCACTCAACACTGCCCATGTCCAGCTCCCCACCCTCAACTTTATTCTACCAGGTAGCCAGGGGTTCTGCTTTACTGCTATGGAGAGAGTCACAGAGAGAGATTAAATGGTGTGACCGGAGTTAAGCGGTTGCCCTCCCCTCATCATTTATTGCTGGCCATTATAGTAACAGCAGTGATGATGGCGAGGACACTGTCAGTGTTGCCCAAAGTTCCCACGCACTCCATGCAGGAGCTGGGCCTGCTCCAGACCCTCGGGTTTGAACAGCCTCAGTTCATTCTCTCTCTGCCCTTCCCATCAGAGGTGTAGTTTGCATTTCATAAATTCCCTCTGGCTGCAGGCTGGAGCGTGGATGGCAGGGATCCAGAGAGGAGGTTGATCCACTACTCTGGGTGGAGGACCATGAGGCCTGAAGCCAGGTAGTGTCAGCTTGATAAAGGGAAAGCTGTAGCATCCAGAGACATTGAAGAGGCTGAATCAGTCTCACTGGGGGACTGGTTAGGTGTGAGTGAATGTGTTTCTGTGTGGGTGAGTGTGTGTGTGTGGTGGGAGTGAGGGGGCAGGCTCCTAGCACTTGCAGTGGAGGTGTGCACAGAGCTAAAGGCCATCCCATATGTCCCCGTGCCCACTCTGCTTGCTCACGGGTGTGTGTGTCAGGCCCCTGGCCTTTATGCAGTAGTCTCTTCTCTGAGAATAGACTCTGTGGTGGGGTTGTGACCTCTCGGGTAACGCTTACTCCATTGTATAACGTCCTGTCACCAGAGCACTGGCATCCATGATCTCACCTTATCCCACAATGTCTTGAAGGCAGCGTTCCAATCTATCCCACAAGGCCTGACGCCAAGGGTGTGGCTTATCACAGCAGATGGGGACCAGGACTGATGGCCTCCGTGCCAACCCAGTGCCCTCCCGCCACATGAGGGTATCAGAGTAACAAGGGCAGACAGAAACAGCCCAGGCCGCAAGCCAGCTGGAGCTCCAGCTTTCGCCCCTGCCTGGACATCTCTCCCGTTTCGTCTCAGGAGTATTTAGGGCTCAGCCTTGACCCTCTGATTGGACTGCTCATTTCTCCATTTCCTCCTCTCTTCTTGGTCAGGCCCCAGTGTGCTGAATCTGCTGTGTGGCCCTCAGTATGTCCCTTACTCTTCTGGGCGTCAGCCATCATATCTGTCAGCCATGTGACTGCATCAGTCGATAGCCATGTCTTTCCAGCACTGACCATTTGTGGTTTACACTGCGTCTCCTTACAAGTGTCACCAAAGGGACTTAGTCTTCTTCAGTGGATGACTTGGAAGTGAATATCTAAACCTATCAGCAGTAACTGACCCTAGGGACTATTGTTCAACACTCTTGGGTTACTGACCAGGAAACAGAAGATTCAGAGAAGTTAATGAAGTGCCCAAAAGCAGCCAGCAAGCTGCAGACAGACTCAGAGCCTCACAGAGCCTGCAGGAACCTCAGACATGAGCTGCAGCCGCTCTTCTTGGGCTGCAGACCCTGCTGACCCTCCTCCAGAGATGGATGCTCACCACCTCCTTGGGAAGTCCATTCTGCTATGGGCATTGATAATCTCAAGCCTCAGCCTTCCCTGCCTCATCTTCCAAGCAGGACAATTAACATTTGCCTTCTTGCCCAGATGCCTTTGGGTCCCTGGATGAATGACTTCCAGAAAGGTCAGCTTAGCTTAGAAACCAGCCATGGATGTGTCTGACAAAGGGAAACCAGTGTTCTTGGAAGTGGGGTAGGGTGAGAGGGAGGACAGTGGCAAAGTCTCATTGCAAACAGACTGTCTCACACTGCTTCCTTTGAGTGCTGTGTAAATTGGCCCTAAATTACACAAAGGCAGGGCTGTGCCGGCCTGCCCAGGGCAGGTGTCCAGCCTTGAAAGGTTACATGGGATTCTGGTTAAGGGCTGGACTTCGCCCTGAGATTACTTGAATCCCCGTGCTGGCTCCACCTTCTCACTCTGTAGACTTGAGCACATAATTTAACCTATCTGTGCCTCGGTTTCCTCATGAGATGAACCATGGGCTATAATAGTATCTGCCTCTTAGGGTTGCTGTGAGTATTAAATGAGGAAACCCATGGAAGGGGCCTGGAAAAGGCCTGGCCCATAGCAGGCTACATTCTTCCTTTTTTCGTGCTTATTTGCACCGCTGTGCAAACCTAGTGCAATAATTGCCCTCGGGAATCATTTTCCGCTCATCACTCAGAGTTTTCAGGAGGACTCGGGCCATGGAATGTGCATTCTTCAGAAGCCCGGTTCGTCTCTCTCTCCGCCCTGCAGAGGCCTGATGGTCAAGGTGATACAGACAGGAGGCGAGTCCAAGGCACTGAACTCAGATACAGTCACAGGAGGCTCTTGGGGACCTTGGCGGGAGCAGAGGCAGGGAGGGTCTGGGTGGAAGTCAAATTAGATCTGGTAGGAGATGGGGAAGTAGGAAATGGAGACTGTTGAGATCGGCTGTGAAGGAGATGGGGCTGCATTGGGTAGAGGGAGTGTGAGGGTTCCTTTAAGAGATTTTAAACAGGCCTGGTCACCCTTGGATCCCAAATATCTGTCAGGGCCAAGAACCCGTTCTTAACAAGACGTCCTAATGTGGGAAAAATGCAGATCTGTTCCCTCTTGGTGCTGAGGTTATGACATTTCCTCATAAGGAGTCCACTGTACTGCTGGCCCTGGCTGTGGACTCCCAGAGCCCAGCAGGGGAGAGGGTTGGATCCCACCAGCAACTGTTCTCATCCCAGCCCTGGCTTCCTGAGCCCCAGTGCTCTCCCCTGTGGTGTGAACTTTCACAGGATTTTAGGCTTCTCTCTGGATGACAAAAAGGCCAGTGAATTTCAGTTCAGTGAACAAACACCACACCTAATAGGAAGCCACTCTATGACAGGCTTTGGGGGACCCCAGATTAAGAGGGTTTCCTAGTTCATTTGGGCTATTGGACCTAAATGCCATAGACTGGGTGGCTTATAAACAACAGAAATTTATTTCTCACAGTCCTGGAGGCCAGGAAGTCCAAGATCAAGGCACCAGCATATTCAGTGTCTGGTAAGGGTGTGCTTCCTGGTTCATAAAAGGCAGTCTTCTAGCTGTGTCCTCATATGGTGGAAGGGGCAAAGGACCTCTCTGGGGTCTCTTTTGTAAGTACTAATCTCATTCATGAGGGCTCCGCCCACATAACCTAATTACCTCCCAAAGGCCCCACCTAGAAATACTATCACAGTGGGAATTAGGTTTCAACAATGAACTTTGAGGGGACAAAAACATTCTGTCTATGAAGGCATCACTGCCCTCTTGGATTGCTCACAGTTAAGAATAATCGCCAACATTTCTTGGATACCAACATTTATTGGATACCTACTATATGCCAAGCACTCTGCTTTAAGGACAACACACATAATTCCATGCAGTCTCTAGATGAGGGGCTGTTGTTTCTCCTTTGCACAAAAGAAGGAACTGGGGCCCTGAGAAGTTGAATGATTGCCCCAAGCCACACAGCTAAGAAGGCTGAGGGGCAAGATTCAGGCCAGGCCACCAGGGTGGCCTCCCACAGTCCACTGGAGGTCAGTCTCTTCTCTTTGACATGCATGGCACACTCATTACCTTATTAGGGATATAGGTAAACCTTGGATTGTCCATAGTTATCCCCATTTGAAAGATAAGGAAACTAAGATTCAAAAATGGGGCATTACTTGCCCAAGGTCATCTAGACTGAAATGACAGCTTTTTCATGTGAACCCAGGTCTATGACTACTTGCATTTTGAGTTAGTTTTCCTAGTAGTTGCCCCGAGAATTATAAATTCATATTAATATCAACTTAATGACAATAATATATAAAAACTTTTTCTGTGTAGCTCCTTTTCCTCCCTCCTCCTTTGTGCCATTATTGTCATACAAATTGCATCCTTGTACCTCATCAGTATAGATTTATAACTGCTTTTATGCCTTTTAAATCAGACAGTGGAAAAAAGTCACAAATGAAGAAATGAACTAAGAACCAGAACCCTTCAAAATTCATTTTTCATTTGTACTGTCTTTTATACTTACCTACATAGTTATCTTTACTGGTACCCTTTATTTCTTCCTGGGTTTATGTCGCTGTCTAGTGTCCTTTCATTTCAGCCTAAATGATTCACTTCAGCATTTAGTGAAGGGAAGGTATGTTGGTTACAAATTATCTCAATATTTGTTCATCTGAGAATATCTTAATTTCTTCTTTGTTATTGAGAGATAGTTTTGCTGGATATAGAATTCTTCATTGACGTTCTTTTCCTTTTAGCACTTTTTAATATATCACCTTCTGGCCTCCATGATTTCTGTTGAGAAATCAGCCATTAATCTTACTGAGCTGTATGATGGTTCAGTTGTCTCTTGCTCCTTTCAAGGTTCTTTCTGTCCTTGGCTTTTGACAGCTTGATTATGATATGTCTGGGTGTGGATCTCTTTGAATTTATCCTACTTGGAGTTCACTGAGCTTCTTGGTTGTGTAGATTAATGTTTTTAAATCAAATTTTGGCAGTGTTCAGCCATTATTTCATCAAAATCCTTTATCCTTCTTTCTTTCCTTTCCTTCTTGAACTCCCAGTATGCATATGTTGGTACACTTGATGGTGTGCCATGTTTGTTCATTTTTTAAATTATTTTATCTTTTTGTTCCTCAGACTGAATAATCCCAATTGGCCTATCTTCAAATTTGTTGATTCTTCTGCCTGCTGAAATATTTTGAGCTCCTCTAGTGAATTTTTCATTTCAGTTATTGTACTTTTCAACTATACAATATGTGAATGTTTATTTGGTTCTTTCTTTAAAATAATTTCTGTTTATTTATTACTATTCTATATGTGATGAGGCATAATTCTCATACATTTCTTTAGTTCTTCAGACATGGTTTCCTAGTTCCTTGATCATATTAAAATAGCTGATTTAAAGTCTTTGCCTAGTAAGTCCAACTTCTGGACTTCCTCAAAGATACTCCTTATTAACTGCTTTTTTCTCCTATTTATGGCTCATAGTTTCTTGTTTCTATGTATTTCTAGTAATATTTTTGTTGAAA
This sequence comes from Homo sapiens, assembly GCF_000001405.40. Taxonomy (NCBI): domain Eukaryota; kingdom Metazoa; phylum Chordata; class Mammalia; order Primates; family Hominidae; genus Homo; species Homo sapiens. Next base: position 47,834,850 of record NC_000001.11, on the reverse strand, counting down.
ATTTGACACTTAAAAGAATATAATGTGGCAAATCTGGAAATCAGATTCTCTTCCCTTCTCAGGATTTGTTGTTGCCTTTGCTGTTTGTTGTCACTATTTAATTAATGACTTTTCTGAACTAATTCTGTAAAGTCTGTAAAGCCATTGAAGTCTCTGCTCAGTTAGCTTTGTGATCAGCTAATGATTAGACAGAGATTTACTTAAACGTCTGGAACCAGTAAGTCCCTCAGTCTTTGCTGAAGGGCTCTGTGTGTGTGTGTGTGTGTGTGTGCGCGTGTGTGTGTGTGTTGGAGCACATCCTTAACACCCATCCATGCAGTTTACAACTCTGCCTTAGCCTGCACTTCCTGTTTTAAAGCCTCAAGGTTAGCAGAGGTGAGAGCTTAGAGCCTTCTCAGGTCTTTCCTGAGCATGTACATAGCTCTGGGCATTTACACAGCCCTATGCTTGCATGCAGCCTTCTAGATTCTCAGGAATATGTTGGAGCTTCTCAGAGCCCATGTGGACATCTTATTTCCTAGCTTTTCCTTTAAAGCTTTTTGGTTAGTCTCTTGTATGATCCAGCTGTTTTCGAATGCCTCAGGCTGCTGTGATGTTCAAAAATTTGACTCTGATTGTCTGCAACAAACGCCCCTGGGGAAAATGCTGTTAGCACAAAGCAAGCTTTAGGTCAGATCAAATACAGACAGCATTGAGGGTAGGATCTTCCAGAGAACCATCAGATGGGTCAAACAGTGATAGTTGTCTGGGAATGGGATTTTGAAGGAGCTCCAACCCAGTTTTTCCTTTGCCAGTGACTGCCAGGCTGCTGGTTTTCACTGGGATTGCAGGTGTTGGTTTTCAAGGATACTGCAGAAGGCGTATGGGTAATAGGGCAAGTTAAAATGCCACAAAGCTTACTGTTTTTACTGAGATTTTGCTGATTAATGTTCCCTGGAATCCCGCAAGCCTTTGGTTAATTTCCAGAGTTCTGAAAAAGCTTATTCTGACCATTTTTGTCTGTGTTCTTGTTGCTTTATGAAGGGGAGAATTTTCAGAGGTCCTTAGTCCACCAAATGGTTCACTGATATCCAACTCCTTCCACTTTTGCCAGGAGGCAGGATATACAGGTGTGAAAGGGCAAGCTGGATGTAAGAGAATGCAGAAGGCAATGTCCTGAAGATCTACTAAGTGGCAAAAGGTATGGGTATTATAAGGGTCATAGAAGCCCTCAGAAGGGCATGATTAAGGTAGACTGAAAAACAGGTAAATGTTACTAGAGGCAGTGAGACTCCAGATTACTCCAGCTACCAAGAGGGAAGGACTAGGCATGTGTTCACCCATCCCAGCATCTTCTGTCTCCTGACAACCTCTTCTGCCAATGATCATTCCCCAGCCAGATCTTTGACCAGGGTCATGGTTATCTTAACTCAACCAAATGCTACTGCCCTATCTGGGAAAGTTGGTTTTAGTTTTTAAATTTCAACCTCTTTTCAAGGCTGCACCTTTTGACCTGCTCAGCCAGGTAGGACCTGAGACTTTATCTTAACTCCACATCTTCTTCTCACCTGTAACATGTCCTTTCCCCTGCTACCTAAGAGCCCAGGGTCAGGTAAATCTGGACTCAGAACTCCTTGGCAAATCAGGAGTCAGATCAAGACTCCCTGGCTCAGAACCTCTCTGCCACCATCCCCCACAGAGCCTGGGATTCCAGTCATCAGTGCTGACTACATCATTGCCTGGTCCAAGCATCTGTGTTTAAATGAATTCTGATTTGCTAAAATACAAGTTTCAAGGGGTTACAAGCCTGGGAGTCAATCCTAATGAATTCTGCCACTTACCACACAATTTATATGGTCTGAATTTCTATGGCTGTAAAATAAACAGGAGGATCTTATTAAATAAGGACCCTCTGAGACTAGGAGCCTATGACTGTGACAGCCAGGTGGAGGGTCACTTTTTCAGGGAGTTACAAAGCCTTCCCAGCTCCTCAAAGCAGAGTTAGGTGCCTTCCCAGGTCCTCACAAGCTCCCGTGCCTCCCCCTGCCCCACTCTGAGAGCCCCAAATAGCTAGTGACTATTTGCAACTGTGTCTCCCTAACCACACCAAATATAAAAAGAACAAAGAAACTACCAGATTCTTCTCTGTGCCCCTAGCACCCAGCGTCAAGACTTGTAGACAGCAGGTGCTCAAGTAATGTTAGTCCCTACTATTATAAAATTATTGGGACTTAACTAGGGTTTCCTGATAGTCACAGTGCAGCCCTTCAGCACCTGCAGAAGACTGTGAAAGGGAGAGAGGAAGGAAGAATTATAGCCATTTAAATTTGTAAATGCTTTGGTACCTATTAGTTATCCACTAACAAATATTTGCTAAGCCCCTGCTAGTCCCATGCATTTAAATCATCCCCCCCAAAACAGGATTGCTATTGTTATCCCTATTCTGCAGTTTAGGAAGCCAAGTTTCTGAGAGATGATGTGCCTCCCCTGTGGTCATGACTGGTCGGACTGGACCCACGTCTGACCTCTTTTTTTTTTTTGAGACGGAGTCTTGCTTGTTGCCCAGGCTGGAGTGCAGTGGCGTGATCTTGGCTCACTGCAAGCTCCGCCTCCCGGATTCACGCCTTTCTCCTGCCTCAGCCTCCCAAGTAGCTGGGAATACAGGCACCCGCCACCATGCCTGGCCAATTTTTGTATTTTTTTAGTAGAGATGGGGCTTCACCACATTAGCCAAGATGGTCTCGATCTCCTGACCTCGTGATCCGCGCGCCTTGGCCTCCCAAAGTGCTGGGATTACAGGCATGAGCCACTGCGCCCAGCCCGACCTCTTCTTTAAGAGTCTGACTCACATGACTCCAGGACAGGCAGACACCAGTGATCATAAAACATAAGCTCCAGACCATAGGAGTTTTTTTGCTGTATCACAGTGCCTAGAACAGCACTTGGAGCACACAGTAGGTGTTCAGTAAATACTCATCTCATTGAATGAGTCTTCCAAAGTTCAAGTAAAGGATGAGCGACGACATACTGGAAGAAGAAGCCTGGCAAGAGGAGAAAGAGCCAGGTGCTCCGTGTGCCAGTCGTCCTGCAGTAGCTGTGGGTGGGAACTACACACCCAGGCCAAGGAGCATGCCAACTCACCCAGAGTCACCTAGCCAGTTTGCGACCCGCTGGTGATTTGAAAGGTTCTCTCCATCCTCCACGGCTTCGACTTTCGAATTGGAAATGTCCTTAAGACCAATTAATCCACTCTCCTCTCTTTATAAAGAGAGGGGGGAGTGATCACCCAGCATACAGCAGCTCTGTCACTGAGCTGCCATTCTTGGCACCTAAAAGTTGCCCAGAGCACACACCCTGTGAGGCTGCAAGCTCCCTGGGAGCTGACAAATGTCTGCAGATCCTGGAGGTGTATACACACATGCCTGCGAACACACAAAAGACGTTCACACTGCGCCCGCAGCAGCAAAGGAGCCCCAGGCTCCTCTGAGTGTATTTTAAATCCATTCTGACTCCCCAGAAAGTCTGTTTTTGTTATTCACGCTGACCTTTTAAACTCCATGCAGTCTTGCATTTTTCCCGAGGCCTCAGTAGGACCTATTAATAATTCTGCTCTCCCACCGAGGCTCTGGGCTACAGCCGGCTTTCTTACGTGCTGTAAAAGCCAGTCCTCCCAACTGTTGGTGAGTTTGCCCCCCGTCTCCAGACAATTAGAGGGAAAAGCATAGGCACCCCCCAGCCATGGGGATAGGAGACCAGCACACGTAGCTGCCTATACTCTTCAAAGGTGAGGACACGTGGCAACCAAGGACAGAATCAGGGCACTCAAGGGCTGGGGGAATGTGGCTCAGTCGGGCCCCCTGCCTCTCTGGTCGCTTTCACCTTTCTCTGAGCAAACATCTCTGCAAATAAATCTCCTCTTTCTGCCTTTCTCTCTCTCTGCTGGGTTACTGCTTCAGTTTCATTAAAGACGCTGGAAACATTCTTCGGGCTCAGCTGAGATATATAATACAGAGAACAGAGATTTGCTTCATAACCCACAAACTATTAAAAATATTAGTGTCCCCCAGAGAGTCTCTCTTAAAGATTCCTTCTCCCTCTTTGCCTCCGTCTTTCCCTGGCTCACAGTGCCAACAATAATGCAGGCAGGCTGGGCTAAGCCATTTCCTTGAAAGAAAATAAAAAAGAGATAACAGGCCTTGGAGAAACCTCTCTTTGTGCCTGAATAATATCCGTCATCCTATATGTCTGACTAGAGCTTTGTACTTGTCAAAGCCTCCTTTCACCACTCTTACATTGTTTAATCCTCAAAGATGTGCAAAGCAGGGAGGGGCACATCCCTTTTGTTAGGAGGGGAAACCAAGGCCCTGGAGAATGAAGGTGCTTTGGCTTTGAGGCAGAGCTGGGACTAGAACCCAGTTCCTTCTGATTCCCAGCTTGGTGGGTTTTCTCATGCAAGTGAACTTACGAAGTCACTTCATTTCTTGGTAGCAAATGCCTGGTGCATATGCAGCCCCTGTGATCTCTCTGTCCTTACTGTCTCCCCAAGGGTCTAGAATTTAATGTTATCACAGGCAACTTGTCTTTCATGTGTTCATCAAAGATGTATTGAGGGCCATCCTCTGGGCCAGGCCCATCCTTGGGGCTGGGAACGGGGCAAGGGGTGAATGAGGGTGCGATGCTGCTGCCTTCAGGGAGGTCCCATCTGGGAGGGGGACATCCTGGGGCAAGGCAGTAAGACCCCAGAAGAGCAGATGGAGAGTCAAGAGCACAGGAGCACTTCTGACCAGGCAGGAAAGGGTCTCAAGAATAATACTTAGCTGGGAATTCTAAGGACGGATGGAATTTAGGCAGAGGGGGTCATGGAAGAGGCTTGGGGGGTGGCAGGGAAGAGAGAAGAAAGTTTAAGGCCCAGAGACCAGAGAAGGCCTGACACAAAGAAGCCCAGTATAGCCAGGTAAAACCATGGGGTGAGTAGTGACAAGAGACCAAGAGGAAGTGGCCATGGGGGCCACTGGCCCCAGTGTTCAGTGACAAAACTGACTTTCTCCTAAGAACAATGGGGTGCAGTAAAGGACTTTTTGTGGTTGGTAATATTTTTTAGAATGTCCTAAGTGTCATGCATGAATTTATTCACGGGAAGTCATTGAATGTGCCATAGGTGCTTGTGTTCCAATTTAAATCTTAGAACTGATGACGAGTGAAGTGAAGGGGACAGGATAAGGAAGGGAGGACCAGGAAAGTGGCCTGAGCATGGGAGTGGCGACAGAGAGGAGTTCTGGGTTGAAGATTTGGGAGGTAGGCTTGGGGATCTGGCAGGGAGTGGTGATGGAGAGGATGGAGTCCGGGCTGACCCCAGCCCAGGGCATCTGCTCCTGCAGACGGATGTGGATTATGCACGCCATCGACAGTGAGGAGTCTAGCGCACAGGAGTGATATGCCAGCAGTCACTCCTAGGCTGCGTAGGAGCTGAGCTGCAACCTCAGGTTCTTCAAGCTGCAGCTTCTAAACACTTGGGCTCCGCTCACAGCCTGCCCTAACTGAGCCCCTCTCCCAGGGGAGTGGGGGTAAGTGAAGCCCCTCCAGGAACTGGCTGGAGACTGCTCCTTGAAAGAAGAACTCTATGGGCAGCTCGAGGTTTGAGAAGCCAGCACATTCCTTCCTTCTTGTCCCCTGGGATATTTAAAATTAGCCTCTTGTAAGCATTTGAAAAGCCAAGACCAGACCCATACTGATGTCCCAACATAAGAGACAAGTCAGGCACAGGACCTCTCTGGGGTCCCTGGGGCCAGTCATCCTCAGTTTCCTCAGCAGTAATGACCCTCCCTGCCCTCCCCACATCACAGGCTCAGGGTAGGCATCAAATGAGAGCATTGTCCTCCAGCCATGGTTCCTGCATCCGCAGCATTGGCCGATGCAGACGCACAGTAGGTGTGCACAGGACGGAGGCAGGCTGTGGAGCTTGAGAGGCTCGTGGGGAAGGGGGCTGGGTCATAGCCCTGCCTCTGCCACCTGTGTGCTGTGAGACCGCTCTAGGTGGCACCTGTCACGTGAGAGTCTAAAACTCCCTGATCTTTTAAGGGCTCCACTTTCTAGGGTGTGGGTGCTTAATGTTGAGGCTCACCCAATGTTGCTATTGGGTTAAATTCAGTCCATCTACAATAGGAAATACCAGGGGCAGCTTCTGAGAGAGGCTGAGGATGAAGAAGCCCCTCTGGGAACCCAAATCCTGACAAGGGGCCACTTAGAGTTCCTGACCAAAGGGACTTATACCTCTGGCCTCGGCATGCTCTGGCCACAAAAGGGAATCATTTGCTGAGTATTTTTCCTTTATTATTTGTTCTACAAACCGTAGGTCATATGTTCCTCAAAGGCTGCAGCAGCTGCTGACTGAGCGGCCCTCGTGCACTGTCAAATCCCAGTGACTTTCTAGCACAATTAAAGGGGATGGGAAGACAGGAGGGGCAAGTGATGTGGTCGCCACTCACCCCTCTGCCTATACTGTCCCCCTCACCCACATAGGGGGACGCCAGGGACTTGGTGGGGGATTTTCAGTTCAGGAGCCTGTTTGTGAGGAAGGAGGGGAGTTTGGAAGACTTCAGAATTCCAAGGACCAGCCAGCGAGGGGGACAGTGCTGCCCATGGGGGTGGGACCACAGAGGGTGAGAGCTAGAACCCAGGAGCCCTAGAGAGAAGGAGGAAACATCGGCTATCTAGGTCGCACCTACTGTGTGTGGCCCTGGACTGAGCCCTTATGCTCCCGTTTGTATGTATGTTGTTAATACCTCAGGCAGGCCTGCAAGGAAGGGCTCATTGTCCCCAGTTAACAGGAGGAAACTGAGGATCCTAGCCTGAGATGCCCGGGCTGAAGGGTGGCCAAGCCTTCTGACCTTGCTGGACTCCCACCCCTTTATGCCCCTGCATCCAAGCTCACTTGACTAAGCCTTGGAGTAGCTGTCCCCAGGTGGTGGTGGCTCAGCTTGACTCAAACCTTATTTAAATCCCTTCTGTTTAAAAAGGGGGGTACCTCATTGTGGGCCAAAGTGGACTCAAACCTTGTTTAAATCCCTCCTGTTTAATAAGGGGGGGTACCTCATTGTGGGCCAAAGTGGACTCAAACCTTGTTTAAATCCCTCCTGTTTAAAAAGGGGGGTACCTCATTGTGGGCCAAAGTGTTGGTGGTTGTCCCTTGCTGGGGCCTCAGCTCCCATTCTCAGAGCAGTGACAAGTGGCTGTTCTGATTATTTTTCCCTAATAGGCCCCTTCTCAATTTGCCGTTTGTTTCCTCAGGGCTGTGGGCCTTGACCTCAACACAAACAAGACAAGTCAGGTGCTGTGAATCTGAAGGGAGGGAAATGCTTCTTTCAGGCTCTGGATCTTTTAGGAGCTCCCTTGGCCAGCTCCACCCCAAATGTTTCATGTCCCAGCAATTTAAAGGCCCTGCATGCAGAGCAGAGAGATAAGGGTCTTGCCATGGGCCACACAGACAGAGGCATTCCAACCTAGGTGGTCCCACTGCAGAGCACATGCAGATGCTGAAAATGTGCCTCTCGATTTGAGAAATCAAGCGTGTCTTCGGCACTGCCTGCAGATTTCCCTGATGCATTCATGTTTCCGGAGCCCTGAGCTGATGAGCTGGGGAATTCCCTGGCTGTCTCCTCCATTACACACCCTGTGAGCCGGAGGCTGAGTTTGGGGAGCTTGCTGGGATAGATGGCATTACAGGGAGTAAAGAGTCTGGGTGGCATCCCTGGCAGCCCCAGCGAGGCCCGTGCTGCATCCTCGCCCTCCCCACCCTACAGTCACACACCCATTCATACTCAGTCCTCCATGGAGTGTGGACACCTTGGCAGAGCCAGACTATGAGGCCCCAAAGGTTTCCCCATCTTTGCCCTAGGCCCCACAGTGTGTGGGGGTCACTACAGAAATAGAACTCAAGAGTCCTGCCCCAGTACTTCCCGATGACTTCCTAAACATCATCTTCTCCAAGAATGGCTCCCTAGGCCGGGCGCAGTAGCTCACACCTGTAATCCTGACCCTTTGGGAGGCCAAGGAGGGAGGATCACTTGAGGCTAGGAGTTTGAGACCAGCCTGGGCAACATAACAAGATCACGTCTCCACTAAAAATTAAAAATTAGCCAGGCATGATGGCACGCACCTGTAGTTCTAGCTATTCGGGAGGCTGAAGCAGGAGGATTGCTTGAGCCCAGGAGTTTGAGGCTGCAGTGAGTTATGATCACGCCAGTGCACTCCAGCCTGGGTAACAGAGTGAAATCCTGTCTCAAAAAAAACAAACCACCACCAAAAAAATGGCTCCTAGAAACGTCCCTTCACCCAAGACAGTGTTTCTCAACTCTTTGTATGTTTAACATCATGGCTCCTTTTAATGCAACTTGAGCAGCTCAAACTCTCTTTTATTTATTTGAAATAAATATATATTTTAAAATAAATTACATATGTAAAATACATTATATATCACATGTGTAATGATATATGATATAATGATGTTGTGAGAATTAGTGAGACCCCAGATTTGCACCCCACTTAAATATATTTCATATTAAATAAATTATATGTCATGAGCTAAACCACAACCAAACACAATGGTAAAATTAGAAATGTCCTTTCAACTAGAAAGATAGGTATTTCTCCTTTGACCACAGTTAAGTCTGTGGCTCAGCTCCAGCCCAGCCCTTCTGCCTTGATGTATGTGTGATGGATGGAGCTCACCACAGTCCCCTTCAAGCCAGTTGGGCTGCTAGACTTTCAAACTACATGCGACCTTCCAACCTCACTTGCCCAACTGCCATTGGGTAAATAAATGTTTCCTGAGCATCTATCATCTGCCAGGCATGGGGGACCTGCATTGGTGAGGAAACAGACCTGGTCTCCATTCTGTTGAAACCTCTAACCTCTCCCTGTTGAACAGATGAGGAAACCAAAACCCAGCAAGGGTTGGTGACTTGCCCAGTTCCACACAGCAAGTTAGTGGTGGAGGCAGAACATGAACCCAGGCTCCTGACTCCCAGTCCAAGGCCCTACACACTGTTAGAGCCTCAGGGAGTTGCTTTCCCTTCCTTAAGAGTAGAACTACATGCTGGGAACTCAGCCACTTCCTCCCGGCTCAGTGCCCACCCTGAGGATTTCCTGAACCTCCTGAACTAAGGGTTGGGAGGGTGGGTGCCTTCTGAGAGTATAGACAGTGATTCTTGAAGTGAGGGCCTTTCTGGGCACCTACTCCGCACCAGGCTGGGTTTTGGGAACTGTGCCAAGGATGCTGCCCTGGCAGAGCTCAGCATCCAATCCCACAGGTAAAGAATGATGGGTGCTCAGTGCAAGTGGGTGTCAGCCAGGTGGAGGTTTGGCAGGAGGCCCTTCTAGGTGGAGGGCATAGCTTAACAGAAGTGTGGAGGAGTAAAAGAGAATGGGGTCTTGGGAGACTCATGAGTTGTTATTTGGCTTTTCAGAACCATGGTGTGAATGAGGGGACAGTGAATGTAAAAAGGAGGTGACAGGCTGTGGAGGATAAGGAGGCAGTGGGAGCCACACGGGGCTTTGGAGCAAGGCAGTGCTGTTGGATTTGTGCTGTGGGAAGGTAATTCCATCAGCAGGGCTCATGATGGACTTTGACTTTCTTTCTCTGAGCCTGACTCTCTGCATTTGCAAAATGGCTATTGTGAGAATTATTGAGACCCCAGATTTGGAAGAGCTTTGGAAAGCACAGTGGGGCCTGCCTTTATTCCTGCTCATGTTGTTCTGTGAAACAAAGACATCCAGTCCCTGCTCCTCCCACAGCCCGCTCTGTGACCTTGGCAAAGTCACCCCTCTCTCTGAGCCTGAGATTCCCCCGTGGGTAAAATTGGGCTGGCGGTTCATCCTCGTCGCAGGGACTTCTGACCATGAAGAAGACAGTGCAAAGCCAGGGCTGTGCTGGCCAAGTTGGCCTCCTCCTGTGGGCAGCCGTGTGAATATGCATATGTTGGAGGGTGCTGCCTGGCTCTGAGGGTGTGGGCTGAGCTCCCTGGGCCCTTTACAGACTATTTATGATGTGCCACTCTGGTAACTGCCCATGATTAGCAGCTCCACAGGCAGCTCTGGGCCCGGAAACAATGGAACACAGAGGAAGGAAAGGAACTATTAAAGGGCCAGGAGCCTCGAATGTCACCCTCAATAATTCATCCTGCACCTGCTCTCAGCCTCTTGGTTGTGGGGCCTCTCTCCCACAAAGGTCTTCTCTGCCTGTGTCCTCTGCTTCCAGCAAGTTTGAGATCAGAATGAATAGGGCATGGGCTTTGAAGTCAGGCAGACATGGGTTTGAGTGCCACTTCCTCTGCCTACCAGGTGAACTGTGTGCCTGGGCCTCAGTTTCCTCATCTGTGAAGTGGGTGTGTTAACCCCATCCACCCACAGGTTTGTTGGACCAGTCTGACCAGTTACAGCATGGGATGAAGGGCATGTACAGCACAAAGTGAGTGGTCAGTAGGTGGGCGTCAGAGTCAGGGTTGAATTTGCAGGCTGTTGAGGGGGCGCTGGTAACTCACGTTGCTGAAAGATTCCCCCCAGACCTGCCTCTGTGGAACTGGCGGGAACTGGATTTACCCATCTGTGTTGCCTAAGGAGCTGGGCCTGCCCAGACACTGCCTTCTCCAAAAAAAGGAGTGAGGAAAGAGGACACGAGCGAGCCTGGCTCTGTGCTGGGTGATGTCCTTATGTGTCACTGACCCTCACAGCAACCCTGTGCAGTAGATAGGAGCAGCCCCCACTTCACCGTGAGGAAATCCAGGCTCAGGAAGGATGAGAGAATTGCCAACTTTCCTCTGAAGGCCAGTGACAGCGATCAGGCCTCCAGGCTTGGGATACACCCATTCCCCCAAGCAGGGGACCCAAGAAGCTGTCCACATTATCAGGCACCTACAACCTTCCAAACAGAGGGAGCAAGGAGCCATTGCAGGCAGGCCCCAGAAGAGCCCTGTTGATGTTGGTAGTGATTCCTGGAGCCCCTCAAATCTCACCCCTTTCATGGCTACCCCACAGAAAGAGTTCTGAAGTAGGAATCGACAGACTTTGATGCTGGGCCTTGGTCCCACCTTGTGAAAACCCAGAGGGTTAGACTAGAAGGAAGATCTTTACAGGCCTCGGCTGCCTGGATGCTGCTGCTCTGTAACAAAGTCTCTGCCTTCCTGTTCAGCCGGGCTGAAGGCCTCTCTCTCACCACCCCATTCTCAGTCTGTAGCAAGGATGTGCCTCTCTCCTCCCCATTTGTCTGCACCTCCCCCTGCTCTGACAGCCCCAGCAAACACACATATCCATTCTCTAGAACCAGGCATGCCTACAGAGGAACAACCTTCCCCAAAGCCCCAGGCCCTAATGAGCTCCCTGTCACTAGGGGAATGCAATCAGAGGCCAGCGCCCTGGGTCAGGGAGGCCAGATGGGGCCGGAGGGGCTTGCCTCTGTAGAATGGCAGCTGGCAGAGCTCTGAAGCCTCTCCTCTTCCCCCAGAAGCCTCCAGCCCCAGTCAGTGACCCAGGCACGAACCTGCTGGGACAGCAAGGTCCTGATTCTCACTTGGAAGTGGAATCGGAGGACCAGCCTTTCAGTGCATTTGTTCCAAGAATGTGCTGACACTGCAGCAGCTTGGCAGACTTTCTGCCGTCTGCCTCCCCCATGCAGCTACATGTTCAGTACCTCTGCCTTCCCAGCCTGCAGCAGATCTCCAGGCAAGAACCTGTGGCGTCCCAGGGGATGCATGAGCACAGCAAGACCCTATCACACAGATGGATCTGCCAGGCCGGCCCCATCTCTCACTTCAGTGCCCTGAATGCCTCACCAGCATCATGTCCCCATCACCACTCTTCACTTAGGGTGGAGAAGGAGTCCACCCCTGGAATGAGAGGCCTTCAGGGAAGATGGCACCTTGGAGGTACTCAGATAATCCAGGAGCTGAGGGTGTGGCCAGGTGGCACTCTCTCTGGATGACATGCTGGATGGAACCACAGCCTTCTACGAGACCACCTGGATCAGGAGTTGCTAGTGCTTACAAGTGTGTTCTTATTACTCGTGTCCTGACCCTCAGCTGCTAGAACTAAAATGTAAAGGCATCTTGGGAAAGGGCAATGCTACAAATTATCATCACAACCATGTATTGTGATTTAACTTCTGTTTCCTCATCTCTGAAATGGGGATAATAAGAGTAGCTACCTTATAGGATTAAAAGAGTTATTAACAAATGAAAAGCATAGTATGTATGTTAGCTCCAACTTTCACAGCAACCCTGCAAGAAAGACATCCCATTTTACAGATGAGAAAATGCCATCAGTGAGGTCAAGGGACTGGCCCAGAGTCACAGAGTGAGCAAGTGGCAAAGCCAGAAAATTTGATTCCACAGCCTGATTCTCTACCTGCCCCCCTCCCCTCATCACCCCTGTGACAGGGAAGCTCAGAGCTCAGCAGGCACTGTACTGAAAAGCCTGTTTGAGTCCCAAGATAGTTGAGGTGGTATCTGCACTTCACTCCAGAACCTAAAAACCAGGCAGGGGCCTAATTTCTGGGACTTATAGATGCCCAGAGTAGAAAGGTGGAGAGTTCTTTCCCGACAGTGAGCCCACAGATGTGTGGGAAGGAGGAAGAGAGCCCAAAGCAATGTGTAGTGGATCGGTCAGGCCTCGGGGGTGAGCTGAATCTCCACTGGAGGAGTGTATGTGTGTTTGTGTGTGTGTGTGTGTGTACGTGTACACACATGTGCCTAGAGGTCTGTGTGCATCTATTTGTGTCTGTACATGAAACGTACCTTTGTGTAAGATGTCAGTGGTGTGTTTTAGAGTATGAATATGACTGAGAGTGTGTGCATGCACGTGTTTGTGCACGTCTCTGTGTGAATGTCTACGAGAGAACACATTACCCAGTGCTCCAGGGGTAGGCAGTTACATTTTCTGGTTGGCTGAGAGTTAATCAGCAGTGCCTCATTGTTCCACCCCCTGTAGAATAATTTTTTTCCTCAAATGTCTGCATCTGCTGCTTTTGAAGAGGGATGATGACAGCCTGAAGGGTGTACAAAGAGGGTGACCAGGGTTGAGGGGCATCCTGGAATCCATGCTGGAGAAGGACTGGCTGACACTGGTGGTTGCTGCCCTAAATCTCTGCAGGCCTTTGCAGGATCACAGGGTGCAGACAAGTTCTAAGGGGCTACTGGGCTGGACTGAGGCAGGCAGGCAGGGTCAAGCTCAGTGTGAAAAGCATTCTAGATGTGGGAGTGGTCCAAGGATGTGGCAGGCTGCTTTGGGGATACTGAGCTCCTGCCACAGAGGCATGGCACAGCCCTGAGCATCTGCCTGTCAGGGGCATTGCCAGGGCAACTCCCGCCCTGGAGAAACAATCGGGTTCCTTCCAGTCCTGATATTTGGGGCTATTCATTTCTGCTCCCACAGCCAAGTCCTGTAGCTGAGTCAGACTCCTGTGGGCCCCTACCATTCCTCAAACAGTCCTGGGATTTCTTATATCCATTTTTTCAGATGAGAACATGGAACACTCAGAGGGGTGAATTGATTGTCCCTAACCATGTTCAGGGGGACTTGAACCCAGGGCCTCTGACTGCTAATATGTTTCTCTGTCCACCTCTCAAGACTCCATAGCACAGAGCCTTATACAGAACAGCCACTGGTGGGTGCCACTGACTGGCTTGCTGCCTCTGTAGCACCATCATGTGAAAATGATGCCCTGGCATTTCTGGAACACTACTGGGAGAAACAGGAGGCCGTTTCAGCTCAGAGGGTGAGAGCCTGTGCTCATGTTGCAGGGAGCGGTCTGCAAGACAGCATCAAGGGGAGGGGAACCCAGACAGGGGCACCATCACGATACACAGATGCCCAGAGGATGCAAGGACGGTGGGTGTCCAAACGTCCAGGAGGAAGGAAAGAACTCTTTGAGGTCAGAACTTCCTGCTACTACCTGAGTGACCTTGGCAACTTGTTCAGCCTCTCTGAGCCGTAGTCTTATTATTTTAAAAACTGAAATAATAATTCCTTCATGGATTATGGGAAGAGTAAGTAAGATTTTGTGTGTGTGTGTGTGTGTGTGTGTGTGTGTGTGTGTGTGGTGTGTGTGAACTTCTCAGTATTGAATAAATGGTATCTGTTGCCTTAACGTTGCTATTCCCACCTGTTGATGGAGGACGGACATGAGACCAACAGGGGAAAGTGGGCCCTTGAGTCACAGGACACAGGGTGCTGGAAGCAGTGAGGGCATAGGGCTGGCTGGGGAAAAAAGCAGGGTGGGAAAGGATGCCCCGGTAGCCAGGGGCCCTAGCCCTGCCCACCGCTGCTGACCTCACTGAGAGCTTCCACTTCTTCCTTTTAGGCGCATTTTCCTGGTACCTCACCAAGCTTGAGGTAGGCCAGGCCCAGGCATATCCCACGGTCTGTCTAAACATGTGTTCTCGTGCTGTGTGACCTTGGACAGGCCCCTGCCCCTCTTTGAGCTTTTCTGTAAAGTAAGCAATTTCACTTGCTGTGTAAGCACCACCTTGCCTTCTCCCTAGGCACCAGCACCCTGCTGCTGAAAGGATGGAGGCTCAGGGGGACTGGACTTACATAGGAGGGCCTGGGACTGGTAACAGGTAATAAAAGGCCACACAGTTCATTCATTTGTTCACACGACATTTATTGAGTGCATCATATGTGCTGGGGCTGGAGATAGACTAATGAACAAAACAAACATTCCTGCCCTCATGGAAGGAGGGTCTTACCTTCCTGTGGAAGGTGATGTGATAAACAATAAACATGATAAGTGAGGAACTAACATAGTGTGTTAGAAGGTGGTCAGTGCTATGTGCTGTGGAGAGTATGGCAGAGTGTGGAGGTGGGAGTGCCTGGGAGGGGGTTAACATTAAAGTCAAGGGTCTGAGTGGACCTTATTGAGAAAGTGAGGGCAAGTGGGGCAGATTTGTTTTTCGCAGATTCATGCAGAAGGTGCCAGCCACAGGTGTTCCTCTCCTGTGAGAATTTACCCCAGTGTCTCTGGTCTGCGTCCTATATTGGATGCAACTGTATCGGATTCCACTCTTGTTTCCCCAGAATCCAGTGCAGGGTTCAGCCCGAATACGTGCTCAGAACTGTGTATCTAAGGATTACTCCACACTGGCCTGGACCTGAGATAGGGCAGCCTGATTGCCCTTGTTCTCTCAAGTGGGAAATCCTTCCCGGCACCGCCCGTCTTCAGAGGGAGTATCAGCCCATCCAGGCCCAGACCCCACAAGGCCATACCAAGGGGCGACAGTCCTTGCTGTGTTCATTGCCGTGTCCACACCAGGCCCCAAATTCCATCTGCCGCCAAATTCCAGGGCTGGAAATAATGAGGCAAATTGTCCCTCACCGCTGATTAACTTTCAAGTTGCTCTGCTAAACTGGGTGCAGTTGAAGTTTTAGCAAGCCTCCTGGGGACCTCAGGCGGCTTCGGTTTCAGCCTTGTAAAGAGCTGTTAAAGATCCAATCAAAATAAATAAAATCAGATCCAGGAAAGCGATGTGTTGGTGACTGCAGACCAAACACTCAGGATATTCAAGCGCCCCGCTTTTCCAGGGGGTTCCTTACACTCCACTGGCATGGGCCGTGATCCTCCCGCCCTGGAGCGACTGGAGGGAAAAGTGCTGGAGAGTCCCATCCTTGGGGCTAACTGCAGAGCGGAATCCTGTCCCTGTGAGCCTGCAGGGTGGCCGCTGGCCCTGTGCCCTAGCCCTGCTAGATTGTATTGGAGGCTAAATGCCAGCACCCTGAGATGCCTTATCACGCTGAGTCCTCCCCACAACAGGCTTGTCAGCACTGGGATGGTTTATACTTTTTAAAAATAATGTCTCTAGACAATAATCATACATTTTTAAAAAATTAGAAAGAATGAAAAGCCCAGGCCCTGGAAACATAAGGTCTAACCACAGAATCAGAAACTCCAAATTGGGAGATGGCCAGACGCCACAGAATGCGAGTGATGGACTTGTGAGCTGTTCACGTCAAAGGCATCGGAGCCACAGCGAGACAACCCAGAGGATGTGAAATCCCAGCACTTCAATACCAAACTGTCTGCCTACCAGGTGTCATTCAAACTGCTGTCATTCCACCCGCCTGTGATTCTGGACACCCAGTGAAGCAAGTTAAAGGCCACAGCAAGGCTGGAGAGAGGAGCGCTCTTTCCTCTCCCTGGTGAGGGACAGCCTCCTGCCTGGCCAGCCACCCCTTCTGGTTCCACGTGCACCCTCCCCTGGAATTAATGACTGGCTGATGCTTCCGCTGGAACTCTTCATCAAACCTTGGAAGAGAAATCAAAGGTGTTTGAGAGGAAAGTCATGTGTAATACCAAGAACCACCTCCCAGCTCCTAAGTTTCAGAGAAACCAGCAGGGAAGATATTGAAGTCCGTGCAGTTGGACACTGGTGCCCCAAGAGCATTGGACAAACTATTAGATATCATTGTGAACACCCCACTCCTGTCAGAGATGGCAAAACAGGTCCCAAGAAGGAGAAGAAGGACTCGGGGTTACTCAGGGGACCAGGTGAGTGGCATGTTTGGGAGCCAAGCCCTGTGGTCCCCACTCCCCATCCTGGCCATCTGACTTCCAAGAGCTGTGTGCATCATGAGCTGGTGGGCATCACGTCCCCATTTGCCAAGCCTCACCCAGAGTCCAAGCCAGAGGTCAACCAGGGCCTCCCAGCCCTCCATCCCATGGGTGCCAGGCCATACTGGCAGGCCTGGGGCAGAGCCGGTCCCCCGCAACGCCTGCCCGCCTGGCCGCCCCCTGAAGCCGGCTGAAAGGCCCCCTTATGCGCAGCCCTGCCTCTCCGCGGCGGCACACAGCCCTGCTCTCTTACCTCATAAACGGCTAATTTGTTACATATTTTCTGACGCTGTAAATGGGAGAACAAAGACCTTTTCTCTCTCATATTTTCGTTCAATTATGTTTGTGGGGGAACCTGATCCCCTTCAAACGGGGGTGGAGGAGCTGGGGTGGAAGCCTCCCAGGCTTGCTGACCTCCCAGGCCTGCTCCTGGGCCCACGGCCCCTGAGAGCGGCTCTGGACAGCTTCGGTCTGGGTGTGGCTGGGGATGGTGGGAGTCTGGCCACAAGAGAGAGCAGTGAGGCCTCCTTGCATGTCCTGCGAGGAGCCCGTGAAGGGACTGGGCCCTCATCCCTAGAGGAGCAGATATCAGTCCTGGGAGCAGGCTGGGTGGAGTTGGGCTCCCCCAGCAGAGATGAAGCCTCCTGGGGACAGATTTCAGGACCAGAGACGGAAGGTCCTCTTCACAGCCGACATCCGTGCCCCGAGAGGGCATGGAGCAGCCAGGCAGGTGATGAGCTCCCTGTCACTACACTGACATGTCTCTCCCTGTAGCTGAGGCATGTTCCCCAAGGAGATGAGGTGGGAGTTGGAGGTAGAGGGAAGGGGAGGTATTTTGAAAAGGGAGGTTCCACAGCTGAGGACCCCTGGACGCACCGTTTCAGGGCCCCCAATCCCGAGGTTCTGTTGCTTTTGCCCTGGCTTCACACTGGGAACCCAGATGGGAGTGCTCTGGTTCACATCTGGGTTCCCAGTGTGCTCCTTCCATCCTCTTTTGAGAAAGCACACTGACTGGTTTTGAACACTGGCTCTCCTGGATCCAGGAGCTGGGGCAGGGGTGTTGGGGGGGATGGAAAACATGGCCTCTGGAGGCCGCCCCTCTAGGAAAGGCTGCTCAAGGATATCTCTCTAACAGCTGGCACACCAGCCACTCCTCCCCTCCTTCCTTCCTTCCCACTTCCTTCCTCCATTCCCTTTTTCCCTTTAGTGAGTGGCTACAAATGGCAGGTCCTGGACTAGGTACTGGGATACGAGAATGAGTAAAGCTGACATAGCCCCCACTCTCGTTACATCTGCAGAGAAGTCGGTAGATGACTGTTTGGCACATGGCTAAAATTGCTAGACTATTTTCATTCATCCACCACTTACTTGCTGTGTGACCTCAGGAAAGTCACTTAACCTCTCTGTGCCTCCTTTGTCTCACCAGTAAAATAGGGATAAAATTGAGAACCACCTCACAGAGTTGGCAGGATTTGAATGAAATACTTGTGACAAACTTCACATACTCCCTGTCATGGAACAAATGATTAACCTCATAAGTATATAAAGACAAACCATTATAAGTACTCTGAATAAAGAGTCCAGGGTGTAGGAGAGCTTCAAACAGGGGCCCCTGAGTGGATCTGGGGGATCAGGGAAGGAGTGTGCAGGAGGTGGTACTTGAGCAACTGTCTGAAATATTACAAGTTAAGGAGGCAAAGGGGAGAGATGATGGGAATGGCATACCGGGCAGAAGGACCAGCATGTGCAAAGGTCCTGAAGCAGGAAACAAATTGCACATTCAAAAAAACTATATGGGCGGCACATGAAGGCAGTAAAAACCCAAAGCAAGGAGGTTAGGGAGCAGGAGGAGTCCAGAGAGACAGACAGGTCCCTGCCAAGTACTTCTGAGAGTCCATGTTGAAGAAGTTCATGGTTATTCCCAGGGCAGAGGGGAGCCATGGGGAATTTGAGCCTGGGAGAGTGCCGTGGTCTCACCCACACACAGCATGCCCTTTCCCCATTAGGCCAAGACCAGTGGGCCCTACCTCAGGTCAGGGCTGCTCAGGATTCAAGATGCAGCCCAGACCCCGGGCCCCAGGGCCTGAGATCACTGTGTGCATGCCCTCCAGCAGCAAGAAGTAAAAGTAAAAGAGAGAGAGGGGAAGGGGGTGAGGCTGAAGACACAAAAACAGCCAGACCAGATCACAAAGGGCCTGGCAAGTCAGTCTAAGACCAGACCATGGAGAATGATTGATGGGGCTCCTTGGTGTCAGGAAGGAGGGAACCAAGTCCCATTAATCTCAGTCTCCCCAGGACCCCCGCACAGCACCTGACCAAGAACAAACACATATGCTTGTTACATGTGTGAATATAAGTCTGTGGTTGGGTCTCTTGATGGCTGGGATAACACAAAGCACAGTCCACACTCCTGACTCTATTTCTATCTATCTATCTATCTATCTATCTATCTATCTATCTATCTATCTATCTATCTCTGTCACCATCTCTACCTCTCTCTTGCCCACACATGTGTGCACACACATTCTTACACAACCCTCAGTCACTTGGAGCCCCAGACACTCCAGGTTGAAAGAAGCTCTGGCCTGCAGCTGTGCTTCCCGGTTGCAGGAGCTCACACAAGAGGAAGACAAATAAAGGCTGGAGCAGAAGGGAAGGCCTTCTTGGAGGAGGTGAGCTTCCAGGTGGGGCAGGATGGATGCTTGGGCTGTGGACAAGTGGTGGCCAGCAGGGACCCCTGTTTCTGACCTGGTGGGTCCCTGGTGGCAGGTCCATGCTGGAATGCCTGCATGAGCCTGAGGCTCCTTGAGAAGATTCTGGGCAGGGAGCTAAAAGGCTGGAGCAGTCCTCCCTCTGCCCAAGGTGGATCCTGGAAGCAGACTGGCCCCTTTAACCTGCTCCTTCAAGGGCCCCTGTCTGCTCTCATCGCCTCACATACAGCCCGCCCTCCCAGGTCAGACCTGCACAACAAGGAGGCCTTGGATAGCCCTGAGTATTTCCCATCTGCAGTGTAAGCAGATCTGTGCTCATCCAGAATGTGTCTGACTTCTCTGTGTTCTTTTCCCAAGACCCAAGGCTCAGATTTCAGTTTCACATTCTTTTGCCTTGGGTCTAAAAACATTTTCCCTTTCTGTGGTAGGGGGAAGGAGGGGATAAGGGAGCATAGGAGACCCGAGCTGCCCAAATGAAGCAGACCGATCCCTTGTTCTTGCCTTATTCTGCATCCCCTGGCTTGCTGTGTGACCTTGGGCACTTTGCTGCCCTCTCTGGGGCTCAGTGTTCTCTCTGCACAACGAGAAGCCCCATGCAGGATCTAAGGACCCTCCCTCGCCTGACCGTCTCTTGCAGTGCCAGAGTCTCCAGTGTTCCCATCCTGTTGCCAGGAAGTGTCTCCTGTGACTTCAGACAGGCAAAAAGCAGAAGTTGGCACTGCATTTTAGTTTTGTCTGTGAGGCCAAGTTCTGCGCAGCTGTCTCCTTTGATGCACCCTGGGAGGAGTATCTGTTCCCTGGACTGTCAGCACCACAGAGTCCCAGGCGGGTCCCACGCAGTCTTCTTTTCTTCCGGCCATTCTGGGTCTCATCTGCATTTGTCCAACCGCTCCCTCAAGTGGGGCTCAAGGATTCCTAAAAGGGAAGGGAGTGGGGAGGGCCCAGATTCAAAAGTCGGGGAAGGAGAGCGGGGGCAGTAATGGGCAATAGGAAAGCCTCAGAGCCCTGAGTTGGAGAGTTCTAAAACATGCAAGCCAGGAAAGATTTGGAATTCTAATCTGCCCCTCCCTTCCTCCATGCCTCCCCAAAGCCCCTGGGGCCCAAGTGGGGCCTTCTCACCTCTCCTTGTCCAGAGCCAAGAATGTCTCCTGCTACAGTCAGTGTCCTCAAAGCCTTTCTCCACACAGCAGCCAGGGGCAGCTTCTAAAGAGAAAGCCTGATGATCACTCCCTCCTTAATAAATTCAGTGGCATCCCATTGTCCGTAGAGTAAAGTCTGAGCTCCAGATCCACCTCGACTCCCTGCTCTGGGTCTATCCCATGTCCACCTCCACCAGCCACAGGCTGCACTCCAGCCCCTGCCGTCACTGACACGGCCCTGAACATGCCAGCTTCACCGCAGCCCCCATTCCTCTGCATGGGCTGTTGACACTGCCTGGAATTCCTTTTCTTTCCCTTCTGTGTGGCAAATGTGTGTCCCCACAGGGGATTGCTGCAGAGCCAGAGCCACCTCCTTTGGGAATCCTGTTTGTGGTCCCCCACATTTGCTGGACTCTCACAGCACCTTGTCCATCCCTTAGCCCCAGCCTTAATGAATGTTACTTGATCTTGTCGCAAGTCTTCCTGGAACTTCCTCCCTTGCTCCACCCTGCCTTTGAGCTTGTCAAGGATGGACAGGGTACTGATTTGGTCCCATGGCCTTGGCACCCAGCACAGAGCCTAGCACTAGTCCATACTGAAGACTGAAGAGAGAACGGAAATCTCATCCACATATGCAGAATTCCAGCCTCTCTTCAGAACACCTCCTGCAACTGGGACCCACCCCGGTGCTTAGGGAACAGAAATTTCTTAAAGTGTGTGTGTGGGTGTGGGTATGTGTCCTAAGGAAGGGCAATATTGCTTTACAAGGTTTTTAGAATGCTAGTCTCAAGCAGGCAGGACAAATATACACCCCACTTGGCAGATGGGTAAGCTGAGACGCAGCAAAGAGAAGAGAAGAGTCTGCCCCAAAGAGCCAGAATAAGAACTTCACACAGCCTGCATGTAGCAGGTCCTAGGTTTAAAACTGGGTCAGATCTCTGCCCTTTCAGCTGCTGTTTGTCTCTGAAGGCTTGGTAACCGGTGGCTTAGCAGACAAACAGAGAGGCATGTTACAATTTCTCTCATCAGTATTGAGCACTCCCAGACTCAACTCCTCTCCTTCCATCCCTGGCCACCTGGAGGTGCCCCCTCCAATCCGGTCCTCCTTGGCTACTGCCCAGGACTAAGGAAGAGCAGAGGTCCCCATACTGCTGGAGGGCCTGTGAGACCCCCTCCCTCCTCTGCAAATTGGTAATTGCTATGTGGTCAGACCAGAGGAATTAGAGGGGCCCTCTAGGAATTTCATACTGATTTTGCAAATGAAAATGGAGACTTGCCTTTTGAAGTTTAGGCAGCTGTGTCAGCAGGGCAGGTCTGAGACAGCAGGGAAAATAAAAATGACATGCCTCGAACCAATGGAAGCAGCTGCTTAATAACAATAACAGTGATAATGGTAACCACGGCTACCGCTGACTGATCGCCTCCCGTGTAGACCATTATCCCTCCATGGGCCTCAGTCAGCTCATCTCTGATTTCTCATCCATTCCAGCCTCCACAGGTGACTTGTCTACTGTCTGAAGATCAGGTAGAGAGGGTCATGTATGCTGCTTGGGTTGAGTGCATGGTCCATGGCATGAGATTGAAGACCCTCCACTACTGAATGTCTTCCAGCCCTGACTGCTGGCTCGTCTTTAAACACACCATGCTCCTCTATATCATTCTGCAGTTAACACTTTCTTTTTCTTTCTTTCTTTGTTTTTTCTTTTGAGACAGAATCTCACTCTGTTGCCCAGGCTGCAGTATAGTGGTAAGATCATAGCTCACTGCAGCCTTGAACTCCTGGCCTCAGGCAATCCTCTCACCTTAGCCTGCTGCGTAGCTGGGACTACAGGCACGTGACAGCATATCTGGCTCTTTGTTGTTGTTTTTAGAGATGGGGTCTCCCTGTGTTTCCCAGGCCTGTCTCAAACTTCTGGCCATCCTCCTGCCTCAGCCCCGCAAAGTGCTGGGATTACAGATGTGAGCCACCATGCACAGCCTGCGGTGAACACTTTCCTTCTCAACGCTACTCATCTTTGCAGCCCAGCTGAAGCCTGTGATTCCCTCACCGACTCCCAGGCTGGGTCAGAAACCCCTCTGAGGCCCCCAACCTCTGTGTTTTATTATTAACTTACCACATTATAATTACCCGTGCCTTCCGTCATCTCCTCCATCACCTTGAAGTTGCTCAAAGCTTTATAACTGAGGATAAGTTGGTGTAGGTGATTCTCTGGGACTTTCCAGTATGTTTTATTATTTTCCTCAATGGACAGAGTGTGTTCGGTTTATGAAATCAAAGGTAGTTACTGAAGAATAGAAATAGAAGATTCACAGCAGAAGCAGAGAGAGCTCGATGCATTAAGCCTGGGCAGAGTGGAGGCCCTGGGTATGGAGCCCCATCACTGGGGAACAAGGGATGCCACTTACTGCTCTGAGCCTTGGGTTTTCAATAATGCTGTCCTCACAGGGCTCTGAAGAAAAATAAATGAGCCTCCACATGTAAAGTATTTGGAAACATAGACTGTTGAAATCATGGGATGGTAGGTGTAATGTTCTGAAATGTTGGGCTCCTGGAATAGGTCTTCCAGAGCTAGGAGGTACTCCCACACCCTCCTGTTTCAGAGGAACCCTGTGGCCCAGAGAGTGGGTCTCACAGCTGGTCTGGGTCAGAGCCCACAGCACCAGAATATGCATCTCTGAGCGCCCTTGGACTTAGCTGTACTGAAAGCTAAAATCGAAGGGATCCCTTTGCCCTCCAACAGGGCAGACCCCACATAAACTCCTTTCCTGGAGACCCCAAGCCTCTGGGCCAGCCCCAGCCAGTCCCAACCATCAGCCTCCCTACCCACCCAGCAGAATGCTAATCTCATCATGTGGGTGGCTCCGGATTTATGAGCATTTCCTGGCATGACTTGAAGGACAGAGGAGGAACACTAGGATCTTTAAGGGTGGTCTTTGGGTGGAGAAACTAAGCATTCAGAGAAAAGAAGGAAAGAAAGCTAGGGTGAGTCAGGCTTCCCGATGCCCGCCCAGGAAAGCACTGAGAGCTCAGCCAGCCCACTGCAGGGCAGATGGAGGTGTGGGCAGCACCACCAAGTCCACGGGGCAGGCGACAGCTGTACTAGAGGCCAAGTCCATGCTTCTTGGGTTGTGGCTGGGCACTGGGTGGGCGATGGGGGGGTGGTGAGGGGAAGGGAGGAGGGCAGAGCTGCCTTCATCTTCAGTTGGACCTCTCTGCTTCACCCCTGCCTCCCTAGATTCCATTATCAACACAGCTCCCCCCACGTTCTTCTGCCCAGACTCCCCGTGACTTCACATCTCAGCAGGAAGCCACAGGCCTTCAAAGACCACAGGGCTCTACAGGCCCTGCCCACCACCCACCTCACTATGACCTCTCTCCCTTGTGCTGGAAATTCTCCACTTTCCTCTCCAGATCCACTTTCTGCTCTCCCTGCCCCACCCTGTGCATGAGCTGACGCAGCATCACCTAGGCTCCCGCCTTGTCCTCCCTGGCAGGAGATGGGCAGGCAGAAGGGAAAGGGAGTTGAATATTTCTTACCTCCGCCCACCCTTCTCCTCCTTCCCTGGCGTTGCCGTGGTCCAGGCCATGCTCAGCCATAGTTGTGCTCCCTTTCAAGCCTGTGGCTGTGCCAGGTCCAGATCCCTGCTCCCTCTCTTCCCCTAAAGGTTTAGAGACAGGTAAGCTTCCCCCTGCAGCTACTCCCTGCTGCCTCACTATGGCCTGCCCACACCTTCGTGAATATTCTGACAATCACTGCTCTTCAGTCACTCTTTCAGCTGAAATTACTTCTTTGGAACTCATCTCACTGGCAGTGTGCCACCTGGTTGCTGTTGGGTCCCTGCCTAACACAGGTCCGTCGCCTCACTCCCCCTTGCTCATGCATCTCCAGCCACATTGGCTGCAAACCTATCAGGCCTGCTCTGCCTCAGGGCCTGTTCCCTCTTCTCTCAGATACCCACGTGGCTCCCTCCCTCATCTCCTTCAGACCTTTTCTCAAATGTCACCTCTCATTGCAACCTTACCTGGACATCTTATCTAAAATGGGTGGCGGGGGGGCAGGGGGTGATGGCACGAACTTGTTGTCCTAGTTTATTGGGAGGCTAAGGCAGGAGGATCACTTGAGTCCAGGAGGCTCAGGCTGCAGCAAGCAGAGATCGCACCACTGCACTCCAGCCTCGACAACAGAGCAGGGCCCCAACTCTAAAAAAATTTAAAATAATAATAATAAAATATCAACTCCCAACACACACACGTGCGCGCGCGCGCGCGCACACACACACACACACCCTATATTCCTCTTTGCCTTATTTTCTCCATAGCAACTATCACTCTCCAACATACTGGATGGTTTACTTCTTGTTTCTTTATGGTCAGCTTTCTCCTACTGGAATGAAAGCTCCTTTAGGGTGGGGATCTTTATTTGCAGTGTTCACTCCTATACCTCCAGGGCCTGGAACAGCATCTGCTACATAAGTGCTCAATAAATATTTGTTCAATGAATGTGTAAATTAGTTCTTTTCAAAGGTGAGTAAACCAAGACCCAGGGAAGGAAAATAATTCACCCAGAGGTTCGTAGTGAAGAGTCCAGTGGTGACTAGATCCCTGGTCCCTGCTCCCAGCCCAGAGCCAGTCCACAGCTCCAGGAAATCTTGTGTTTATTTGGATGCCTGCTGCTCAGTAGCCCAGTGTCCGGAGACAGGATTCAGTGCTGGAGGCCTAGGAGACTCGGAATACTGAACAGGAAGCAGGGAGGTAGTCGGCATGGCTTTGGTGCTGCCGATGGGGCAAGGAGAATAAATAAATAAATCTCAGCCAGAGCCTGGCAGCTCTAACCTTTGAAGAAATGTCCCCCAGGCCAGAGAAGGCTTCCTGTGAAGTGAGCTGTCCTCCACCCCTACCCAGTGCTGAGAGATGATTTGGGCCCAGGGTCTAGCAGGCGCAGCTCCTCCCAGCTCTGCACCATGGGAGGTACTGGCTTCTGGCAGGGAGCTGCTCAGGGTGGGGGTCCTGTGACGGGCGACTCACTTGGCTTTCCATTCACTTATTCATCCTACAAGCATTCCTCAAGCAGCTGCTATGTGTGTATTGGGCACTGCACTCTGGGAACATAGTCAAGATGAAGACAGAGGATTTGCCTGACCTCAGAGCATTCATCCTCAAGCGGGAAGGACGAGTGTTAGTAATAAAATGGGGAGTACCTGGCCTGGGAAGTGTCAGGTGCTTTGGGGGCACTTAGCAGGGGACCCTTGCAGTCCATGGCTCAGAGTTCTCCTGAGGGAAGGAGCCTCTACAGCCAGGTGCAAAGGGGAGTGTCAGCTGGTAGATGGAGAGAGGTTTCCAGACAGAGGACGTGCAGAGGAGGGGATCCTGGGCAGGGAGCAAGGTTTCGTCAGCCTGGGCAGTGAAAGCAGACTGGGGAGGCCGTGAACCAGGTGAGGTTACCTTAGCAAGGGTGACCTCTTTCTTATTCTCATATGGCAGCTCTGACAGTGCACCACAGCTAAAGTTCTAACACCCCCTCTCCTTCCCAGCTGACAGCTTAGAACCTGGGCCTCAAAGACTGGCCCCTACTTGTCTCTTCTTGTCTGTACTTCCTACCAGCTGGTTGGGTGGAGGTGGCTTGGTGGGCCAGGACCAGGGACAGCAGAAAGAACCCAGACCTGCCAGCTGGACCTGAGTTTGAATCCTAACTCGTTAGTTCTTCAATGTGGGACCTTATGCAAGTGACTTTACCCTCCTCAAGGGCTCAGTTTCCTTGTTTGTCATATGGAAATAGTCCTTATCTGAAAGAATTATGGTGTGAGATGGTTTCCTAGCATCTTTACAATGCTCCATGTAATTGGGGGCTTGCTCATTAACCCTAACTTTGTCTCCCATCACTGTCTTCCTTGTTGGCTCAGCTTCAGCCACGCTGGCCTCTGCTTCTCCTCACATATGTACAGGGCCTTTGCACCTGCTGGTTCCCCTTCCTTCATCACTCCCCATCCAATTTACTGCTTTATTTTTTTCTATAACATATTCTGTATTAGTTCTCCAGAAAAACAGAACCAATAGAATATATGTATGTGTGTATGTATCTCTGTAAATATATATATAGGTATATACATTTTATACACACACACACACACACACGTAGTGTTGGTGACATTGGTGGGTAAGTCTAAAATTTGCAGGGCAGGCCAGCGGGCTGGAAATCCAGGGAAGAGTTGATGCTGCAGTTCAAGTCCAAAAGCAGTCTGCTGGTAGAATTCCTTGTTCTTTGACAGGGTCAGATTTTTTCTAGTAAGGCCTTCAACTGAGCGGATGAAGCCCACCTACGTTATGGAGGGTAATCTGCATCTCAAAGCCTACTGATTTAAATATGAGTCTCATCTAAAAAGTACCTTCACAGAAGCATCTAAAAAAAGTTTGACCAAATATCTGGATAGCGTGGCCTAACCAAGTTGACACATAAAATTAACCATCACAAGTTCACCCCTTCTCAGTTGGGCTCCCATACACATCTTCAACCATACTGAATCTCCAAATACTGACAATAACATGGCCATAGTTCCACCTAACATGATGCTGCTATCCTGCATACACCAAAAATGCTCTGTTTCTTTCCCCAGAAGAGGATGCAAAGTCTTTGGGTGACATTTACTTTTCTTGATATCCTGTACCTTAAATATATGATGTAAAGCTAACAATACCTAAATACTATAAGTCAATATATCTTATGTTATATGATAAAGGGATGAGAGGGAAGAAAGCAAAGATATTTGAGATAGAAACACACACACAGACACACACACACACAAATATGAATAACAAAAGAGGGAGGAACTCTCATCACAATTACAGTTCTCATCTCTGTCACTGGTCACGTTATCATAGCTGGTATTGCTGACTACCTTCTTCTACTACCCATTCTGTATTCTCTTTGCTTTCAACAACAACCTCAACTGCTCATGGTTCTTAACCTGGCGGCATGACCCAAGCCTTCATTGTTGAATGGTCTGGGCCATTAGTAGTCCTGTCTGGATTGGGTTGTTGTGGTTTTCCATTGACTTTAATCTCAGGGTATGGTAATACTAAGAGATGCCCTAAAAGGTCTCCTGCATTCCAGAAACACTCTTCCTCACCTCCACTGGGGTGGCAATCTAATTTCCCCCTTGGTAGTCAGGATCAATCATTCCAGGCAGCATAGTAACCCCTTCTTTGCCTGTTGACTCAGAGGTGTGAGGAATCCATGTGGCTGGGTGGCAGTCTTCACTTCCAGTTTAATGAAGCCATTGTTGTGTGTCCAACATGCTGCATATTAGTATTTTTACTAATAATTTATGTATTCTCACTTTACCCCTCTAGCAGGTGAGCTCTGTAAGGGCAGGGATTTTTAAAGTCTGTTTTGTCCCTGGCTAACTCCCCAGCACCTAGAACAATGCCTGGTGCTCAGGAAGAATGGCTGAGTGGATTGGGGCCTTTGCAGTGATTCCCTTGGGCTTTGAGTTGGGTGAGCAGACTTGCAAGCTGAGAGCCAGGCTTGTCCCAAGGGACCCTGACTCTAAACCCTCTTCTTGACTAAGGGGGTCCTGCTGCCTTCTCAGTGCCATTGCTGGGCCATCAAGTGAACATAGGCCTTCAAGTCTACCATTCCAGCCCATCTAGGACTGTTTACAGGACTACTCTGGAACAATAAACCTGTTCCCACCCTCCTGGCGCCTGCCTCACTCCTTCCTAGTTCCTCGTTTGAAGACGTGTTTAAATTCTGGGCCTACATTCAGCAGATGCCACAAGCCATTTCATGTCCAGCCAGCGTTGGTGAGGGGAGTCCACAGAGGATGCTCTGGAGCTCCTGGTGGCTGGGCCTCCACACAGCCATCCAGGGTGAGAGAGGCAGCTCTAGCCTTCACCCGATGTTTGTTATTCCATGTCAAAGCCTTATCATAAACATTATCCTAGAGTGGGCCACCGAGGCTATGTACAAAGAAGGTTTGTTATTCTAAGGTGGCCAGGAGCAGAAGACATCTCGAGTCTGAGCAGCACCAGGCTTGGGAATTCAGGGTGAGTGAAAGAGAGGCAGGAGTCAGGGCCAGGCGCTTCATTATAAAGCCTGTGTACTTACCACCCTTGCTGTGCTGGCCAGTTGGCACATCTGCCTCTAAAATGAGCTCTGCACAGATGGAAGCCAAGTCCAATTAATCTACTAATCTCAAATCCCTGCAGAGAGGAGCTGAAAGTAAATGTTTGTGAATGAATGGATGTAGCTTCCCTCTGTCTGTTGGAAGCACCAAGGATGCTGGTGAAGGAGCACATACCGCGCTGAAGTCCTGGTTGTGAGAACCTGGTCCGGTGCCAGACGTAATTTCAAACCCCAGCCCTGTCTTTTACCAGCTGTGTGGCCTTGTGCCCATCACTCCCTTCTGCTTCTTTGGTTTCCCATCTTTGACTACGGACAACATCCCTCTTGGCTCTCTTCCAGGGAGAGCAGAGGGAGGGCCTACAGGACAGTGGTTAACTAGGAGGATACATTCCAGGCCTGGCCCAAATGCCTGATCCATCCCTCTCCAGCTTTGTCACCTTTGGCAAGGTATTTGATGTCTCTTTGCTGCAGTTTTTTTTTTTTAATTAAATGGAGCTAATAATAGAGTTACCTCAGAGTTGCTGTAAAGATTAAATAAATGAACATGAGTTTAGAAAGTTCCTGACACATAGTAAGTGCTCAATAAACATCGTAATCCTGGTAATGAATGGATGAAGACTTCTTTATAAATTGCAAAATGATGGTACGGGGCAGGAGGTGTAAGGGAAAGTGCGCATGATTCTGGATCAGCATACCTCTTCTTGCAGTGCTTCCTGAATGTCTGCTAATGGAGACATTGGGATTCAGCAGGAAACAGAGAGGCAGAGAACAGGGACAATTCAGTGAGATAAGTGTCTAAGGAAAAAGAAGGACAGGGGTCTTTGGGAGACACCAAACCCCACCGAGGTAGGGAGAATCAGGATGATAGGCTTGGGTTTCAGTCCTGGCCCCACCACACTCCTGCTGTGACACATGGGAAGGCCTCATAAATGGTCTGGCCTCTGTTTTATATATTTGTAATAGACTATTAATAACAGACTTATTAGTAACAGACTAACAATAAATATTCCCTGGCTATTTCACAAGGCTCTAAAAAAAAAAAAAATGGGTGTGGCAGTGTGTGTGGATGAATGTGGGCTGTGCCTGTGGACATCTGGAAATCCAGCCATGTGGTCCAGGGCACTGCAGAGTTCTGGACCAGGAGTTAAGAGTTGGGGTTGAGTCCACTCTGCCCACAGCTCATTGTGTGGCCTTAGGCAAGCCCCATCCTGCCTGCTCTGGACCCTAGCCTCCTCTCCTCTTTAATATGAGGAGGCCACAGGATGAGATCAGTGGTTCTCAAACTAGGCTCCAGGGTACCTGTGGGTTCCACAGAAGGGCCTTGGTGCAGAAGTCCCTGCTGCAGGGAGACATTGAGCTAGTGAGACTTCAGGCGCCCGCCTGCCTCCCTTACATCAACCAGGGAAGTTTCCATTTTTACCTTCTCCATATTTTGAGTTCTAAGTAAGATTCCTTTGGAAAACAACAGCAAGAACATGGCTTTAAAAGGCCTGAAAAGCCTCTGGACCAGATGACCTCCAGGGCTCTTCCAGCTCCAATCTGGGAAGCTTTAGGTCTATTTTCCTCTCAGTTTTATTTAACAAACACTTATCCAGCACTTACTACATGCCAGGACTGTTTTTAGCACCCCACAGATTATAACATACTAAATTCACTGGAACACCTTCCAGCTCTGTGATGGTTGCATGATTGCAGAAGCAACTCTGTGAGTCGAGCAAGGTCCTGGGGAGACATTTCTCCTCCAGTCAGCTCTTCTGGGTGCCTGGGCCGATGACCTCACCACAGGTCAGGTGGTGTCTTGGCCAAGCCGACGCCGAGAAACAAGGGAGCAGGTGTGTGCAGTGGCCGAGTGTAGTCACGGGAAGCCTGTGTCCCAGGCCCCCAGGGAAGGAGAGCGGATCAACTCGACATGGACACTTTCATCCGAGGCATGTGCCGTGTGGGAGGAAGTGCCTGTTGCCTTAGCAATGCCCACAGCAACAGGGCCACTGCCTCCTGTGATCCATCCCCAGCCACCATGCTGCCATCGACACCCTGCACCAGATGGCTACATATCAGATTTCAATGGTGGCGGCCAGAGCCTAGAGGCCTGGAGAAGGCCCAGAGGTGGAGTTTTGGGTAGGGGGTGGTGGGGGCTGACCTCATCTCCAGCCAGCTCATTAGGTGGAGCAGCCTGGGCTGCATCCAGTGCAATCTAGCGCTCCTGCCCAGCCATGAACAAAATGAGAGGGGAGGGAGGTGATCTCATGAGCACACGCTTGGCCCTGTTGCCTATGTTAGTACTTTGGCCTGGCTGTGCACACCTATTTTATGAGCTTTTCTGGTCAGATTATGTGTTCTTGAACCAAGTGACTGCTGCCACTTGGTGGGACCTTCTGCCACAAGGTGGTGGCATGCCTCAAAATGCAGAGTGCAGAAGTTGTAGGGGCTAGATTTAAGGACTCAATGAGCAGCCTTGAACTATGAAGTGACCATAGCAGTGTCAAAGAAATAAAGAAACAATGAAGTGACACTTTATCTTCACCAGGCACAGTGCTGAGTGCTGCAAATTCAAAAATGAACACGACACAATTCCTGTCTTGAAGGAGCTCATAGCCTAATGTGGGAGGCTGGTAGCTAAACAGCAAATACAATATAATGTTCACTCCGTAGTGGAAGGAAGCATGGTGTATCTATCACCACAACTATGCTGTGTAACAATAACAATAAGAGTTTTCCACTCATGCATCTGGGGACAATTGTGAATAGTCTCTGCTGATCTTGGCTGGGCTAGTTTGCATGTATGGGGATTGGCAGGCTGTTGGCTATTCTTGGTGGAGGATGGCCTTCGCTGGACGGCTCTGCGCCACATGTCTCTCATCATCCAGCAGTCTAGCCTGGATTGTTCTCAGGGCAGTGGCAGAGGTGCAGACAGCAGCAGCAGCATCAGCAGCACGTAACTACTTTTCAGGCCTGAATTTATAATGGTTACTAGCATCCCCTTGGCTGAAGGATGTCCAGGGTCAGACTGGAAAGGAGCTACAAAGTTCCATGGAAAAGGGCATGAATACAGGGAGGGGCTAAGGTTTAGGGCCATTAATCTATCAGTCTGCCACCCATGGAGGCTGTGGGACCCCCAGTGAGGGGCCTAACCCAGTCCCCAGGTGGTCAGAGAAGCTTCCTGGAGGAGACAGCCGAGGAGAGTCTGGACAGCTAAGTCTGAGTTTGCAAGTGGAGACGAGGGAGCCGGATTTCCCTATGGAACAGCATTTACAGAGGCACAAAGGCAGAAGATTTTTTTTTTTTTGCTTGAAGGAATGCTGAGTATTTTAGTATTTGGAGGCATGAAAGCCATGTAAGAAATGAGGTTATTGACCATAGCAGGGTCCAGGTTACTGCCTTGGAGGCTCTACTCAAGAGCTAGCCCTTTAGCCTGCAGGTGGGAGGGACCTGTGAACGTTTTGAGCAAAAGAGAGAGAGAGAAATCATCAGATTTGTGCATTTAAAAGAGGACCATGACAGATAACTATGGTATAGAAGAGAAGGGAGGGGGTGTGCCCGGAGATGGGCGGGACTGGTGCAGGGGACTCAACGAGAAATGCTGGGGCCTGAATTGAGGTGGGTGACAAGGCTGGGAACTTGGTGTCCAAGGCATTGTGCAGACAGAATGAGCAGGGCCTAAAGACTGAGGGCTAGGCTGGGCTAACAGCAGGGACCAGTTCCCTGAGACAGCCTCCTGACTTTCTGTACAGGGACCAAGTTTTTCTCTTTATCTGTGTTAAATAGCCCAAATAATGATCAGCCTCCTCCCTTCTGTTGAACAAAGGAGTCTGGGATACTCTGTCTCCTAAAACTAGCTCCAGGCCTAGCTATGTGAATTGAGCAGGTCCCTCCCTTCCCTTCCCTTCCCTGGGCCTCAGTGTCCCCATCTAAAATGAGCAGGTTGTGTTCCATTAGAGCCACGATCCTCAAATGCCAGAGACGGTCAGACTGCTTAGGAAGTGTGCAGGGATCCTGTTAAAAATACAGAGCCTCTGATCCCAGAGGGCGAGATCTGGGCATCTGACATTTTGTCAGTGATCCTGATGCCCACAGTGATCCTGATGCCCACAGATCTGGCTGGGCACAGGCACGGTGGCCCCGAGGACAGAGGAGCTTGAGGACATGCATGCTGAATACAAGGATAGAGCAGATGTTCAGGACCGAGCTCCTCAGGCCTTTCCCTGGGTGAGGAAGGCTTCCAGGGTAGGCGGCCTTTAGGTTGGGCCTTGACATCCAACCGGGCCTTTTGTTCTTGTCCTGTTGCTTTGTTTGCAGGATGCTCTTGATTACAAAATTAATTCATGCACTTTTAAGCACAGGAACACAAAGGAGTCAAAAGAAAAACTCACCCATCATTCCGAAACCCAGACACAAGTTGGGTTCTCATTTTGCTGCTTCTTTAATAAGATGTTGAGACCCAGAGCAGGAATGGGGACCTGTGTGGGCAAAGGGCTGGAGGTGAGAGCAGGCTGAACGTGCTCAGAGACATGAGGCAGGAGCAGAAACTGGAAACACACAGCCTGAGCCAGCTGGTGCCAGCCCCACACACCTTCTCTGTTTCAGGCCTGTTGCTCTGAAGTCCAGAGGGAGGAGGGTCAGTCCTAGAGCTCAGCCAGGGTCCCTGAGCACAGCCCTCATTCCTCTCTCTTTCCTCGGCCCAGGTGCTGTTTGCCCTGAACCAAACCCTGCTGCAGCAGGAGAGTGTGCGGGCCGGGAGCCTGCAGGCCTCCTACACCACGGAGGACCTCATCAAGCACTACAACTGCGGAGACCTCAGCGCAGTCATCTTCAACCACGACACATCCCAGGTGAGGCTCCTCTCCAAAGACCTGGATACCTGGCATTTATTAGATCCCTATGACGTGCCAGGCATAGGTAATCTTCTCTCCAGCCATGGCAAGAAGGAGCTATCGTTATTCCCCTTTTATAGGTGGGGAAATTGAGGCTCAGAGATGAGAAGAGATTTGTCCAAGGCAACACAGCTTATGAGTTGTTGAGTTTTAAGTTACCAAGAGCAGCAACTTGAGCCAGATCTATGTGGCTCTGGGGCCTAGGACTCTGGAAACTTAGCTTGTAAGACCAGGGAGGCCTCAGAGGTTCAGTTCTACATCTGGGGAAATTAAGTTCCAGGGAAGGAAAAGCCCACAGTTACTCAGAGCTTGGACTTGAGTCCAGCCCAGAGCATTCTGCTTTGATTTGAGTCTCAGAGGAAAGATTGTCACCAGCTGGTCGGGCAGCAAGTAGAACCCAAGGGGCTGAGCATGGCTCACCCCTGCTCAGACTCCACCATGCCTCCCCATTCATTGCTCTCATGGTGAATTCCAAGATGCTTCCTCCAGCATTCAAGGACCTTACAACGTGCCCTCTGCTGGCCTTGTCACAGCCCAGGTCCTCCACCCTACAGACCTTGCTCTGCAGACTGTGGAACTTGCAACTCTTCCATTGTACCTTGTCTTTTCAAGCTTCTGGGCCTTTGTTCAGGCTCCTTTCTCCTCCAGGGTTCCTCCCACTTGGTCATAGTCATATGTCACCTCCTGAGAAACCTTCCTGAGCCCCTGGATAGGGTCAGGCATTCTCCCAGGCACCTCTAGGGCCTTGTGCCTCCTCTGTCATTGTGCTTGAATACCCGTTCATTCAAGAAGCAGTTGAATTAGGCAGAACACACCACTTCCCTGCTCAGGACATTGCGTGGACTTCCCATTTTTATCAAGGTGAAAGCCAGAGTCTCTACAGTGGCCTGCATGGCCCCCATGCTCTCTCCCTACCCTGTCACTTTCTGCTCTCCCCTCCTGCACACCACTTGGGCTGCATGGGCCTTCTTGCTGGTGTGCGAACCCAACTCACCAGCTTCTGCCTTTGCACTGGCTGCTCCCTCTGCCGAATGCCTCTCCCAGGTATGACCATGGCTCACTCCCTCTCTGCCTGCAGCATTTAACTAAAATCTCGTCATCTCAGTGAGGCTGGCCCCAACCACCTGACTCAGAATTGCAACCTGGCCTGCATGACCACACTCTCACCCTCTTTATTATGCTCCACTTTTTTTCCCCATGGCCTTTGCCATCCTCTAACACACTATCTACTTGATTCATTGATTAGTGACTGTTTATTGGTTGCTCTCCCTACTAGATCATAAGCTCCATGAGGGCAGGGAGTTCGGTCTGTTTTATTCATGGATTTATCTCAACTGGCTGGAGCAGCCCCTGGCCCAGAGCTGGACTCAGTAAACATTTGCTGAATGAATGAATGAAGGAAGGAAGGAAGGAAGGAAGGAATGAAATAGTTTATAAATGCTAGACACAGTGCTATGAAAAGGGGCTTACAGTCACATAGGGAAGATGGGGACATTCGAGAATGAATTGCACCAAAGTGTGATCCTTGCTATGAGGATGGAGTGGAGGAAGCATTTGGAGCCTGTGGAAGGAACGGCTGATTTAGATGGGCTTGTGGGTAGGGCCTGGGACTGGGGAGAGAAGGAAAGATTTTTGCAAGATGAGAGGGCATGGAAGAACCTGAGTTGGCCATAGACAAGGGGAGGAATAATATTCCAGCAGAGGAAACCATGCACCAGTGAGCCGGAGAGGGGTGCTGAGAGTATAGCCTGCAGACAGACCGGGCCGGGCCATGGTGTTCCATCAGTACTTGCCCCCACACGACCAGGAGCTCCTGAGGGTGATGGTGTGCTGCCTATCTTGGTCCCCGTTGCCCAGCTTAGGCCTGGCACAGAGCACATGGCAGTGAGTGACTGTCACCCGAGCAAATGTAGGCATGTGGCATCCTTGCAGCAGCATAGAGAATGAAAGAGAAAAGAACTGGAGGCTTTGCTGCAGGACACTCAGGATTCCGAGAGCTCTGACTCAGTGGCAGAGAAGTGAGGGTGGAGAGAAGCACCCTGACACCACGAGGCTCCTAGGAATCTCACCTACGAGTGACCCCCTTTGTGGCCAGGCCCACCCTGCTTCATCTGCTGAGGGAGACCCCCGTGAGTCCTGAGCAGCCAGGGAGCTCTGTGGCAAAGGAGACCCTGGTCATGACTTAGGATGGTCTGGCCATGATGTGGCCAGGAGGGCGGGAGTGTGCAGGACAGGGTGCTGGCCAGACTGTGGCTGACCCTAAGCTGAGAAACGGAGGCATGAGGTGACCTCAGGAGAAGGCAAGCTCAGATTTTCTTTGAGCTTGGGTCCAGACCACTGATTTGCCTTTGGCAAGTGGAACTGCCTCAGAGGTCTCCCAACAGTTCCCGTACTTGAAGTGGGACAGAAGGTAGGTGGATTGGGCCACCTGGATTCGAAGAGCAACCCAGGCTGCCCCAAGGATGCACAGATAGAATCTAGTCGCTTGAGGAGGGGCTAGGCAACCCTACCCCAAGGTGCAGAAAAGCCTGGTGTCAGGGTAGCAAGGCTGAATCCAGTTCCCATGAGGATCTGTTGGAGGTGGGGCTGTGTCTGT
The DNA here is from genome assembly GCF_000001405.40 of Homo sapiens. NCBI lineage: Eukaryota > Metazoa > Chordata > Mammalia > Primates > Hominidae > Homo > Homo sapiens. The sequence continues at coordinate 47,798,834 of NC_000001.11, read as the reverse complement.
AGCTGGGGGCCTCAAAGTCTGCAGGGCACTGAGGATACGGAGGCTGTGGGGCCACAGTGCCTTTGCCTGAAGGCTTTAGGGAGACAGTGATACGAGAACCAGGCTTGGCAGTAGGGTCCCCTAGATGGGGGTAAAGAGGGGATGCTGAGGGGTGGAGAGCGCAAGCTGGAGAGCAATGTGGTCAGAAAGATGCCTCTGGCTATAATGTGGAGGATGAGGAAGCAACATCTGGAGGCCAGGGCAGGACAGGTGCAGGCCTGGGTGGATAACACTGGGAAAGGGGCCAGGGGCACCTCATCCTTGGCCTGCATCCTGGCTCCACTGTCCCCACCTGCAGCAATGGCTGCATCCCTGGCCTCTGCAGCCCCCAGGCCACTGGCACTGTCTGTGCCTAGCAACAGCAGGGTGATCCAAAGGCCTTCCCCTTGGAAGCCTGGCCTGAGCCTCAAGACTGCCTTAGGTGTAGAGTTGCTGCATGCATTTATTGTCCAAACCCAGATAATTTTGAGAGTCAGATACAATTGAGGATCAAGATAATTAACAGGCATGGAGCAATCTCCTCTAGCCATCGACCTGGACTGTTCTGGTCAAACCAAGACACGTAGTTACCCTATTAGGTGCCTCCTCTGGGCTCACACATTCCTCGTTGTCCTCTCAAAGCGCATATCCATCAGTGTTCTTGTGCGCATATGTGACTCCCCCATCAGTCTGTGACCCTCATCAAGAGGAGCAGACCCAGTCTGAGGAAGCTCTCAGGCCCCCTAGCCCAACACAGGGCCCGGCTCATGGAATTTCCCACAGGGTGTCTGTTGGATGGATGGGCTACAGGGAAGGGGTGCAGAGTTTAGATAGGTGGTGTCAGCAGACCTGAGCATTTGACTATTAGACCTGACATGGTTCATGGGTCAGGGAAGACTACACTGAACTCATCCCCCACAGCCCCACCCCAGCCCTGTCCAACCAATCACCTCATCACCCCATCCCTGGAGACCTCACATGTCCTCTTTAAAATGTCATTGTGCATCCTGCACTTAAACTTGTCATAGAAGATTTAAGGCCCCCAACAAGTCTAATGACATCATTAATTTGCTTCCATCCCAGCCGTGGCCCAAACCCAGAACTCATCCTTGGCAAGGAGCCAAGGCCCATCAGCATGAAACATGCAGAGAATGCTGGCCAGCGGCTGGCCAGCCCCTGGAGCCTGGGGAGCTAGCCCAGTTTCCTTCATGGCTTTAAACTTTCACTTTTGGGTTCTTGTCCTTGTTAATTTTTTTTGACTCCCCAATTAACAAATGGAGAATCATCTTTGTGTACATGCACATTTGTGGTCAGGAAGCATAGGAGGAGGGGCTGGACCCGTGTTCAGGTTCCAGGGACCCTTGGAAGGAGAGGGGAAGTGGACTGCTGCCTTCATGGTACTCTCCAATGGTTCAGAGCCATTTATTTGTCATCTTCATCCTTACCCTGTGCCCAAAGCCACCCTTCACTGGGAAAAGTGATGAAGCCAGCTCCATCCCCAGGCCAGTTGTGTAATAGCTGACATTGATTCAGGACTTCCTTTGTGCCAGGCACAGTGCTCAGTAAGCACTTTCCAAAACACATCTTGTTTAATCCCTACAATAATGTGTGTTACCCCCATGTTACCAATTTGGAAACTTAGTCTTAGAGAGGCCAAGTCACTTTCTGGTTCTAGAGAGACCACTCAGCTAGTAAGCTGCAAAAGAGGGATTCCAACCCAAGTTGTCCTGGCTGTCTGACTTCAGGCCCTACATTCATAGCCCCATACTTCTAAGGCCCCTCAGCTCACTCATTCATTCACTGATTAGACAAATATTTATTTGGTGGTACAACATAGTTTTCACATTATTTTCCATACCTAAAGAACGGTAGAACCTGTGAGGGTCACATTTCCAGAAATAACTCCTCTGAGTCATGGGCTTTCTGTGCTTCTCCCCGTTCAGAAGCCGTCAGTGTTCCCATAGCTGCATCAAGTTCAAGCATGCCCTGTTGTGTTAGGGTTTCCAATTATCGCTTTCAAAGGGGGTATGTAGGGAAGTAAGAATTCCATTGCCAACTCTGATTGGGCACTAGCAACACTGCTGTCTATAGCTATCCAGGTTGCGCACTGCACAAGGTTAGGGGACATCAGCCATATTATTGTCTTGTTCATCCCAGAGCGGTGAGTCAGGCCTTTCTGGCAGAGAAGCCCCATGGTGCATGTACCTTTACCTCTCCTCTCACTCTGGGGAACACACTAGGCCTTGGCCAGCAGATAGCAGAGGCAAATATCCTAGCCTCCTTAGAGTCCCTTAGGGCTCAGCCTCCATTGACTCCATTTTCCTCAGAAGGAGTGTTGACAACACTGCAGTGGCTCTAGAAGCCATGTGGCTGGGCTGCAGGGCCATTTAGGGGCTTAATCCTGTAGAAAATTAGCCTCTTCATGCCAGGCTCTCCATCCACCTCACCCTTCAGTTTGCAAGGTCTGGTGTCTTGTGCTTTGGGCCTGGGTAGGTGAAGATAGAGAAGTGGAAGAGGGGACACCAGGTGGAAACCATCCTGTGAGCAGGAGCTTGGAGGTTGGAATGACACTGACAGGTTGTGAGGAAAGAGAGAGTATATTCTGATTCCCTGCCTCAATTTCCTCAACAGCCCCATGTGCATATTGGAGGAGACAGTGCAGGAGCACCTGGGCCTGTTATCCAGGTTGGAAAGACAAAATGTTGGGAATAGAAGAACACAGTGGGGCAACTGTGGTCAGAAAGGGACAGCACAACTTTAAGTTCAAGGTTCAAGGAATCTGGGTACCTTCTTTGTGCCGGCTGTTGGGGGCCAGGAATGACAAAAGCTCTGTCCCTGAACCCAGGAAGCTCTCTGCCTAGTTCAAGACCCTGTTAATGCTGTTCCCAGGCCATGTGGCTGGGCGTATAGTGTGGGGTGATGGCAAAACACCTAGGCAGCTCCAAGCTAGGTTGTTGAGCAAGCCAACTTGGGGGAAGCCATGGTCCTGGGGTTGAGGTATTCAAAAAGGGATGGAGGCATTTGCATTATGTCCTGGAAAGTGGTGGTGCAGGGATGGGGAGTTGGTGGTGGCAGCAGATGGTGGCTCAGGCATTGGGAAAATCAAAAGTGATGATCCTTTCTCTCATCTCTGTAGGGTGGCATGTGCTGAATGTAGCCCATGACAGCCCCCATCCTCTTATTGAATCCCCACAATATCATCAGTTTCATCTTACAAGTGACAAAGCTGGGACTCGGAAAAGTTAAGTAACTTGCCCGGTGCCACGCAGCATCAGAACAGGGGGTGAGCCTACTCTTGTACTCAGTGGCCTTCCCGCTGTACCAGGCAGCTCAACTGACCCTGCACATCCTCTTGCTGAACTAAATTCCTTGTACTTGCCAGCACCAGGCTCGGCGGTGAAGTGAGAGCAGTTAACAAGATGAGCACAGTGCCAGCCTCCCCAGACCTCAGCATCTGCTGAGGTTCAGCAGGGCAGAGACACAAGGCAGAGCAACACATGTGGAAGCCCAGAAGCTAGGCCTTATCCTGGCACTGCCAGCACATCTCTGGATCTTTTCCACTCTTGCTTGCTTCATCTGTAAAACTGGAATAACAATGCTTATCTGAGAGGATTTTGGAATTGATGAGAAACATGTACAAAACATGTAGCCCACTGTAGGGGCCTCATAAAAGGAAGTTGCCCAGCCCCACTGGGGCTGTGCATACTTATCCTAAGTCCACCTTGCTCCATAAAGAACTGACAGCAGGTCATGCGCAGTGGCTCATGCCTATAATCCTAGCACTTTGCGAAGCCAAGGCAGGAGGATTGCTTGAGCCAGGAGGAGTTCGAGATCAGCCAGGGCAACATAGTGGGATTCAATCTCTACAAAATATTTAAAAATTAGCTAGTCATGGTGGTTCATACCTATTTGGGAGGCTGAGGCAGGAGGATGGCTTGAGCCAGAGAGTTGAGGCTGCAGTGAGCCACTGCACTCCAACCTGGGTGACAGTAACACCCTTTATCAAAAAAAAAAAAAAAAAAAAAACTGAAGGCAGCCTCTGTCTTGCCTTTGCAGCTGCCCAACTTTATCAACACCACCCTCCCGCCACACGAGCAGGTGACGGCCCAGGAGATTGACAGCTACTTCCGCCAGGAGCTCATCTACAAGAGGAATGAGCGCATGGGGAAGAGGGTCATGGCGCTTCTACGGGAGAACGAGGACAAGATCTGCTTCTTTGCCTTCGGAGCAGGTTTGGGCCAGTGTGGGGAAGGGATTGTTTGCAGAATCCTGGGAGATTTGCTTGGCTCTCCCCTAACCTCTACTTCATCGAGGGAGAAGTCGAGGCCCAGGATGGGGCAGGAAAAGCCACACAGTGCTTAGCAGCAGCACCGAGATCCAAGGCAGTTCTCCTGATTCGGGTCAAGGGTTCTTCCATAACGGTCCCCACGGGAAAGGGGAGTGATGACCCCTGCCATGGCCAGGATAATTTCTGTGGTGCCTTCATGCCCCCAGGCAGCCATGTGAGAGCCCAGGACTAAAGCCAGCTCCCACTGCCCAGCCCAGCCTCAGGCCCACCCACAGAGCCAGGAGCAAGGCTGTGAAGCACATGTGGCCCCAGAGGGAGAGGCTGGCTCTGGCGTCCCACAGTCCTGGCTCTAGATCCCAGCCCATCCACATCACCTTGGCTGGTACCTTCTCAAAGACTCAATTCTTTCTTATATAAATGGGCAGTGATAGCAATAACTATTTGATGAACTGAAAATATCTACTTTGTAGAATAGTTGTAAAGATTAGTGATAATATTTTAAAAATAACCTGCCACATAGTAGGAACTCAAAAAGGCAGCTGCAATGATCATCATGATGATGATGATACTGAGTATAAGTGTGATCATCACACATGGAACAGTGAACTTGATGCTTGCTTCTGGGGGACCTGGCCTCCTCATGCAAAGGGGAGTCTACATGTTCAGGTGCAGGGCTCACTTAGCATTTCTCTCCCTGTTCCTTTGCCTTTCATTTTTCCTCTCCTCCCTCACTCTTTGTTTCCTTCTATATGGCTGTCCCTGCCAGTAACACTATGTTTACACTGGGACCAGGATATTGTGTTTGCCTCTTGTTACTAACCAGCTTTTGCTCAGTAACTGACAGCAACAGACATTTATTTCTTGCTCATGTTACCTGCAATTTGGGTTGCCAGAACTCACCTCCTGCATTGTGAGAATTAATGAGATGGCTCCTGGACATGCTCACCACACCTGGTGCCACTGTGTTCCCTTCCCCTCCTGTCACCCTCATGCCGCCCTCCAGGGCGAGCAGTCAGTCTAACCCACCAGGGCCCTTGTGGATGTCCTGATTTTGTAATGGGATATGTCCACTGTTTGAACATTCATCCTTAAGGGCAAGAGCCAGAGGCACATCTGCTGGGCCTCGCCCCTCCTTTGCAGCCCTCACGTAGTAGAGACACAGGGGAGGGGCTCAGAAGTAGATACAGTCCTCCTGGGACAGCACCTTTAAGGCACAGCAGTTGGGCAGAAAGAGTTCTGGGTTCATGCAGGATCTCTGCTGTGGCCTGTTGTGGCCTCCGGCAAGTCTCTTTCCCTCTTGTAGCCTCAGTTTACCCATCTGAACAGGAAGAGCCAGGACTCACTTGGGCCATCTAGGATTCCAGAGCTATTCAGCCATAGGTTTTAGAGAAGGGAGGGATTCCTGTAGGGGTGTAGGGGCAGGAGCAGGACATTGACTGGCAGCATGGAGAGGGTAAGCCACTCTCCAGCCGCAGGGCACCTGCTGGGAGCTCGGTGTGAGTCAGGACAGCTTTGAGGACTGTGCAGGGAAGAGTCCCCTCCCACTCCCTCACCATCCAGCTGCCTCTTCCGCCCTCCCTCCTATAGGCATCAGGGCAGTGCATCCTGCTCTGGAACAGCCCCCAGTAGACTCCAAATGGGGAACCACCCTGAGTCATCCAGCCCCCAGGCTCCTCCCCAGGCCTAAGGGGAGCCCCCAGAGAGTGCAGTCAGTGAAGGGGCCTTCATTCTACACACCCCACCTGAGTAGTCCTGCCTGCCCCAGGACCCAGGAGCAGAGTCTCCCAGGGCTGGGGGTAGCTACCACCAGCTCTGTCTGTGAGCAAGAAAGCAGAAGAGTCTAACAATGAAAATCACAGCAGTGAGGGGAGCCGTGGACACTAACCTCCTTTTCCTGAAACCCTAGGTTTGTAGGGGCACTGATGTCCACTCCAGCAACAGGCCAGCACACAGGCATGCCAAACGCCAGCTTCTCCCATCTCCAAAATGTAATCAGTCCCCAGTGAATCCTGTTGACAGGCCACCAGAAAGACCTCACACCCATCCATTCTGTCCATGCCCACTGGCACTATCCCAGTCCCAGCCTCCTCCCCTCCTCCCTGCCTCTGGACTCCTCCCCACATTGTGGTCAGTGAGTGGTGCTGGCTTTGTCTCCCATGCTCGCCTCAGAGGTGGGGCACCACTTAATCATCGCTGTGTCTTTGGTAGCATGTAATAGGCTTTAAGTTTGCTGAGTGAATGAAAGAATGAATGAGTGAAGAAATGAACGTTGACCAGGGTCTCCCATCCTGTTCTCCTCTGGGCTGGTGAATTTATAAGGATAGGCCAGCAGTAAAGTCAGGGCAAAGGGAGACTCACCTCCGCTCTCATGAATCCACTCTCCAAAAACAACAGATCTGGAGCCACGTGCAGATCCTGCTGGCAGCTGCCACTTCTCCTGGCTCAGCCATGCCTGGAACAAATGGCCCACTCTGCACAGCAGATCTCCTTTCCACCCAAGAATTTCCAAGCTGGACAGAGCCTCTGAGCTTGAGCTGCCCACCTCATCCTGGCTGTGGGACAACTGAGGTCCACAGAGGGCAGGGACATGAGCAAAGCCCCCAGAAAGTCCAGGACAAGGCCAGAACCGTACCCTAGGCCCAGGATCTATGATCCAAGGGCTCTGTTTTTGTGTGCAGGGCATTGAGCCACCCCAGCGGGCCTGTTACAGAGTCATCCTATTGACATGGAACGCATCCGCATGAAAGCTGTGGTGAGGGAAGTCCACTCCGGCCTCGTTACATTCTTATGATCATGTAATTTCTGAGTCCCACATCTGGTGACAGGCTGACTTACGTGCAGAGCTGGGACTAAGCACTCTCTTGGTGGAGTGAGACCTGAAGACATACCCGCTCCACTCCTCACCTACCCACCTGGGGGCCCCTGCAGTTCTGTCCCCGGACTGCCGGGCAGTGGGGACCCTGGGACTCAGTGGGCTCTCGCAGCCCATTGCCTGCCAGGTCCCAAATAACTCATAAGACCCCCAAGGCTATGGGATGTAGGAAGGGTCTATACTACCAGGAATGCAGCTATCCATCCCCCAGGCATGTGTCTGCTCATGCAAATGTCTCTCAAGCCTAGAGTCCATGGGTATCTCTAAGAAACATCTCTGGAAATAGAAACATATGACCCCCACCAACCCAGCCTTGCCAGGTGTCTGAGCCAAGCCCCTGCTGGGGGCTCTTCTGTCATTCCACGACAGGCCCAGCCTCAGTGTCCAGCTGAAGTTCCTGAAAGCTCTGTGGTTCTGGAGTCTGGATGGGGCCAAGCATGTGAAGGTGAGAGATTGAGCCTCCGCCTGCCTGGCCCCTCCAGTGCTTGTTAGGACCCAACCCCGACCCAGCCCAGCTCCAGAATCCTGCCCTGAGAGCCTGCGAGGACAGACAGGGATTTCCAGTGCTGACTGCAGTCTGGCTTCTCCTCTCTTCTGCTCTGAGGGGGCTTCAGTGCAAAGGGTAAGAGCTTTGGGGTCAGGAGGCCTGGGTGTAAAGTATGGCTCTGCCACTGTGAGCTAAGAGATGCTGGGAAAGCCATTTCACCTCCAAGGGCCTCAGTCCCTCATCTGTAAAACTGGGACAATACATCTGCCTCATGGGATTGTTCTGGATACACTCATTTGAGAACACAGTATTAAAATGCTCTTCCATGGTGGAAGGGTTCTTATCATAAAAGCCCTTACTATGTGCCAGCCACCATTCCAGGCTCTCTGATTACGTAACACCACGAGATGGATTTTAATGATACTCATTTTGCAGATGAAAACAAAGCCTCAGGGAAGATGAACGGCTTCCTCAAGGCCATGGAGGCAGACCTGCCATGGGAAGCCTGGCCTCTTGAGTCCCAGGTGTGGCCATTTCCCTTGCACGTGGTGCCCTTGCTGTATGCATACAAAAGTGTTGATGATTTTGTGGAAACGAGTGCCTGTTTAGCTGGTGCCTCTCATGAAATACTCTTAGCATCTGTGATGTTTCTGCAACCTGGCACTGTGTGACCTCTTCTAGAGGTTACCCTGCAGTTCAGGGCAGGTGGGGTGCAAATGTGTGACAACCTTGAGCAGGCCTGGGTGATGCTGGGGGGGCCCAGATGGAAGCCCTCCCTATCCAGGAGGTGGCTGTGGCCAGTGTGCAAGCCCAGATGTTCTGGAAGTAGCCAGGCTGTGGCCATGGAGGGGTGTGTCATCCAGAGGGGAGGAAAAGCCCATTTTCTGTCTGCTGAGCTCCTGTAGCTGGACAGGCTGAGCCTCAAGAGCCCCCCAAGATTTTCTAGTCCAGTTGCTTGTAGATGCAGGTCCTTGGGTTTCCTCTGGTACAATTAACAGAAAAATAAGTACAAGGTGGTGAATTCCTTGTTAGCTAAATTTATTCAATTTACAGGTTTATATTCTGAAATTATCTCCTTTCAACTGTGTTTGAAGTTAAAATATTCCTTACTTAAGAAAATTAAAAAGATGATGGTGGGAAGCAGATAAAAGTCTCAAAGTCCTCATTTGGCAAAATGAAAATCTGGTAATTGCATTGTTCTTCCCACTCACCTACCTTTTTTTTTTTTAAGATGAGAAAGAATTGAGCATGCTTGAAATATGAGGAAGAGAATATTCTAGGATGAGTGAGGCTGATGATACAGGAGAGAGGGGGGAAAAATGATAAGCCTGAGGTTCCAAGAAGGCAGCAAGGTGGGGACCAGAGCTTGGGTGCAGGGTTGAGGAGGACGCCTTGGGTGGAGGAAGACACCTCTTCACCTGTAACTGAAGGGAAGGAGGGAGGAGGCTGGCAGGCAAGTAATTTGGCAGCCAAAAAGGGAGCAAATTCTCAGCTGATGGCTTCTAATCAGAGCACCACTGTCTGAAGTAGAAGGTGAAGTCATCCACAGAGGAAGAGGAGAGAGAAGGGAGGATTCTTGGTTTGAAGAGGTGAGACTATTTGACATAAGAGAAATTGGCCACAAGAACTGACCAGGACAAGAAGTTAAAGATGTTTCCTCCCATGGGCCATTATGATTGATTGGTAGCACCTGCCTGGAACGTTATGGTATAAGATGATAAAGTCGCATCAGAGCCCAGCAGAGAAGAGGCCCTTATTGATTTGTGATGTCTGCTGGGGACCGAGATTAGGGCACATGCCAGCTACAAATCTGCTCTGTCTATGCTAGGAACATAGAGGATGCTGACTGCAATGAGGGCCCATGAACCTGCCAAGTCACGGGTGTAAGATTTTCTCCAGCAACACCAAGCAGCTGGGGTGTAAATGTGGATGTTGTCACCCAGGCCTGTGTGCTGATTTTATCCTAGCACCCACTGCTCAGTGATCATCCCATTGCATGTGAACTACTCCAGGACAGGGCACATACGCCTCAGAATTGCTGACACCTAGGAGATGTTCTGTGAGGACATACTGGACCAAATCACACAGAATGAAGTTCATTCCATTGAGTCAAGGTATCTCCAGGCCCAATTGTGGGGGTGGGGTCCAGTCTTATGCACTAGAAGAAAATTACAATTTTACCCTTAGTTCCAGGGAAACAGGTTTCTCAGGATATTTACTTGTTCAGCCATCCAGAAATCTTCTAGCATTCTTTTTTCCTGGACTAGAATGAGTAATGTAGGAATTAGAGGAACTGGGCTGGAGACATGAGCCGGACTCAGGGGTGGACCAGGTAACCTCTAGGGCCCATTCATTTCAAACTCTGAGAACCAGTGGTTATCACACACTCCGTCCCTAGCACGTGCTATAATCTGAGTATAATTCTAACTTCTGACATTCCAAAATCCTTGACCCTAACATGCTGTTGCTTTAAAGTTGCACAGCTCTAATATTCCAGCATGCTGTAATCAGAGCCTTCTAACATGCTAGCATTATTTGCTCCAGCCTCTCTTGGATTCCTTGGGAGGAGTATGGAGCTAAGAGCCTTCCAGGAATGGAAATCACTCTTCGCAGGACTGCTGTCACCTGCTCCACAGGGAGCAGAAGTCCAGGCAGAAGGCAGAACTTGAAGAGTTAAGAGGCAAGCAGTGTGAGCACCAGAGACAGAGAGGCTGGCTCCATTACTCAGGCACCCACACATTTGGCACATGCAGCCCCCAGGCTCATGCCAGCCTGTTTCTACCCCAGCTAGAGTGCCGCAGACCCCATAATCCAAAACACACCTGTGAAGCTGGGACACAGAAGCAGATCAGAGGTAAGCACCCAGGCTTGAGAGAAGGGAGAGATATAAGACCAACACACAGAATACCATTAACACCTTTTAAAATTCATAACGTTAGAAATTGCTCCCTAGAGAGTGGACACCATCCTGCTTGAAAAAATTCCCATATCCATCAACTTATATGGCCCTTCCACATCCTCAATTCCTCTTGGAGGGAAACAGGATGGTATTTATTATTCCATTTGGCTGGTCAGTAAATCCAAGTACAGATGGGATGTCAGAGAGTCTTAGAACTGAAGTGAAATGGTGGTCACATTGTCTAGGTCATTCTTCCTGATGACCAGGAAGTCATCCTGATCCCTAAAAAATCCATCCAGCTGTCACTTGGGCCCTCTGTTCTGCTGGGAATTCTTCTGCTGGGCCTTCCCTGATTTCCCTTCTGGGCTCCCATAGGCCTCCAGGATTTTGCTATCACAGCCTCTCTCATGCTCCCAGTCTAGGATGTCCACTCCCTGAGCACTAAGAAGGTGCGTATTACCCACTTGTTGAATGAATGAATGAATGAATGAATGAATGCACCAACCCTGAGGTCCATAAACAGAAATGCTGCCTGCTTCTACATTATCCCACAGCAAAACCCAGCCTAAAACCTACATCTTCTGCCCCCATGGTGGGAGACTGAGGGGTCCAACCACATCACATCTGCCTTTGGAAGCTGAGGCTAGATTGACAGGTGAAAAGACCTAAGGAAAGAGAGTCCCAGGTACTGCTGAGTAAACCATGCAATCACAGCTAGAGGAGGGGGAGTTTAGTGCTAAGCAGGAGCATTTGTAGGGAGGGGAGGCGGCAAGATGATTAGGTAGGGAAAAGCCAGAAAAGAAAGAAAATAGAGCAAGGTGAGAGTTACGCCAAAGACGTGAGGGTAGAAAGGGGATTCTGAGATCTTCTATGTGGCCTTCTCAGAGTCTTTCCTCCTCTGTCTGCACAGTGAGGGGCTTTAGACAGAGCTAGGTCCAAGGTCCCCTTTAGCCCCCAACATTCAGCGTTTCCACACATGTCTAACAGAGGTTTGAGTGACTGGCACTGAAAGGAGGCAGGGTAAGTTAGAGAAAGCTTCCTGGAGGAGGTGAAAACCAGTTGAAATTTCCCTGATGCAGATCCAGCTGCCTTCCAGTTTACTCATCATCTCCATAGTCCTCAGGGCAAGACCCACACCAACCTCCTTCCCCATCATGGTTCTTCACTTGGTGGCGTCAGAATGGCAGCCCTTCAGAGCTCATAGCTGGGCACAGAAGAGCGGCCATCGTCCATATAGGGCCTTTTTCACCTTGGAAACAAGAGGCAGGCCAGTCACAGTGGCTCACATTTGTAGTCCCAGCACTTTGGGAGGCTGAGGCAGGAGAATCACCTGAAGCCAGGAGTTTGAGACCAGCCTGGGCAATATCCCAAGACCCCATTTCTACAAAAATAAAAAAATTTGCCAGTCATAGTCATGGTGATGCATGCCTATAGTCCCAGATACTCAAGAGGCTAAGGTGGAAGGGTTGCTTGAGCCCAGATGTCAAGGCTGCAGTGAGCCAAGGCTGCACTCCAGCCTGGGTGACAGAGTGAGACCCTCATCTCTAAAAAAAAACAAAACAAATGAACAAACAAAAATAACAGCTGCTATCCTCTCTCACTGGCAAGCGCCCTGGTCTGCCACCCTCCCCAAGCTGGAGCTTGAGGCCACAGCATCTGAAGTGTTTCAGAATTTCCAACGGTGCTTCAAAGGGTCCTGCCACCCCACCACGCATGCATCTGGCAACTGGCATTCCTGTGAAGGGCTGCAATCCTTGGCCAGAGTCGCCGTTGCTGCTTCAGGCCAGAACATCCAGCCAGCCAGAGGAACATCCCCTCCTGGCTTGTCCCTAGCTGGAGCCAGCCCTCACCCTCCGAAACAGAGGAGAGTCTAGAAGAACAGAGTGCCCACACCCCAGGACAGATCCCAGGGCTGCTCCATCAGTGAAGGAGAATGTACAAATCTGGCAGGGAGCTCAACATTCTTCCTGGACAGTGTGAGAAAGGCAAGAAGAGAAGAAAGTGTAGATTAAAAGCATGGGCTTGGACCCAGACTGTGTGAGTTAGAAACCCTGCGTTCTCCTGATCAGAAGTCGCCTTGGGCAGATCAGTTGCTTCACTTCTCTCAGCCTGCGGCCTCCCACTCTGCAGATGAGCCTGAGATCCAGCTCACTAGCACTCAGGGCCTGGCCTTGCACAGTCATTCCGTAAATGTGAGCTCTTGTGTTGCCACCATTATTTCAGGGTCCCTGGCCCCTCAGAGCTCGAAGTCCTCTAAGAACAGGACTCCCACACAGGAGACAGTAGAGCCACTGGGGTCGAGGGGCAGAAGTGCTTGGTGGCCTCTGAGGATGCAACTGGGACGCTGTGGCAAAACCCCAAGAGCCAAATTCAGCTCCAAGTAGCACTGAGGCTCAGGAGGCGTGGGGCCCTGTCCCTGCCAACAGGGAGCTCCCAGGAGTCCTGGGGTGTTGTGATTCTAAAAAAGGAGCCTCTGGATGTTGTAAAGAGTGACTGACATGGCCATGGAGATCCCTGGCTGAGCACTGCCTCCTGCAGTTCACAGAACCCATCACAGGCTCTGTCCTGTGCTGACCTGGAATCAGCCTGCATGGCCATTGCCTGGATCTGGGCCTTGACATGGATGCACCCCGTGCCATGCCTGGGCTTGAGCCCAGCTCTGCCCCTTTCTGCCAGCGTGACACAGGGCAAGTTCTGTTAGCCTCAGCAGGGTTGCTCCTCTCGGAATTTGTAACCATCTTTGCGCTGTTCATGGCAGAGCTGAGCTGTCCAGCTGAAGACCTGGGGCACTTTCATTTCTGACGTCCTGCGTTCTAACAGCCTCCAAAGAGGAGCAGCTGGTAAAGGCTGCTAAAGCAGGCAGAATCTCTGGTTCCACCCAGACACAGCAGTTCCCCATAGGATGTCTGAATACCCCTCACAGGCCTGACAAGTGCTCTTCGACCCTCAGCTTACACACCTCCCAGGGTGGAGCACTCACTTCCTTACAGCTGGACAGTTGCCTGGGAGAGTGTTTTTTGGTCCCAGCTTGAATCTGTCCCCTTCACCATGTCCTGCAGCAATCAGAATGTCATGGAGGAGGGACACCCTCGTGTTCCAACCCTCACTATTGCCACCTCTCCTTTCACTTTATGTTACTGCAACCCAGAACTGCTGTTGGCCAGCACGTGCCACACCACCTCTCCCCTCCGTGCATTTGATCCTGCTGTGCTCTACCAGGAATGCCCTTTCTCCTCTCTTCCTCTCACTCCTCACTCATCTCCTTAGTCTGGGTCCCTCTCCTTCCACTTCAACCCCATGGCCCCTGGCACTGCATGGCTCATGCTGTCCTGTGAGTGTTTGCCTGCCCATCTCCCCCTCTCCATACCGTGACCTCCTCAGGGGAGGGGACTGTGTGTCAGCTCCTGGCACAAGGTTGGGTACAGAGGTGGTGTCATCTCAGGCCCCACTGAACTGAAAGGTCCCTAGCCCTTCCCTGGGCGGCCTGCAAAGCAGGAGAAAGGAAGCTCGGCTCTGCCAGTGTCCCTCCAGACACTCTTTGAGAGACCAGTTGTCCATCCTCCACTGGCCCTCCCATCCAGCCCTCCTGTCATACTTCCTCAGGAAAAAAAACACCGCCATAGCTTGATATCCGGCCGGCCTGTCCTGGCAGCTAGATTAGCATTTGAAAGTTTCCCTTGCATTAATTTCAGACGGAACATAAATATGGGCTTGGGATGCCTCTTCCAGGAGGAGAAAACTGGAAACCCAGCATACTCACTGGAGAGAAAACATGTGTGCTGATCGGGGGGAGCCAGTGCTGCTTTGGAGCCTTTGTGGGAACATCTGGTTCTCCCCTCCTCCCTCTGCCCAGCCCCTCAACACGGTCCTGAAACTGCCCTGTTAATTGTGTGTTATTCTTGCTGAGCACTTGCACACTCTCCTCTCCGATCTGGTGAACCTTGGAAGGGACGCATGTTTCTGACAATTTCCTGCCCCCAAATGTGAACTCAGGATCCCTTGCAGCTGCCAATACTTCAGAGTGGGTGTAGTAGGACATGCAGTAAACTGGGACATCTCTGGATTGAAGTCCAAGCTTTGCCTTTTACCAGGTGTGTGACCTTGGGCGAGTCACGTCCCCTCACTGAGCCTGTTTCCTCATCTGGAAACTGGCAACACCTCAAAGGGCCGCTGCAAGGATGAAATGAAATGACGTTTGAGAAGCATCCTGTACTCGGGAGGCCCACTAAGTATGAGCATGTGTGCAGGTCATCAAACGAAGGAATCATAGAGGTGGGAGGACCCATGAGACCGAGACCATGGGGCCCAACACCATGTGGGGAAACTGAGGCACAAAGTGAGACTGGAAACTCCCCAAGGTGACATGGTTAATTGATGAGTGGGGTGTTCTAACAGTCCTAACCCTAGGACAGCACTCGCTCTACCCTGCCTTCCCATGTCAGAGGATCAACAGGGGCTGTCAGGCTGTGCCAGGCTGATGGGAGGCGGGGTAGATCTGGCCTTGGCCTGTGCTCTGCTCACTGAGCCTTGTGCCCTGGCATAGGCTAGATTGCGCTTAGGAGAAAGGGAGTCTTTTTCTTTGCACTAAAACATCATGGGGGCTGCACCTGCTCAGAGCAGGGAACCTCTTCCTGTTTGTATATAAGTGTCCTTTATGTGGGACCCTGGCTTCTCTCAAGGTAGGCAGGCACCATCCCAGCCCCGCAATTTTTAAGATCCAGTCCACCTTTAGGCCCTTGCTTCTCCTTACTTTGCCTGTCTTCTCTTACATCTGCATCTGAATCCCACCCATCCTGGGGGAGTCCTCGATACATGACTGGATACATGAGCCCCTCCTCTCGGAAGCCTTCCCTGATGTCCTCAGTGAATTGGTCTCCACCACGCTTTTTGTCTTCATTTCTGAGTTCCCTCTCTCCTCTTTCTCCCTTCTCTCCTTACCTCTCTGTCTCTGTGTCTTTGTATCTCTTTGTCCTGTCCTTGTCTCTTTCTGTTTTTCTTGGTGTCTCTTCTTCCCTCTCTCCCTACTGTTGTCTCTGTGTCTCTTACTGCCTGTCTCTGGGCCCCTTTCTCTTTCTCTCCACATTGCCTTTCTGCTCTCCATCTGCTCCTGAAGCTCTCTTCCTCCTCCGTGCCCCTTTCTGTGAGTATCTCTCTGCTCTTCTCCCTACCTCTCTCTCTCTTTCTCCTCTCTCCCTCTCTTTGTCTGCATGGCTCTGTGTGCCGCAACCCCCCCACCCCATGGTCCTCCCTCTGTTTCCTCCTCTTCTCATCCACGAGGCCTCAGCAGATGAAATGGAACGTATCTTCCTGCAGAGAGCTGGCCAGAGAACAGCTGTCAGTGTTGGAAGGGGCTGCTGAGCCGTGGCCAGGAGACCTGGGGAGCCTGGGCAAGCCTTGCAGGCTGAGCCCCAACATCGTGGGGCCCCTTTGGAGACTTTCCATGACTTTCCCTGCAGGTTCCAGGATAGGTGTGGCACCTATTTTAGGATTTCTGACCTTGGAGGCAAGCATGGTTCCTGTCTGCCAGCTCCTGAGGACGGCATGCTCTGGGCCCTGACTCGGGCTGGTCCAAGGGCCAAATTCCTGGGATTGGTAGAATCTGGAGGAGCACCACCAAGGGGCAGGGCTGAGTTACAAGAAGAGGAGATCCATGAGCTCAGGTCTCCTGGGGATAGGATGAGATCATGGAAAGGATATGGAGTAACAGGTTTTTTCACTCATTCATTCAACACACATTCACAAAGCCACTGCCACATGCCAGACTTGAGTTTATCTCTGGGGATAAAGATGAATCAGGCATGACCCCTGCCCTCAAAAAGCTCTTAGATCCCCCTCAGGTGGGTTGGGAGCACGTTCTGACAAAGTCAGCTCTGGGGTGTGAACTAGAGAGAGCAAGGAGAGCAGTTTCTGCAGTGATTCAGGCAGAAGGTGATGGTGACCTAGGCCAGAGTCAAGCACGTTTAGGAGGTCACAGCAGGGGGCCTCTGGGAACTGATCGTATGAAGATGAGGAGCGAGGAGAATCAAGATAGGACCTATTTAGGTTGAATAGCAGAGCCTGGTTGAGACGCAAGACATTGTTGCAGAGAAGGAAGAGTTGGATTCTATAGGTTCTGAGGATGTTTAGGTGGAGATGCCCAGTAGGTCGCTGGACAAATGCATCTGGGCAAAAGTGGCAATTCCAGAGTGGTCAGCATTGTGTAGTTACCAAAACCATCAGGGTGGATGATCTGTCTGTGGGTGAGAAGAAGAGGGCCAAGGGCATGGTTCCCAGGGCTCCCACATTGACTGGGCAGGAGAAAGAGGAGCCCACCAACAGGACAGATAGGGGGCAGTGAGAGAAGTACAGAGAGAACCAGGATGGAATGGAGTCGTGAGCACTGGGGCCGTTGCAAGTGTTGCCAACCCAGCTGTGGGGTGCTGTGAAACCAAGCCCAGAGAGGGCAGGGTGGTAGAAACATGGGCTCGGGAGCGCAGGAACCGCATTACACAGTTCTGGGGCACAGGCCACATGGGAATGGCGCCTCCTGGAGTTGTGCAAGGAGTAGCCACCTGGGTGGAGGTGACCATTCTCCCTGCCCTGGCAGAGGGAAAGGAAGGTGAGTGTGGCTTAGAGAAGGAGAGAATGGGAATTGGAAGGATTATTCCTGATTGGTTTCATTTTCTCAAAGCATCTGAAGTCTTCTGTTTTGGGTCTTACAGAAAACAATAAAGGTGTGGAATGGTTGAGGTTGAGGGGATGGATAGGAACGCCGGCCAGACACGTGGACCATTGCCGCGCAGTGCTCAGGATCCAGTGGGCATCCGGTGAGGCCTGCACCATCGGCCGGGCTGAGGCCTGGGCCCTCTAAGTGTCTCCTCTACTCAGTCCCAGAAACGCTCCTCTTGGAGCAGCCGCGCAGCAGTCAGTAAATATTTGCTGCTGCTCCTGTACAGCCCGAGGCAGGGCTTTTTTTCCTGGCAGCTCTTGAAATCCTCTGGGCAAACGCGAGGACCGCTGTTGGGCTGGGAGGCCTTGTCTTTGCACAGGTCTCCAAGGAGGCAGAAAAGGAGTTGCCTTTGCTGCCAGGAGTAGAGTCCAAGAGCCGCTTGCAGAGAGTTCCTCCAGCCTGCGTGCTGGAGGCTGCCTCTTCCCGTCCCTTTCCAGCTTTATGGTGCTGTGGGGAAAGGCAAGAGTGGGGATGACCCCGCCCTGCCGGGGACTGTCTCCAGCCCATCACTCAGTACTGCACTCTGGGCTTTTCCAAGGGACATCCACTTCTTCTGCCTCATTAGGGCTTTACAGTTGCCCCAAGGAGTCGGTCAAAGAACTGTAGGCCCGTTTGACGCACAAGAAAACTGAGGCTGGTGGCAGGGAAGCCACTTGCTTAGGATCACAGGCTGCGGGGCAGAATGAGAGCCTTGGCGGGAGCCTGGATCTTTTGTCCTCAACAGCACTAGGTCAGGGCCAGAGCTCCGGAAGGGCCTGTTCATGCCTGTGCTGCCCATGCCTCTTCTGCAGTTAGCTTCCCAAATGTGCCTCATTCACCTCCTAGTCATTGCACATGCTGTTCCCCCTACTGGAACAGCCTCCCCCACTGTGCCACCCACTCCTATCCTCACCTCGATAACTCTTATCCCACCCTGCAGCTAGCAGTGCCCCCTCCAGGAAGTCTGCTTGACCCCAGGCTGGCTTAGAGGCCTCCTGTGTGCCCTCACAGCCTCCTGTGTGAACAGTTCCCTCTCCATCATACTTAGTGCCCGGATTACAGGATTCCCATTCTCAAGTCTGTGAGTGCCTGGAAAAAGACCCTGCCTCTTCATCACTACCCAGCACAAGATATGCACCTAGGCAGTGTTCATTAAATGAACGAGATGAATAGGTGGGGAAAGGAAATAAGAGAGGGAGGTATCTTTTCATAAGGGTCTCTGGAATGAAACAAAAACCTTCCCCATAGGCTCTGAGAGCCAGAAGAGCCTATAGATATTATGCATAGCAAGAAACTGAGGGCATTAGAGGGTAATATGCTTGCCTGAGGTCTCAGAGTAAGTGTGGTGGTTGCCAGACTAGAGCCCTCTGACATTCCAAGCCCAGTGACCTTTCCCAGTGATCCTCAAGTGAAACTTCAGGGAGGCAGGGTCAGCCAGCCACATGGCACATAGTCAGGCATGGTCAGCCAGGCCTAAGGTAACTCCAGATGCTCTGGCAGGGCATGGTCAGCAAGAGGGAGATCACTGGGCTGGGAGACTTCCTGAGGAGTTGTGAAACCAGCCCAGAGGTGTGCGAGGCTGGTGGGGCAAGACAGCAGCACGGTTCATTCTCTGCTCCAGCCACTATGCAGTTCTATGCTGGCTTCCTCTGCCAGAGCATCTCTGTTCCCCAACAGCCTGTCCACTTTCTACTCTCCTAGACCTCCCTGGGGCTGTCAGCATGCTGACCTTCTGGCTTCCACCTGTCACCACCATTCACAGGCAATTAGAGGAATAGTGCAGGGATCTCCCCTAGGGTTCAGGATGAACAGGGAGCAGTAGGGGAGAGTGCTTCCCTAATGAGTGCAGCCACAGGGCAGGCCCATGGCAGGAGGGGCCCATGGGCCCTGAACAAGCACCACATTGAGCAGGTGGGGGAGACTGAGGCCCCCGAGGCAGAGGGACATCCCAGAGTGTTGACTCCCAGCACCTCCTGTGTCCAGAGCCACTGGGCCTCCTGAGGGTTCTTCCCAACCAGAGCCCAGGAGAGGCTCCCCTGAGTACTCAGACATCAAGCCTGCATTCCAACACAGGAAGACGATTTCCACTCCCAAATGGGGCTTTCAACTAAATTGCCCATTTCTGTATTCATCGTTCCTAGTGCAGAACTGACCACAGAGCAAGGTTGTCATGAATGTTTGCTGAATGAATGAATAGTGAGTGGGGGACTGACATGGAGGCCAGCCCCTCTCCCCACACACACCTCTGGAGGGTTCAGTTCTATGTTTCTGCCTCCTGTAGGTGACCGTCACTGTCTGCCAGGCCCTGCAATCAGTCAGGGTTTTTGGTTACCCCGGCTGGGATCTTACACCTCAGTGAGTCCCAGGACCTGGCCCATAGTGCGTTCTCCACAGGTACTAGGTGGATGAGTCTGTGAATCCAGCCAGTAGGTGCTGAGCCTGTGCAGGGCAGTGGAGATGCCATCTCTGCTCTCTGGGAGCTGAGTGAGGAGGCCCACATGAACACACAGAACCCCACTCCCATGCTAAAGGAGGGAGGCCTGAGTTGCTGGTAGAACTTACCAAGATGAGCCATAGCCCTGCTAGGGGCTTGAGGGTTCCCTGGAGCTGGGCTTTGAGTGACTGCTGGAGGCTGTCCCAGCCTGGACTGTGGGGGGCTGGGGTCAGCTTCATGGTGTGAGGCACAGAGATGCACCAGGGAAGCACGGAGAGCCCTTACTACGTGCAGGTAGCTGTTTTTTATAATCCTCACAGCAACCCTGGATGTTGCTATTACAGCCATTCTCACTTTGCAGATGAGGAAACTGAGGCATGGGGAGATACAGTTAATGAGCGGCAGAGCCAGGATTTGAACCCAGGCAGGGTGGCACCAGGACCATGTCTTACCTTCTATGCTATACTGCCTCTCAGGGAATCTGGGGCATTGACTTTGGTGTAGGTCACTGGCCCAGATACAAACTTAGGGGATGGCCTGGGGCAGTCCCCTGTGGCCGGTGGCCTGGCATGTGGCTGAGCCCCTTTTGTCACTTGTGTTCCAGGTCACTTTCTGGGGAACAACACAGTCATCGACATCCTGCGGCAGGCAGGGCTGGAGGTGGACCACACACCCGCCGGGCAGGCCATACACAGGTAAGCCACATCTGGGTGTGCCTTGGCCCTCACTGACCCTGCCTTCCTGCCCAGGCTTTCAGGAGAGCTGTGAAGAGGCTTCTGGTGAGGCAGAGGCAGGTCTCTACCAGGAAGCAAGAATGGAAAGGCTGGGCTGGAGGCAGGAGATTGGGAAGGAGCTGGTGAGCCGTCTTGGCTCTAGGTGACAGCAGGGCCAGAGCATGGGTGGGAGTGAGAGCAGCGTTAAGACTGGAGAGGTACTTATGATTTACAGATGGTGGGTTGGGTCGGGGGTAGAGGGACTCAGTAGAACTCCTGGGTGCTGCTTGGAAGACTGTGGCTGCCCTGGCTCTGAATCGAGATGGTACTGGGAGGATGGGCAGGGCCCTGGTCTCTTTCCTGGGTCACAGCCCCACTCTGTGGCAGCCCTGCTGCCCCACCCACTCCTGGTCCTCACCTTCTCCGTTGCTGTCTCTGGCTATGCCCCTCACCCCTAACTTTCCTGCCAGGGCATACCCACCCTGCTCAAATAGCCACTAATGGCCATCCGCTATTCCTGCCAGGTCTTCCAACCCCCACCCCCACAGTCTGGGAGCTGCCCGAGGGTAGGGACCAGCTCAGTCCATCTGTGGTTCCACAGCACCAGCACCAGGCCAGACATGAGAGGTGTCAGCGAGAGCCAGGCTCTGAGTCCCGGGGAGCCCCAGAGGTCAGTGACAGGATCCTCAGACTCCAGGGTTCCATGCAGCTCGTGCTCCAGCATAAAGACCCGGAGTTTGAAAGAAGCTTGGATCTTCATAGCCAGTATTTATTAACTGCTCTCTCCGTACCAGGCTCTAAGACCTTTTAACTCATTTAATCTGCATAACAGCCCTGTGAGGTCAAAGCTATGAGTTTCCCCACCTTATCCTTGAGGAACATGAGGCCCAGAGAGGTGAAGTCACTTGCAGAAGGACACACAGCGGTGTAAGTGGCAGTCTGGCTCCAGGGCCTCCCTGAACTATTACTCCCTGTACCAGCTCTGAGGGTGAACTGAGGTCTCGATAAACCCTCACATTGGGACTTCATCCCAGTCTCCCACCACTTCTCATCTGAGTCAAACTGACAAGGCTGCTCTTCCTACCTGAACCGTTTGGGCCCAGCACGCATTAGTTTATACTGGGGGCCAGGGGCAAGCATGTGTTTGAGGGTTGGGGATTCCAAGGTAGCCTCAGGGACAAAGCCTTCTTCAAGTTTCCCTCCTCTCCCCTCACCCCAGCCCTCACCCCAGCAGCCCCAAGGACCTTCCCCTTGAAGCTCATTGTGTCTGTTCTGGCCAGGGCAGGGGAGGCAGGCAGGCCAGTGAGGCTAGCGAGCCTCCTATTCATCTCAGAGCCCAGGCATTAGGGGAGGGGGCCCTCCACAGCTCCCCCATGGGCTCTGCTCCAAGGACTCTCAGCCTTAGCCTCCTGCACGGGGGAGCAAGGGAGTTGGCAGGGCGGAGGGGGGCGGGAATGCTGAGGAGGCTCCAACAATAAAAGCCATCATCGGCCACAGGTGCTTCCTGGATCTAGCTTTTTGTCTGACTGTTTTGAATTATCTCCCCAGCAGCTGCGGCATCTCCAGGCAGCCTGAATCCTGAGAATCTGGGGTTGCCATGGGGGTAGGGGAGGAGAGGCTGAGCTGATGGCCTTCTTTCCTTCAAAGAGAGAAGCTCCTCACCCATCGTGCCGTGTGAGAGTGGGCTGGGAAGACGGCCTGCCTGCTGTCTTGGGTACTGTCTAACCTTGCAAGCTGCCCACTCAGCCACAATTCCTGAAACCATTCCCAACCTTCTCCCAGGATCACATGTCCCTAAAACAAATTCTATTGTGGCCATGGAGAGGAAAGAATAAAAGGGAGAAAAACAGAGGGTGCCCTTGGGCTAAGCGGTGCACGTGTATGCCCCTGTATAAAACATGAATTCCACAATGTGACAAATGACACTTTAGCGCCTGCCTGACAGCCAGGTCTATTTGCTTGTCGGCCAACATCCAAGAGAGGCTTATGTGCCAGGCACTGTGTTAAGACCTCATCTCATTCATCCTCATGACAACCCCATGAAGTAGGTAGTATTATTATTCTTGTGCTATAGCTCATTGCTGCTTGATATGATTAAGTAACTTGCCCTTCATCACACGGCTTGCAAGTTGTGGAGCCGGGCTGTGGACCCACATCAGTCTACCTCCAGCTCTGACTACTTAACACTGTCTTTGCTCCACTGAAAAGGTGCACAGGAAATGTGTATTGAATGTATGAATGGAAGGTTGGATGAATGCACAATGCTAATAATCTTAATTACTTAAATGTTTTGGCTGCTTACTATTTGCCAGACACTGTTCTCGGTGCTTTGCCGGTGTTCACCTTCATAATCCTGATGAAGTACCCTGTGAGATAGAGTCTGCAACACCCCCATTTCACAGCGTAGGAGACTGAGGCACAGTGAGGTTAAACTCACCTAAAGTCTCAGCCAGAGTTGTTGAATAAATGAGACCCTGACCAAGCTCAGATACGCCCCAGAGACGTACCCAGGGCTCGCTCCCTCACGTCTTCCTAGCCTGGGCTCAAATGTCACCTGCTGGTGACCAGACCACCTTCCCTGAGTAGCACCCTTCACCCCCACTCTCACACCTGTCTCTGTTTCATTTGCTCCTCGGCAGTTAGCAGCGTCTGGCATCCTCTGTTTTACTCTCTGTCTGCTGCTTTGGAATGTAAGCTCTCAGAGATCAGAGGCATTGTCTGTTTCCATCATGCTGATACCTACCTCCTAAAAAAGTGCCTGGGACAGGGTTGGTGCTCAGTAAATATCCGTCGACTAAACAAATGAAGGCATGACTCAAAGCACTGGCTTTCAGCACCAGACGAGGTTTTCCTGGGCTGCTGTCACCGGGCCCAGCAGGGGCACCCTGGCACTTTCTCCTGCCATGACAAACTCCCACTGAATTGGACTGTATTCCCACCACACATGGATGACATTCTCCAACACATGTGCCCCATGTGCCATTACCTCTTTCCAGCCCTGCCCCCCAGAGCCCAGCGCCCTCTCCTGAGGGGACCTCGACGAGCCCGGCCCCAGTGACCCCAGCTGCCGCTGTCCCCGAAGCACCCTCTGTGACCCCCACCGCCCCACCAGAGGATGAGGATCCAGCCCTGTCCCCACACCTCCTGCTCCCCGACAGCCTCAGCCAGCTGGAGGAGTTTGGCCGGCAGAGGAAGTGGCACAAGAGGCAGAGCACACACCAGCGGCCGCGGCAGTTCAATGACCTCTGGGTCCGCATCGAGGACAGGTGAGCCAGGGAGGGCAGGTCTGCCCAGGAGCTGGGCGTCTGCACCCGGGATAGTATACCCTGAACCCCCCACAGCTGGGCACACTGTCGTCAGGCCAGCCCTGCTCTAAGGAAGTGTGGCAGGTGGCTTTCTACAGCACGTTCCCATCTGATTTTTCAGTTTTATTCTCAAAACAAAAGCAATTCAACAACAAGTACAATTCTCTGCACCTTAAAGGTGAGGAAATAGAAGCTTTCTTCAGGCACAGCGCACAAATCTGCTTTGCACTCAGCTTTCCTGGGACACACCTGTACAAACAGGGCGCCATTTGTCCCATGGACTGGAGGTGAAACTAGGAGAAAATGGAACAAGCTGGCTAAGCCAAAAGGCATGAGCTCCCTGTGCCTAGAAGCTGTGAGTAGCCGACACCCTGGCAGGGAGGCTGCAAAGGGAACCGTGCTCTAAGAGAGAGATGGGATAGATGGTGATCAATGCCCTTGAAGCTGTGGGCTCTGTCTTAGGAGTGGATGGGGGATTTGTGATATATCTTGTTGAAAATGGACAGATAGGAGAAATCATCCTAATGCACGGAGACCCTTCTGTCCTCTTCCTATATGCCCCTCCTGCCACCTCTACCACCCACCTCAGCTTGTCTGTCACCAAAGTCCTGCTGTGACCAGGATGCTGTCTTCCAACCTCTGCCTGCAATCTCAGTACACAGGAGTTTCCCCAGATTCCACTTTTTGGCAGGAGTCTCCATATTTAGTGAACAGTGTTGCTAGAGCACAAGGAATGTCCCAGGGAGGGACTGTCAGTGATGGGGTAGAATCCTACCCACTGCACTGGCCCAGCTCTGAATATGCCATGCTTAGCAGTCATAGAGTCTCCATCTCAGAGTCTCTATCAGGGGGAGCCTTAGACTCTCCATCTGGACCCTAGAGATCGCCATCCAGGATTTTCCCCCGAAACCCTAGAGAGAATCACCTTGGCTATTCGTTAAATAAACAGATTCTCAGGCCCCACCGCAGACCTCATGTATCAGAATGTGTAGGACAAGGGCCTGGGACTCTGTATGTTGCGTGTACACCTGGAGATTCTTCTGAGCAGCTGTGGGAAGCCCTGACTACACTGTGCATTATAGATGGTGAACCAAGGCCTGAGTCGGAGAGGGTTTGACCAGGGTCCCCACAAGGAATCAAGGGCTGCCTCTTGCACTTTGCACTTCATGAATCTCCTACAGCCAGGTCTCAGAGCCAATGCCAAAATGTTGCCATGGTCCAGCCCATTATCATAAACTGTGGGGTACACACTATCTTTAAAAGACTTCCAGCAAATAAGAGTCAAGCCCATTGATCCTTTGGGCATTGGTTTCAGAGAACCTTGGGTTACTGAGAAATGTACTTCTGCAGAACCTGGCCCTGTGTATTAGTCTGTTCTCATGCTGCTAATAAAGACATACCCGAGACTGGGTAATTTATAAAGAAAAGAGGTTTCATTGACTCACAGTTCCACATGGCTGAGGAAGCCTCACAATCATGAAAGAAGGCAAGGAGGAGCAAAGCCACATCTTACATGGCAGCAGGCAAAGAGAGAGAATGAGAACCAAGCCAAAGGGGTTATAAAACCTTCAGATCTCATGAGACTTATTCACTGCCACAAGAATAGTACGTGGGAAACCGCCCCCATGATTCAATTATCTCCCACCAGATCCCTCCCACAACACGTGGGAATTATGGGAGTTACGATTCAAGATGAGATTTGGGTGGAGACACAGCCTAACCATATCACCCTGCCTGCCTAAGGCAGAGGCATTACTGTGGCTATATTGGCTATGACACATTTGGTTCACGTGCCCAGCATGGGCCTCCCCCTTCTAATCGGGAGTGAGGGCATAGAGTTACTGAGAGCCACTTTCGTCAGTGGCAGGGAGGGTTTGCAAGCTGCCAGGGAGGCTTGAAGCAAGTGAAGGAGCTGGCAACCCATTAAAAGTTCCAATTAGGCTGGTCACTCAGAGCCCTGATCAACACACTAGGGTAATCAGGAGACCTGGCCAGTGGTGGGGCCAGCCCATGGGGTGACGGGAAGCTGGGCTGTCAGCTCCAGCAATGGAGCTCCGGCCCCTAACCATGTCTGAAGGTAAATTTCAGCAAATGACTCCAAACGGCTTCCTTCTCACAACACATAGCTCCGAAACACAGAGCCTGATTTCAGGAGAAGAAAACAGCTTTTCTTTGGCAAGAAGGGAGCCCCTTTTCTGTCCCCACAGGTAAATTGCAGTTGGCTAACTTTATTCCATCTGATTGGGTTGGAGAAGAAAGTTTCCACCACCGCCTGGCAGCCTGTTTGTTGAAATTTCTTGCCGCTTCTAGGGGAGCAGGCCCTGAGCTCCCTGAGAGGCCCAGGTGCAGGGCACAGCCTCCGTTGCTCCCAGGGGACTCATCCCACCCTCCTGCAGTCCCCAGGTTTCCAATTTTCTAAGAGAAGCAGATGAGAGCTCTCTGGGGGTGACCTGGGGCCCACTGATAGTCCTTCTAACAAAACCATTTTTGGGGAAGCTTTTACTCCCATTTCTCATTTTTCTCCTCCGAAACCCCATTGGAGCCATCTCCTACTCCCCATCACCTCTCCCAGCTCATCTTGCACCTGTCGTCCTGGCCCCGAGTGCCCTCCCATATGGCCGCTCCTCAGCCTGGGGTCCTACAGTGCCCCCACGCCGCTGCTCAGCCCAGATGCAGGGCCTTCACCTTCTTTCCGCCTCAGCCACCACACTGCTTCCTCGAGGTCTGCTGCCCCTGTCCTCACCA
Source organism: Homo sapiens (assembly GCF_000001405.40). Taxonomy (NCBI): domain Eukaryota; kingdom Metazoa; phylum Chordata; class Mammalia; order Primates; family Hominidae; genus Homo; species Homo sapiens. The sequence continues at coordinate 47,772,385 of NC_000001.11, read as the reverse complement.
GGCTGAGTGCCACCCGAGGTGCCCCGTCCCACCTCCACACCTTCGTCCTGCTCCTCTCTCTGCTTGGAGTGGGGTGCCAGTGGATATTTGTCAAGCTTCCCCTGCTGTGCCAGATACCTGCCTCCATTCTGTCCCTTTTTCTGTCAAGAATTGTGGAAGGTAGGCCTATTTTATACCAGAGGAAACAGACTCAGCAGGTTAGGTAACTTGCCTAAGGCCAGGCAGAGAGTCAGGCAGACCTGCCTGACCCTAAGGGTCGCTGTCATCACCCAGCACCATGTGGTTGCCCTTCCCCCTCTCCCTGGCCCAGCTGAGGCCTCCCTTCCTCCACGCAGTGCCGGTGGGTGCCCCTGTCCTGACACAGTAGCACAGACTGCGAGTCCTCACTCATGCTCCAGGCTGGGAGGCCGTGAGGATCAGATCCGGGTTGGGCTGGGAGCGAGTGTGAGAAGGAGGGAGTGAGCCAGGGACGCGCCTGGAGTGCCTGTCCCGGATGCCACCTGGAACAGGCTGGCCTCCCCCTTGCCCCTCATTACCGGAGATGTAAACACACACTGGAGGAAGTTTAGAGAAGCAGTAGCCCATGGCAGGATGATTTATGGGGACCCATGGAAAGGGCAGACGAAGCGTGTGTCCACAGATGGCTGTGCAGTGGCAGAATATTCTTGGGGAACCCCCACCGCTGAGAGCCAGGCTTGGGGGAAGGGCAGGGCTGTGACCAGGGTGCTCTAAAACAGGGTAGAGGTCATTTCTGTGCAGCGTGGGACCTGTACTACTCCTTCTGTTTCTCCTTTTGTGCAGTTAGGGCCTTGATGGGTCTTTGGAGGTCATGCCAGCTCTTATTCTCCAAGTCCACAGCTGACATGGGAGAGGAAGGGGAGTTTCATAAACAGGGAGCAGAATGTCTGGGCCATCTAGATTGGAAGTCCTTGGGCAAGTCATGCTGGCCAGGTGTAGGGAAGAGACTACCTTCCCAGTGTCAGGCATGGCCCAAAGCAGGGCACAGAGGTGGGTGACAAGACAGATACAGAGCCTTGGTGAGTTCCACCATGCAGGGGGAGGGGGTGCAGGACACATGTGCCACAGAGTCATTGTCCTCTGGGTCTCAGCTTCCCCTGAAGTTTGAGCAGATGGCTAGAGCTCTCAAAGAGGGGAAGAGACGCAGTGTCTCCCTCCTGCCCCCAGATTCTCCAGCTCCAGTTCCCCATAGCACAGCCAGTCCTCCTTCTGGGATGGTTCGAGATGGGCAGAGTCTCCAGGTGAGGACAGGACCCCATCAGATTAGAGGCAGAAGATGACCCCATCAGATTCGAGGTAGAAGATGCCCCCATGAGAATGAGAAGCAGGATCATCCAATGAATAAAAACAGACAAATTCAGGCAGAATGGGGTTCAAATCCAGTCCCCCCTTTTACTTACTTTGAGGCTTAGAGATTATGTGAGATGATGCTCGTAAGCTTTAAGCTGGCATCAGACCACCAGTAACACTCGGTAACAGTTGCAGCTGGTATTGACACCTGTGACTTTCAGAGTCTCTGGTCTGAGATGACCAGCCCCCTACCCTAGCAGAAAGGGCCTTTGGCCAAACCCTTAAATGAGGCATTGGTTGGGTGCTGTGAACTTCCCCCAGTTTGACAGGAACATATTGGGCACATACTGCATTTAGTGCTAGTGAGGGACAGGAAGAGGAAAAGTCTCGTGTCATGGCCAGGGACAGATGGCTTCCAGTGTGGTGCCACTGAAGAGCCCTGGAGCCACAGTCCAGAGACCCTGCCTCAGCTCTCCTGAGTGATCTTGGTAAGTCCCGTTTCCTCTCTGGGCCCAGTTTCCCATCTGAGGGACAGACAGGCCCTTCCAGCTATGGTCTGCTATGAAGCTATTAGAAAACAAGCCTGTCTGCCCTGTGCCCAAGATGGAATTGATCAGTCATGGCCCAGTGAGGCTGAGCAAAGCGTGAAGGCATTCCCAGCACAGAAGACCATGTGGACAAAGGTGTGGAGGCGGGAGGAGCCCTAGATATCACAAAGTCCTAGATACCCAGAGCCGCAGGCAAACCAGTTGCTTTGGATCTCTCATCCGACCTGCTTGGCCCAGAGAGGCTGAGGCCCAGACTGGCATCACAACAGGGTCTCTGCTAAGTGATCACAGTGAGATCTCTATCCCCAGGCAGAGGGCCACCTGTGACCCAGGCCCTGTGTGCCCCAAATCCGGTCTCCTCAGGCTGAAAAGCTCTCTAAGGAGGTCAGTCAGGGTACAGCCCACCAGCCCCTTGTACCGGCAAGAAGGCTTGGGATGCCCAGATCCTAGACTGGGATGGCTCTCAGAGACCCTCTAGTGCCAAGACCCACCCCTGCTCCAGGGAGCCCCTTGGAGGTGCCTCATGGTCAGACAGCTGACAGTGTCTCAGACACACACAGCCTTGCTTTCTGCCTTGGGCTTCCACCTAAGATCTCGCTCTGGCTTCTGCTGCTAGTAAACATTTTAAAGTCCACGGGTCTGTTCCTGTTCATTGTGTTGATGGGGAAACCGAGGTCTAGAGGATAGCACTTGCCAAAGTCACACAGCAAGCCAGGAACGCACTACAGGCTAGAGCCAGGCTTCTGCCTTCTGCCCAAGCAGAGGGCCTCTTCCCCACTTTGGGGTCCCTGTTGACTCAGAGCCGATGCGGCCTCTTGGTGCCAGCCATCTGTGGAGCCTGGGAACACTTGCAGTGTTTGGTTTGGCTTTGAGGCCACTTTGCCATGAGACAGTTTCCCCCATTGTGAGCCTAGGAAGGGGTGGGGATCTGGACTGGGGGACTGAGCTTTGTGAGCAGAATCAGGCCCAGGAGGTGGGCTGGGGGCATTTGGAGGGGCTTGTCCTCCACACCCCCCACCCACCAGTCCTGCCCCATTTCTCTGGGACTCCTGCCAAGCAATAAAAAGCCCACTCAGGCTCCAAGCGGGAGTTTTCATCTTTGGTTTTCAAAGTGTGAAAGAAAATGCCTTTGGGCACCTTGTGAGACATAGTATTCATAACTCCTACTTGGTCTCGCCTTCTGATGGTGGGGGCCCCAGCTCCGGGCACCTCAAGGGGCACACCAGCCTGCTGTCCTGAAGCCAGCCCACCAAACCAACAGTTCCTCAGGCTGAAAGGATGGGGCAGCAGCTAGGAGGACGTTTTTATGGACTTCTTGTGTTTTGTATGTGGGTTTCTTTTTTTTTATTTTTGTTTTTGTTTTCATTAGAAAAGAAAGGGAGGAAAGGGGCTGAGGTAATGATCCCTGCCCGGCACAGGCACTAATCCCCTCCAGGGGCTGAGGCCAGATGAGGCCTCAGTGTCCCCGCCTGGCAAGCCTCCATCTGCGGGTTTGAGAGATCTCAGCCGGAAGCACCCACGCTTCGCTCATGGGCTCTCCATCAGGGGTTTGCTCATCTGTTCATTCAGGGACGGCTCCTTGGCCTGTCTCAGGCTGGGGAGACACTGTCTCTTGCAAGAAATCTGAAGTCCTTCAAGCTCAGTTTCCACACCTTAGAAAGGGGAATAATAATAACATAACACGTGTATAGCACCAAGCAATGTATGTCAGCACATTGTAAGTGCTCTATAAGTGGAAGGTGTTATTATTAGGAGAGACACAGACACAAAAATATTAATAATGATGCTAAAAATAGCCAACCTCTTCTAGCACTTCTTGTGTGCCAGGCACTGTTCAAAGCACGTTACATATAGAAACCCATGCAAACTACGTATAATAAATGGAGACCTACAACACAGAGAGGTCAATGAGAAATGTACAAGGTTTGGGAGAAGCCTTAACTGCCCCAAGTGGCATTGAGGGATGGAAGGCAGATCAAAGAAGCCCTCCAGGGGAAGGGCATTGAGTCTGGCCTTCGAAGGTGAGTAGGAAAATGGCAGCAAGACTGTAGGTGTGATGGAGAGGGTGGTATGTGTTGAGAGAACCATGAAAGGGGAGGGCAGTCAGGCCAGATCAGGCCGGCATGGGGTGGGAGGCACAACATGCTTGATTCTGTGGGTGTGTAAGGGACATTGGAAGCCACCTGGCCCTCCCCCCCCACTTCCACACACACACACTCTACTCAGAAACGCCATCCCTGCATCCTCTGGGTGGAACAAGAGTTTGCTCCCTCCCCTCCTGATAGTTCCTTGGAGTCTCTCTAAAGACAGAAGATCATGGCACATCACACCAGGTTGAAAGGAACCTTATGCAACTGCAGGGGGTGCTGAAGGCCAGAGCATCACCGGAAGAAAGTAAAGGGAGAGAGGGATGGGGCAGTGAGTGAGGACCCCTCTCTTTAATGACATACGTCAAGCCAGGACAGAGTGCCAGAGGCCGTTTGGACACCTGCTCCCAAGCCAAGAGCCCATGTGGAGTCAGGATATGCTTGGTGGCCCCGGGTTCCCTCCCCTGCCCACCTGGCCTAGCTGAAGCTGAGCCAGGGCTATGTGAGAGGCGTCTGGCCAGGACGGTGGCCTGGACTTAGTTCTGGTGGTGGTGATTACAGGCTGTCACCACTGTGATTATGGCCAGCTGTTAGGACCTCACGGCCCAGCCCGAGGAAATGCAGCCCGGAGTGACCCAGGGCAGCCTGTCGAGGTGGGGCAAGCAGTGGGAAGCGTGGCAGGAAGGCACGCATGCTGCAGACCCCATGAAGCCTGCCCTGCCCTGTTTCTACAGCCTACCCTCTAGGCTGGCCAGCCCAAAGGGAAGGGCAAGCTTCTTGCCCACCCATCTGCTATTGAGCACCTACTGTGTGCCCAGTTCAGATCCTGGCCCTGTTTTGTGTCTTGGAGGAAAGCCACTTAACCGCTTTGTGCCTCAGTTTCTTCCTAAGTACAATGGGGACAGCAGTCATCCCTGCCTCCCAGTGTTGTCATGAGGTCCAAAGGTTAAAGAGTGGCCAGTGCTTCACACAGAGCCTGGTGCAGGGGCAGGGCTCTGTACGTTCTTTTTTCACCGTCCAGGAGTGCCCTCCCCATGCTCAAACTAAATTCACTATGCCTTTCAGGCTGACTGTGGCCTCCCTGCTTCCGGGAGGCCCTCATGGCCTTCCCTTCATCTACCTGCTGCCCCCCGGTGCTCCCCTCTGGGTGACGGGGCTTGTGGGCTCCTCTGTCTGCATCTGCATCTCTGTCTGCCTCCTGCCTGCTCAGGGTTCCTCGAGGATAGGCATGGCCATTACTTCAGGGCCCAGCCTGTTTCTCTATCCCAGAGCCTGTCCCTCTCGTCCACAGGTCTCCTGTCAGCCTCCTGACCTCTCTGCTAGGCCTCTGTAGTTGTGCACTCCCTCCTCAGTCCCTGTGTTAGCCTCTGTCTCTCTCTGCCTGTCCATTTCCTATGTCTCTTTCCTGGACCTGAGCCAGTAACCTGGCCCTGAGTACCCCCTGCCCCCGCCTCCAGCTTCCCAAGGCCACCGTGTGCTGGGCTCAGGTCAGCTTCCAGTTGGCTCCTGCCCTGACTCTCCTTCCATCTCTCTCTGTCACGTGGGCTTTCTTGAGCCAAGAATCTCACCTGTTATTTCCAAAACTAGATTCTGTTTTTGTAAATTCGTGAAAGACTGCACCTCTCACTAAACATATCCTGCAACTGTGCAAAGTAAGGCAGACCCAGGGCTCCTGCTTCATGGCGTCCCACTCCCACTTTCCTCTGGGACCTGACCACCAGGTAGCCTCCCCGCCAGCCACCACACAGCCTCTCTGAGCCTCAGTTTTCTCATTCATGGAAAGGGAGCAATGAGACCCATTTTGAAGGCTTGTTATGAGGATCAGAAATATTGCTTGGAAAGTGCTGAGCTCATGATGGATGCTCAACAAGCGGTAGTTATGATAATGGCAGGGAACGCGGTGGGGTTGCTTGTCTTGTTTTCTGCGTGTTTTGGCGGTCTGCAAGGGGAGAGCAGCCAGCAGGCAGGGCACCTGTGTACGTCGATGACTGACCACCCCATGGTACCCCAGATCTATCTCCCCAAAACACTATTCTTTCTGCCTGGGACCCATTCTCTCGAGTGGTGACATCTGAGTGGCTGAGATGTGACAACCTGTGGCTGCCAGGGCCTGGCCCATCCCCCAGAGCCCGGCAAAGGGGGTCCGTGTGGACTCTGGAGCTCAGCCAGGCTGGTTGTGTGGCTCTGGGCTGCCCGGTTTGCCTGCTCAAGCTCCTTGTTCCCTTCTCCATTGTATTAGGCAAAATAGACCTGAAAAAATCAGATCTGAGCCCCAAGGCTTCTGCCCAGGACGAGGCTGCCGATGGTGACTCTGCCATGTGCTTCCTCCTTTCCAGCACCACCGCCTCACCACCCCCGCTGCCCCTGCAGCCCACCCACAGCTCGGGGACCGCCAAGCCCCCCTTCCAGCTTTCAGACCAGCTACAACAGCAGGACCCGCCAGGGCCCGCCAGCAGCTCGGCACCCACCCTGGGCCTTCTCCCCGCCATCGCCACCACCATCGCTGTCTGCTTCCTGCTGCATAGCCTTGGGCCCTCCTGACCTCGGCCACCCCAAGTGGAGAAGCCAGAGAAATGACACAGGGGTCTTCGGCCACACCCAACTGCTCCTGCCACCACCTCCAGGGGGTGCCCAACACGTCGAGGGCAGTCCACATGGGATTGGCTAGACACTCTAGAGCTTTACTGTACCCAAGTTACATCTTCTTTTTTGTAGAAGGATCTTAATTTCCCATAGTGCTATGGGGCTCTTTTGTAAAATACGTGTCCATATTAAAAAAGAAAAATGTATTTATTCTACCGATAAAACTATTCTTATGTGGCCTGTGTTATAACCCCCTAGCCCTAGTGCTGGCCCGGGAGGGGAACCCGGGACATCAGTGACCTCCTGTGGACTGTGGCTCTGGACTGGCTTGCTCTTGGATCACCGAAGCCTCCTGGGTCTGGGTTTGGCTTCTCCGACTGTGGGGCCCTCAGCAGGAGGGGCAGGCAGGCAGGCTTAGCCTTTGTGAAGCTGGATTTGGGAGCCAGAGGTGTGAACGTTGGCCATCCTCCCCTCTGCTGGATGCACCCGCGGCCTGGGAAGATAATTTAGGAAAGAGAATGCTGCTATTGTGAAACCCCTGAGTGTCTATCTGGCCCTCCAGAGCTCTTGGTAAGTGTTTTCAACCAAAGCGCTGGGGTGGGGTGGGAGGTGGGATACTGGTGCTGAGGAAAGCAGTCCCCACCCCACAGAACAAATGAATAAACTGAGATCCAGAGAGAACCAGGTGGGTAGCCCAAGGTCACACGGCAAGTGGGAGAGTGAGGACATAAATCCAGACCTCTCTGTTCTGGTGTCATGAATCCAGCTTGGGTTAAAGGAGAGGCTGTTGAAGTCCTGGCTAAATGGATTGAGCTGGGCCGAGGGACTGGAGTGGGCACAGGAGGGCAGTTTTAGAGACAGGGGCTTAGGCCTCACATGATGTTAATAGTAATGAGAGCTGCCATTTTTCCAAAGCCTGCAGCGTGGCAAGCACTTTGCACACTTGCTTCACTGATTCTTGCGCTAGTTCTGTGAGATGTGACTATCCCCATTTCACAGATGAGGAAACTGAGCCCCCCAAAGAGGCGAAGGGACTTGCTGAAGATCCCCCAGCCAGGATGTGGCCCCAGATCAGTGTGATGCAAAACAATTCCTGCCTCCTGTTCCCTGTTCTGCCACGTTCTCTCTGCAAGGGAGCAGATCTCACCCAAACTGGGGCCAGCACAAGCTTTCACTCCACCAAGAAACCTTTTGGCCGGCTGCTTATGTTGACCCCTCTGGCCAAAGGGCTCTGGCAACTGCATGTGCCATGTGTCGCATGTCCTGACTTGCCAGATCTTGGAGCCCACGAGAAGCTTTCCTGCCAAATCAAAGGCTGAGAGGTGGGCACAGCTGTGGGGCACCTGGGGAGGCACAGCAGCCAAGTGGGGAGGCAGGTGACAGGGACTCCGAGAGACTTTAGCCCCTCGGCTCCTCAAGGTGGTGGTTGAGGAGACAGAGGACCCAGGTGGGCTAACTCCCACCTGGGAGGCCTGAAACCCTATGGGGCAGGTGCCTCAGTAATTACAGAGTCCTGGAACCTGACAGCAGAAAGGACCCTTCACTTGATGGATAATAGTAACAGTAGGAGGAATAATAAGGCCCACAGAGAGGAGACACTTCTCCAAGGCTGCACAGCCGGGTGGGCCTGCTGACTCCCAGCCCAGTGCACCCCAACTTTATAGCTTCGTGGGTTTCCCTGGCAGGCTTGATGGCAGCTAATTGGCCCCAGTGCCATCTTGCCCAGCTTGGCAGCTATCTCCCTTCTGAGACGGCAAGTTCTGGGCAGCTCATGGGATGGTCAGGAGTCCCACGGGCATCTTGGCAGGCAGCTGAATTCTTTACAGCTCAGCCCTGATGGACGTGTTTGAGCTTGAGACCTGGCAGGAGACTGGAGCTCTGCCTTAGAGGGCCCAGCCAGCCCTGTGGGCACCATGCTCTAAACTGAACTTGACCTCAATCCAGGCTGGAGTTGGTTTATCCTTGGCAAAAATGTGACTTCCTATTTCTGAGCGGGAAGGGGCTTAGCTGACTTATAAAGCAGGCTCAGAAGTTGGACATCAAACGGATCGTGCAGTGCACTATTTGGATGAGATAAGTGTAAAGGAATTAGAAGCACACAGGCCAGATTCCTCTCTGTTTGGGGCAGAGTATGGCGTGAGACGTATTGAGATGGAGCTTGAGGTTAATTAAAGATGAAGCATTTGGGTAAACAGTCCAGGCACCTGACCGTGTGCCCAGATCTGTGCCAGGCACTGAGCCAAGAAGGTAAATTAATGCAGCTTGTAATTACTGAGCACATGCAATGCCAGGCTCTGTATTAGAGCTGAATCTAACCACTCTCCTTGGCCCAGAGGAACTCATTATCAAGATGGGACAAGCAGTGCAATGCTAGATTACGTCGTCCTGGCCCCTAACTTCAGGAAGATTCAGCCTTAGTCTTTCCCAGATCCCTCCTCTGGGCATATTAGGGGATCCTAAACTCTCCCTTACCCTAATTCAAGTGTTTAAAGAAAGATGGCTAGACTAACCGATGGAGTAGACATGTACCTACAGGAGAGCAAGAGCCAATGTGGTCAGACATCTGTTGCCAAAGTTCACTGATCTCTGAGGACCACCAGCTGGCCAGGGTCTGAAATGAACTCAACTTGCTGACTTATGACCCAAAAGACTTGAGGCACATATGCAGGAATCTGCATGTCTGGGGCACTTGAATTCTCTCATCCTGGGCCAGAGAACCACCATTCCATAAGCAGCAACCCACACCTTTGACACGATCTATCCACCACTAACTGACATTTCTTCCAGAAACGTTCTTTGTGCCCAGCCTCATAAAATGCTCCTGTTGCTCTGAGAAATTTGTGTGCACTTCTTAGACTTTTCTGTTTGACTGTGAGGCAGGCAGGAAAGATGAAAGGTCTGAGACCCAGCAGGTAAAGTGATCTGCTTAAGGTCGGGCAGCATGTTATTGTGGCCCTGGGTCCTCTACCTCTCACGAAAGCTGACTGTGTGATGAAGGGCTCTCTGGGGCATGTTGGAATGGCCATGTCCCCAGGTCTTCCTCCAGTGGTGGGTCTGATGCACCAGCAGCCAGATGAAGACAGGGAGAGCCCTGTCATCCACAGTGGAGGGAGAAGAATCAGGCTGCCAGGGAGCTGCAAAGGGCTGCTGAGGATGCCTCCAGTCCTGAGAGTCAAAGATCTGGGATCTAGGAAGCATGGAACCTTGTGCTGGTTATGAACAAATTTGTCCTTGCATTGAAAGACCCTAAGCATATTTTCTTCATGCTAAATAATGTGTTATCTACAACTTCCTGGCCTCGGCTAGACCTGGACAAGCCTAGGTGCTCAGGCCCCTTGTCCCACTTGCCTAATCTCCAGCCCAGGGCCATTGTCACAGTGGATCCCAAAGAGGAGGGAAAGTCCTTCTACCAAAAGGAAAGTCTATTGAAAATGCTGTGAAGGACAAGAGAAGTTCTCCAGGGAATTGCAGCTTTGATGGCATCCTGTGTGGCAGACAGCAGAATTGGGGCTGGTGATAGTTTTTCAGTGACTGTGAGATAAGAACCAGAGTCCTCAGCCTCACCCTGAAGTGTCCGCTAGACCCTTCGTGACCCAACCCTGCTGACCAGCCACGTCTCTCATGTCTCTTACCCTGTGCCTGGCCAGCGTGATGTGCAGTCATCTCTAGAATAGACAGGATGTTTCACACATGCTGCTCCCTACCCCTGGAAACTCCCTTCTCTCCCCTGTAACTGCTCATCCATTGAGGATCAACACAGATAGCACTTCCTCCAGGAAGCCCCCTCCCATTCCTTTGTGCTTTCTTAGCATCTATCACAATACCCACTGCCCAGTGTTGTGACTATCTAGTGTGTATCTGCTCCTCTCGGACTGTGAGCAGCTTAATGGCAGGGGTCATGTAAATTTGTTTTTGTACCCTCATCTGACACAAAGGTGGTGCTCAACAGATGTGTAGAGAGAGAAAGGAAGGGAAGGAAGCTGAAGGAAGGGGAGGAAGAAAGGAATGAAGGCAGAAAAGAAGGAGAGAGGCAGACCTTAGTTCCACCAGTGGCATAATTTCCACCAAGCCAAAGCTGTCTGGGGATGGCCCGGAGCCCCCAAGGGTGGCAGGTTTCCCATCGGGAGAGGTGTTTGAGCAGGGGCAGTGTGCCCACTGGCTGAAGAAGTGGTAGGAGAGTTGACATCTTGCCAAGGGCCTGGTGTAGATGACATTGAGGGTCCCTCCTGGCTCTGCAATGATCAAGTTCTATGAACATTGTTATTTTTCCAGAAATTCATCTGAGCAGCCAAAAAAAATCACCCCGCTGGCTGTCTAAACCAGTAAGGTTCAGGAATAAGTCCAGCCTCCCCACTCCACCCACAACCACCACCACCCCTCACAGCGCCCCCTTCAATGACCCAGCTGGGCTTGACTGCTGCCTTTGGGTGGGGGAACTTCTGAAAGGTGGAGGAGGAGTGAACTGGAACCCAGGCCTGCAGCCCAGCCCAGAGCTCCTTCCCGCTCTGCCCCACTCCCTGACCCCAGGGGAGGAAAGGGTTCACGAGAACTGATTGACCCCCTACTTGGCTCTTTCCAGGGAGCATCGGCTATCCTCACCCTTTCTCCAAGTGGGAGCTGGGCTCTTCCTTTCCGGAGATACTCTGGATACTCCTTCACTTTGCTGGATGACCTTGGGCAAGTTCCTGTCCCTCTCTGAGCCTTCACTTCCTCATCTGTCAAATGAAGACCTTGATTCCTGCCTGGGCAGTTCTAGGGCTGGAGGGCAGGGGTGACATGGACAATCTTGGGCCTCCATGGAGATGAGGTGCTTGGCTTTCTTCCCAGGACCCACAGGCTGCCATGGGATTGAAAGCATGTGGAGGTGGGAAAGGTGACAGAGTAGCATGCCTCCAAGGCCCCCTTCATCCCAGTCCTGCTGTGGGGAAAGTGGGCTTTGAACGGGATCCAAGTCTAAGATGTTTCCGGTGAGCTGCCAGGGACAAAGGGCTCTCAGACATCTTGGGTCCCCAGTGGCTGGGGTGGGCAGGGGCTGATTCAGCCAAAGGAGGCTCTAGCCCAGAACAGAGGAAGCCAGAGCCCCTGCCCCATTCTTGAGCCTCACAGAGCTTGTCCCCGAGTTGATTCACTGTGCAACACAGGCTTCAGATTCATGTATTTGAAAGGTATTCATGATGTTGTTCTCTTATCACCTCTGCCCCTCACCTCTGTGAATTATCATGAAGAGTCCTTTAAGAGTATAAATAGAAGACAAAGAAAGATGCTATTAATGTTATTTTGCCAAAAATATTTTTGTAGCATAATATATTAATAAAAGATATTATGAATTCAATGGCTTAGTGTTTCTGTGTGACAGCTCCTCTCTTCCTGCCAGGGAACGTTCAGGAAAATTGCCTTTGCTGTGAGGGCCAAGGCCTGCAGTGAAGCAGAGGAGTTGGAATGAGCCCGGTTTTCATGCACAGAATCGGGCAGACTTTGGGAGGATGGTTTCAGCAGGAACCCAATGGCTTGAGAGGCCTCATGCCAAATGAGGTCCAGATACCCTCTCCCCAGCCAGATTGAGCTGCCCAACGATGTGGAGAAGGAGCTGCTCGGGGACTTTAAACACAGCTCAAATCTGGGGCTCAGGCTTGCAGTCTCCCTTTTTTTTTGCCTTTCTCACTCACCAAGACCTACTGATTCTTCCCGATCAGCTCTTCCTACACACTCCCTCATCCCCATTGCTCCACCCTGGTCCAGACCTTTTACCTGAGCCCCTGCCACCTAGCCAGGCCCCTCCAGTCCACTCTTCCTTCGGCAGCCAGAGAGCGCTGTCAACCAACAAAAATGACCACATATCTCCCCTGCTTTGAAAATTCTTCAGTGTCTCCTCGAGGTTGACAAAGGTTACACAAGGCCCTCTAAGATCTGGTCCCTGCCCATGCCTCCTACAAGAAAGCCGCGCCTTGCCAAGTCTTCCCCCAGCATTCCACACTCCAGAGTTACTGCCAGCCTCAGTGTTTTCTAACTCCATCCCCCGCTTCACCACCCGCCACCTCTGCACTTGCTGTTTCCACAGCACTGCCAGTCTTTCCTCTTTATGCCTCACCCATTGCTCTGTTGAACTCCTACACATCCTGCACAACCCAGCTCCAGTGGTATCTGTTGCACAGAGACTTCCCCAACTCCCCAAGCCATGCCTCCCCTCTGATCCTACAGCTCGCTGTTCCTCGGAGCACTTAAGGTTGTGCTGAGATGATCTGTAGTGCCCACTCTGCCCCTTGGCTTCCTCGTGCCAGGGCCACGGGTTGCCTCTCTGTGAAGTCAGCCTCAGCACAGTCGTTTATGTATGCCATATAGACACTATATATAGTGGGGACTTGTGGAAGAATGATGGAGTAAACAAAGAGGAAAGAAAGAAGGGAAGACTTCAAATACAACATGTCATATCTGTTCTATCACAGCACAACATACCGTCCAGTGTCAGCTGACTGGGAACCACACAAGGTATTCCTGCAGCAAGTTTCACCGGGAGAGACTTAGTCACTGGAATTGCGGGGAAGGAGGGACAGGTCACTGAGAAGTTTAGAGAGGAAGAGGACTCTATTCTAAAGCCCCAGAAGCCTCTACCAGAGGTGATTTATTGCCCATGGTTACTGAGTTCTTTTGGTTCCTACTAAGAGGAATATGGACTCCACACAGTGGCCTCACCTGCACATAGGGTGACAAGAATGCAACTGGAAGCTAACATTTGTTGAGCATTTATGATGCATGAGACAATGTTCTAGGCATTTATAAATACTAAATCATTTCACTCACGTGGCTGCTCTTCCTTATCTCCGTCTACTGATGAAGCAACTGAGACACAGGAAGGTTAAGTAACCCAACACAGTTTATAAATGCTGAAGCCAGGCTGGGAACCCAAGTAGTCCAGCTCCAGGCCTATTCTCATTTTTATCCGGCAATTCCGCGATGTCAGGTGTGGGCTGCGGCCTGCGAGGTGGGCGAGGATGCATCCAGCATCCACATTTCACAGGCGGGGGACAAAGTCAGGAAGCGACTGAGGCCCAACACAGTGAGCCTCTTCCATGTCCAGGAGCCTGCCCAGACCTCTGTCCCACTCATCAGACTCTGGGCAGAGATCCAGAGAAGCCCTGCCCCACTCCCCACCACACCCGATGATGGTCTTAAGAGCTGACGTCAATGGTGTGAGGATTCCTGCTGTGGCTGTGACCCCTGTCCTCTCTGCCCCTCACACACAGGAAGGAGGCTGCTGTCATCCATCCACCCAGAAGTTCGGTGAGCGAATGAGGTCTTGTCCTTTCTTAGGGGCGGTAGTGCCCAGCTCACTTACTCCCTGGAGAGGCCGTGGCCCAGAAATAGGCTCTCAGACATGACGCAATGGGTGGCTGAGGGAGGGGCGAGGGATTCCTCAGAGCTCCTGACACACTGTTCTCCGTACGGCAGCAGGTCTTCACTCCCTCTCCATCTTTCTGCATTCTCTGAGGCCTTTCTGTCCCTGAACATCTAGGGTTCAACAGCCTAGCCCTTCAGAGGAACCATCGGACAATGATGTCCTGCAGCAGCCGGACTCTTGAGATGAGGACAACGGGTGCTGGGTTTCAGTCCCAGCTCAGCTGGCCCGCTGTGTGACCTTGGGCAAGCTCTGCCATTCTTGGACCTCTGTCTCCTTATCTGCATAGAAAGAGCAAAAAGTGGAGCAAATTGTAGTCACTAAAATTCCTTTTAGAAAGAGCAGCATCTTTCTTTGAAAGACTGCTTCTATCAGGGCTTGAGGTAGGAAGGAAAACCACTGTCTCCCACCTCAAAGGAGGTAGAGAGAAGGTATTCTTTATGACTGGGGTAGGAATTTTATCATTTTACTCCTGAAAAGGAGAGCAGGAGACAGAGGAAATCAAGAGAGAAGGATGAGAAGTCAGGAGCTAGGCAAATGGAGAGAAAGTGAAGGAGGAGGAACATCTCGTTGATGGGGAGAAAACCTGCCAACAGCAGTCATTTTCACAGTGGCCATAAGAACCCCACCCCCATCTGCTCTGCCAGTCTCCACTAGGTCCTCATGGCCTGTGAAGATTTGGGACGGAGCGGGGTGGTACCATGGAAGGGGCTGATTGCCCCCAAGTAGACATGGGGTAAAGCAGAGGCTGCAAGCTGGAGACCAAGATCACAAGTGTGTGAGCCCCAGGGAGCCCATGCACTCTGGGAGGGCTTGGAACCTCAGCCACAGAGTAGGGTGCCAAGAGTGTCTTAACCAGGTACTTTGCAGTAGCAATACTGGGTTACAGGTAGCTGGGAATAACAAGTTTAGACCTGCCAGCCTTGGGCTTTCATGAGGTAAGGGACTTGGGAGCTGCAGGGCTCTCTCAGGCAGGCAAGAAACCCCCCACCTCACAACTACCTTCTAGGGGTGCTGCAGCAGAGGGAGCACCCTGGCCTAGCCAGCAGGACAGAATGAAGGCTGGGATGGGCTGGGCTTGGAGGGGAGGAGGTAGGGGCTCCAGCTGCTGCTCATAGCAGCCGCCAGCCAGGGGAGCTGGGCTGGCCACTGTTACGGTATCGCAAAATGAAATTATTTTCAGAAAATATTCGTAAAATCTTGTTTCATATCAGTTGGTTCTGGGCTTGCAAAACAGTTCCTGGTTTGTTTTGTTGTTGTTGTTTTGTTTTTTCTTAGTTTTCATTTCTTCCTCCCTGATCAGCCACAAAAAAACAGTGATAAAATTCCCAACCTGAAGACACAAGTTCCCAGGCAAGGAAGGGTTGGGGACTTGCAGGTCCCCAGACATCCCTTCCCAGTGTTCCCTCACCTCTGCTGCCCTGAGACCCAAGAGGGGGACAAGGGGGCTGAGCAGGATGGTGACCAAGGGTGGGGACGAAGAGTGAAGGAGAAGATAAGCAAAAGAGACAAAAACACATAGAAAGATGGATGGAGAGAGAGTGAAGACACAGTAGGAGACAGCAACAGAGAAGCAGAGAGAGGCAGAGAGAAAGGGGGAGAATGAAAGGGAGTCATCGGAAGAAGCCTGGATGGGGAGGCAGAAAAACACAGACGAGCATGGGTGGAAACAGAGAGAGGCAGGACTGGCTGGAGTCAGAACACAGCAGGGTCTCAGCAAGAGGGAGGAGGCCTGGTTCAGATCCACAGCACAGGCTGGGGCCTGGCTTGAGGGGCCAAGACAGACGGGCCACTGGAGACAGCTCCTGGGTCCAGCAGTCTTCCTGCTCCCGGGGAGACCTGAAAACACAGATTGCTTCCAGGGCCAGCCAGTCTCCCCGCATTCAGCCTCTCACCCTTCACCCCGTCCCAGAGGTTGTCCCGGCTCAGTCGGGGTCTTGGGCTTATGGTCAGGGGGAGCCAGAGTCCTGGACCTGCTTTTGCGCCAGGTAGTCCCTCCCTTCTCTCAGCCTCGTTTTTCTCATCTCTATGGTGAGTTTAATAAAACTAATTCTGGCACAGGCTGCAGTGAGGTTTTAATGAGATGGTGGATGTAAGAAAGCTTTGGAAACCAAGGCCCAGAGCACGTGTTAGCTGTTACTGCCACCCCCACAGGCAGCAGAGACCAGCAGCACAGGTGGAGGGCTGGCCTCAGAGTGCCCAGGCTCCAAGTGGCAGCAGAGGGGATACTCTCTGGAGCTGGTGGAATCAGGCTTTAGAGGCTGTGACTCACAGGTCAAGGCATGAGGACACCACCCGGTGGGCAGCAGGAGCCCCAGGCAGCTTAAGAACAGAGGAGTGGCATAGAGGTCGAGGAAAAGCCTGATGCCCTGGGGCCATCTCCTCCTCCCATTGAATCTCAGTTTTCCCATCAATAAAATGGGAGAGGATAGCCTCACCCCACAGAGATACCGTGAGGATTTAGGATAAGGCAGGTTTGCCTGTGCTCGTAGACTCCAAGAGCTTTGTGGTGGTGATGATGATGAAGATGAGGGAGGACGGTATTTCCTGAGCCCCACCTCCCCCTATGCCCCTTGCCCGATCCCAGGGACAGAATGACCCATGAAGTCATGTGGTCCCAGGGACTTTCCTCAGTGATGGTGGGTGGTCATGGGAGGGCACTGGAAGCACTACTGGGAGTCCCCTGGGAAGGGACTGACTCTGCTGAGTTGCCCACCCCTCTGCTCTGGAGCCATACCCAAAGACAGACACTGAAGCTTGGGCCAACCTCTGCTTGGACTTGGAAGGTGGTACTGGTAGGGGGATTGGACTTGGAAGGTGCTACTGTCTCTCCTGCCATCCAGCAGCTGCCACCAGGGGGCAGTGCTACTCAGGTCGTGACCTCAGGCTCTAAACAGGTGACCTGACGGAACAAGGCAGGAAAGTGGGAGCTGGAGGGGACATGATTCTTCTGTGGGCTCAGGCCCCTCACTGAACAGATAAGGGGAACACCAAGAGATGGACCCACCCAAGGCCTCTTGGCATGTGCGAGTCGGAGGCCAACCCAGGAGTCCAGACTCCCAGGCCCCCCTTCTGGCCTCAGCACACTGGCTCACCTAGATACAGAGAACTGGCCCAAAGAGTCCAGTTCACCTTGGGTCCAAAAGCCTTCCACATCCCAAACCTGAGCCTGCAGGGTGCCAGGCCCAACTAGAGAAATGCAGAGCCTGCAGCTCGGTGGGGGAGGCAGACACTGAGTAGCATCCATCAAGTATGTGATGGTTACCATAGTACTGGGGACCTTCCTCAAGAAGTTAAAATTAATATGGAATGTGCATTTGCTTCCTCTCCCCCTCCCTTCCCCTCCCAGCAGTGCTCCCTCACAGGCCCTCTACAGTTTGCCCAACGAATCTCTCCAGACATGTGTCTCCTCCCCTCCCCTAAAACCATGCTCCAGCCATAGAGAGCTACTCGGGCTCCCTGAACGTATCTGCAATTTCCCAACTCCATCTCCATCCCCACTGTCCCTTCCACAGCTAGCTGCTCATTCCCCCTATTTTCACCTGAAAACTTCTTTCCTGGTATTCAAGGCCTCACTTAATTTGTGCTTCCTCGTAGAAGCGTGCTCTGGTCCCCCGGGCTCACACTTCCACCTCTCCTGAAGCCCCAGCCTTTGTATGCATCCAGTCTTAGATGATGGGTTTCGTATGGCTTATCACCCTTAGAATATGATAAAGGGAAAGCCGTGCATGCAGAGCCCAGGTCATATTCATTTTTCCATCCCCTGGATGAATAGTCTTTAAAATAGAGGACACGTGGTCAACATTTATTGCATTAATTTTAAGTCTGAAGACTAAGCATCATCCAAGGTTAGTATTAAATTATGTTCATCAAAAGCAAAACTGAGAGAAATCCAAACATCTAGGTACAATAGAGGTCTGAGCCTTCCCTCTTTCATGCCTGGCTTCTCAGAGAAAATCTCCAAATTAGTGTTTTTCAGCAGGGGTAGTATCAACACCCATAGGATGCTTTGGGAATTCGTCGGGGAGTTTTTGGCTTTCATACAGCTGTTGCAGGGGCGGGGTGGTGCGGGGGTAGTTGTGGTCAAGGGCTAGCGACACTTAGTGACCTGCTAAGAGCCCCACATAAAGAATTATCCCCCATCCTGCAAAATTTTTGCATGTTTTGCCAAACATTCATTAGGGGAGAAAAAAAAATCATTTGTAATTATCTGAGCCTAGAACCTGAATCCATTTTACGTAAACACGTAGTATTTGTTTGTAAAGGTTTAATGTGCACTAAATCTTACAGGAATGTAATTGCCATGTATATTGAGAGAAGAATGTGCTTCATTTTGTTCTGAACTTTACCAAGAGTTGTTCACTATTTTTGAGTGCCACCTTACTAACAACAATGCCTGTGTATTCCGGGTGTCAGAGAGACACACAGCTGTACTCCTTGGTATTTTAGCTGTCACTTTCAGGGTGACTCAACAGTTAGGTACAAGCTTTGACTATTACATTATGTCTACAAGTGTTGATGTACCCAAGTGTGGACAAACCAAATTACATATTATTTTATTATAAGCTACTATTTCTTTTTCCTTATAGTTAGGGCACTGAATTAATTTTTAAAAAATCATATGTGTAGGTGTGTTATATTATTCATAAGTTTCATTTCAGTACAGAAGGGACACTTTAAAGTATTTGTGATAAAATGGGATCCTGGGTCTGAAAGGATAAAGAGCCCCTGTTCTAGATGTTTCTTTCCACTACGAGAAATGAAATGTCCTGAGCTGTTGTACCAGTCCCTGGATCCTGGAGCTATTCTATTTTCTACTGCAGCCTTTTCTGCATGATTTTCTAAAAGAGTGGAGCACCTTTCGAGGAATAGGAGGTAGAGTGACACATTGCACATAGCAACAGGCCTGAGCCCAAGACCCTCTTTGGCTACCTACTGGTTATTTTTCCTTGGGCATGTCACTTAACCCTGGTATTATTAGCCTTATCTGGGAAATGGAGATAAATATGACTTACTTTATAGAGCTATAATGGCGATGACCTGAGACAACAGGCCTGAAGTGCTTTATATCTGCAAAATCAACTTCAATGCATGTTATCATGGTTCTTGAAAGAGGGAAGAAGCATGTGCCCCTGAATTTCCACAATGCTTCAAGCTTCGCTCAAGAACCCCAGGTGCTGTGAGTGGAAGATTTTGACTAATTCAGGACCCAAAGAGAGTTCCATTCCTGCTTTGCCACTGACTTCATAAATAACATTAGGCCAATGGCATCTCCTTACTGAGCTTCAGTTTCCCTATTCAAAAAAATGCAGCAATTAGAGCAGATGATCTTTGAAGAGCCTTCTAAGTTTGATAGGTTAGGATTCCAAGATCTTTCTCTACCCTCTAACCTCTTAATAAAACTCCCAAATTTTAAAGCCACCCCTTCTAAAAAATTAATTTGCATCAAATGCTAAAGCCCAACAACTAGTTGCTGCCCTTAGCAGCTTCCAGCCTGGCAGCTTGATCCTCTTTCGAAGGGGCCCTTTAAGGTCTCCAGGACATGAAGAGAAGCTCCAAATCCACGTTAGGAGCGTTCCACACACATTCGGGCAGAGGCACGAAGGTGCAGCCAGAGTTAGTGGTGGGCGGGGCACAGAGAGTGGGCTCAGGGGGTACTCAGAAGGGGAGGCAGGGAAGACAGCTGTGGCAGTGTGGAGCGTGGACAGGCTGGGTAAGACGGAGCCATCCAGCAGGACTTTCAAGAGGGGGGTGGGGGCCGTAGACCATTGGTGGCTGTATGAATGACAGAGAAGGAGGGCATGGAGAGACGTGCTAGAGGAGGCGCTGGGCAAAGCATGTTAGCGAGGGTGTGGTCTTAGAGCACATGGAACTGAGAGAAGTAGAGGGTCTGGAGCAGGACTTGGAAGCCCGGACTGTGGATTTTGGATTTGATCAATGACTGTCCCTAAAAGTCTTTTATTCAAGAAGATGGAAAAAATCGTGTCTCTCTGGGACACTGAGGCTCCTAAGGAATGCAGGGGGTGGTAGCTGGGCTAGGGAATTCAGGAGCCAGGGAGGGCTGAGCCAACTCTCCCAGCGGGCCCAGGCCCGTCTGCCAGAGCAGGAAAGAGAAATAAACACAGGCCGGACGGATCCGGAGCGGGCACGAAGCCCCAGCTGAAGGTCTCCTGAATCTCCATGCTTGGCCGTGCACGCTCACGGCCTGCCTACTGGTGAGCATGAAGCCGTCAGCTCAGACCCGTGCTGGAAGCTCCTCCCTGGCTGGTCATCCACCGCCCCTTTGAGCGCTCCTGGTCCCATACTTCACAGGGACTCAGGCCAACAAGAAGAGGTGTTTGCCTGCAGTGGTTAATGCTCCATGAGGCCGCTCCCTCCTCCTCTGAGAAAGCTGCCCAGCCTGCTGCTCTGGCTTCAATATAACACTTCCCTTTCAGCTTTTGAATTTCAAAGCAAACCTAAGGCTGACTGCAAACAGATGGATGGGGTCATAAAAATCTCCACGCAGGGAGCAAAGAGGCTCATGGTTGTAAAAGAGAGACTGTTTTGGAAAAATGAGTCTCTGCACCCATGCTGGGTTCCTGCCTCTTTGGGCCCCTGCTCCTTTGCTGCAAACACACCAAACATGTCTTTCTCACCTTCACCTCTGCACATTCTACCTGGCCTTCAACGCTCAGCCCCAGCTCCAGATCTTCCGGGAAGCCTTTTGTGACTTCCTCCCTACCCCTCCCCACCCACCCAGCCACTTGATTTTTCCCACCTTTAAGTTCCTATGGTACTTACTTCTGGTGACCCCTCACAGGTATTTACTACAAACATCTTGGCACTGGCAGTAATTTTTTTTACCTGTCTTACACTCAAAATAGATTCTAGGCTTAAGATCAGAAAACACCTTTCCCTTCTTGGCTAATCCAGCATTGGACACCAGGTAGGTACTGAACCAACAGTAACCGGATGCTTTTCATGAGAATGCAACTTTATATAACTTGAATAACCATACACAGGAAGTGGATGGAGTCAATATTACCTCTACAAATCTGCTTTGGGAATTTGTTATTATGTAACACAGGAAGTATCATTTTACTGGGCAGTGAGGGATCCATTTTCAGGGTGCGCTCCAAGCAGGAAGTGATTTCATTCAAAGGATCCGCTATTATGTCCATAGAGTGCAGAAGAGTTACTCTTGGCAGAGGGCACAAAGAGACAGGACAGATAATTAAGGAGATAAAACGAGTGGTAGAACAGGCAGGTTCTGAGATCAGACAGGTCTGGGGGCAAACCCCAGTTCTGCTATTTACAAGCTGTTTGCCCCTGTGCAAGTGACTCAACCTCCTCCTGAATCTCAGTTTTGTTATCTGTAAATGGGAATGATGATAATATGTATCCTGCAAGGTTGTTGTGAGATGCAAATAAGATAGTGATGCTCGAGATACACTAAGTGTTATTATCAAAGACAGCCATGCAGGCCAGGCAAATGGCAGGAGGGAATGGTACCTGGATTAGCAAGAAGCACTGACATCCAGTCTAGGTTGGAGGAAATGAAGACTCCTCAGAAACATACAAATAAGGGCTTCCGTTTATTGAGGGCTTGCTATGTGCCACCTGGCACCTGAAGAACAAATCAATCTAAACAACATACTTGAGAGTGAAGGCCATTGCCTCTGCTTTACAGATCAGGAAACTGAGATCCAGAACGGTTAAATGATTTGCTCATGGTCACCCAGCCAATGTCAGACTCCAGAACTGCAGACTTAACCATTCTTCTATGCTGAAGATAAAAGTTGAGCATTTGAGTTGAGAAAGTTAATATGTTATATAACAGAATATTACTTGGAACTTTTCCTGGTATCTGGAAGTCACATCTGAGGCTCCAAAGCTGAAGATAGTATGTTCCCATTCAGAAGAAGGCAGCCAGTCCACTCATGCAGGACTTGCTGAGGGATAGCAAAACTGATTTGGAACCTCATATGCCCCCACCCTCTCACCTTTCCCCAACCAGCCAACCAATGGGCCAGATTGAAGCCAGCCATCCTCAGGGTATGAGGAGTGGACTGTCAGAGCAGAAGCTGCAAGGGGGTTGGAAGACACCAGCCAGGGAGAGCTTTGCCCACACCAAGGAAGAGCACAGTGGCTCTGAAAAAACCCACATATAAGCCCCTAGTCAGGGAAAGAGCTGGCATTTGGATGTCTCCACACAGAGGGCACCAATGTCCTCCTTTCCTTTCATTTCACCTCCCACCCATCCTTGCAGGAGCCAGAAGCAGCCTCCAGAGGGGACAAGAGGCTTGGGCTTTCCCTGAGCTAAGGGGAAACAAACACTTTGAATTTGGTGAAAAATTCAGATTGATTTTGATCAGATGAGAGTTTTTTGTAGATGAAAAGGAGATAGTGTCCCTGATAGTGACAAGGAAAGCTATTGAATCTACATGAGAGGCCCTCCAGGGATGGGGACGTGGTCTGCCATATAGCCAGTCAAAAGGGCAGTGGGAGTTGGAAAAAAATTAAAGTTATTTTCTCTTGGTGCCCCAATGAGTCCAACTGGATCAATAGCGGGCTACATTTGGAAACCAGGCCACTGGAGTAGGCCACACAAGTAGCAACCAGGCGGGGCAAGGAGAAAAGGAATTCAAACCAGACCGTCACTGGGATTCTGCCCTCAGGTACCATGGCAATCATTCTTTCCAGTTCATTTGTAAGGAGGTATTGGAGACCCATCTCAGAAGCCACTGATGGGGCACGTCAGAGCAATTAAATATGATTGTGTTAAGTACATAGTAAGCTGTGTATAATTTTCATTCTAGGGTATGGCTCAAACACTCCCCAGATGAAAGTTCTGAGTTGTTTTTTTTTTTAGCCTGCAAATTTTGTTATGTGGATATAACTTAACTGGGTAGATCATCAGAGTCCAGATTCTGGAGCCCAGAGAGAACCAAGTCAGCATCCAGCACCCACCACTATGGGGTGGTACATTTTATCAAGGGATTCTCCATGAAAGATTCTCAAAAGTGACATATCTCTGACTTAAAGTAAGATCTTGATTCACAAACTTGGCACTCAAGTTCACATTTCCCATGCAAAGGCTGGTATGAAACATCCATTAATACCCATTAATATCCATTATCTTAGGGCCTCATTTTTCTGGTGTTCTCATGCAGGGCACTGTACATAAATTGTCTCATGCACTTCTCCAGTGAGGTCAGTGCTACTGACCCTGTTTTATAGACATGGACACTGAGCTTTTGAAGGTGAGTCACCTCTTCCAGAACTCGCACCTAAGAAGTGGCTGCAAGGTTGGGAATTAAGACCCATAAGACTCTAAACCTGTGCTTTCTCAACTACCCTAAGCCAGGGGCTGACCTAGCCCCAGCCCCAGCCCTGACTTTTGGAAACTAAAATGTTGCCATGTCCAGATCTTAACCACCCCCAGTCCCGAGCCCAACTCCATCTTTCAAAGAATCTTCCTCCTCCTCCGACCCCCATCACACTACAATACCTGCCCTCTCTTACAGCACATGGCAGTCTGACTAATGTAATGATATTTACAGGTAGCCAGATCTTTTTTTTTTTTTTTTTTTAATGGCTCCCTTGGTCTAAGTCCTTTTCTCTGTCCACACTCACTCCCCCGGTGACCTTAGCCCATTTCATGGTTCTAAATACTCTGCTGAATCCCAAACTTACACTCCAGACCACCTCTCCCCTGACACTCAGCTGCCACTGAGACCTCTGCACTTGGAGGTCAGAAAGCATCTCCCAGGCAGCATATTCAAAACCAAACTTGTGACGTCTTCCCCCAGATCTCCAGCACCCACCTCAGTAAATAGTGCCACTGTCTACTTGGTCTCTTAGACAAGACATGGTGGAGTCAACCCTGATCACTCTCCCCTCTCATCCCCTACATCCTTTCCATCCTCTTGCTTCTACTATCAGAACACATCCAGAAACGGGCCACATTCATCCCCCACTGCTTCTACCCTGAGCAAGCCACCCTCATCTCTCCAGCCTCCCAGCAGGTTTCCTCGTTGCCACTGTGGCCACCAACTCCAGTCTACACTCGACAAGGTCACAAACCCTTTAAAATGTAAGTCAGATCATGGCATTCCCCTGCTCAGAGCCCCCCTTGCTTTCCCATCAGACTTAGAATGAAATCACCATTGCTTTCCATGGCCTGCCAGGATCCAGTTTCCTCTGACATTATTCCCTACCCCCAACATTATTCCCTACCCCCTTCTCCTTGCTTATTCTATGCCAACCACAGTGGTCCCCTTGTCACTCCTAAACATCCCTAGCATCTTCCGGTGTTAGGGCTTTGCACTTGTTCCTTCTGCCCAGAACTTTCTTCCCTAGACATTTCTTGACTTCCTCTGATATCTCTGCTTAAACGTCACCTTCTCAAAGAGGCCCTCCCTGGTCATTTCATATAAAATATTGCCCCCAAGACTTTCTCTATCCTTTTTCCTGTATTAGTTTTCGTTGTATCACCAGTCACCACCTGACATCATACTGCAGATTTCTCTGTGCCTGAGGTCAGCATTCACCGCCACCACTAGAACAGGAGCTGCCTGTGGCTCACACCTTTTCTGCATCTCCACTGCTGTGCCTCCACTCTCTGGCCCAGAGCCAGCTCTCAAAAAAATATTTGTGCTATGAGTGTTGAAAAGTTTTGTTTGTGATGAAATTAGGGTTACGTATTTTTATGAAATGTGTATAATTATAGGTAAATTTAGGCTGGGCATGGTGGCTCGTGCCTGTAATCCTAGCAATTTGGGAGGTCATGGCAGGAGGATAGCTCAGGCCCAGGAGTTCAAGACCAGCCTGGGCAACATGGGAAGACCCTGTCTCTACAAAAAAAATAAAAAATTAACCAGGTGTTGCTAATGTGTGCCTGTAGTCCCAGATACTCGGGAGGGTAAGCTGGGAGGATTGCTTGAGCCTAGGAGGTTGAGGCTGCAGTGAGCCGTGATCACACCAGTGTACTTCAGCCTGGGCAACAGAGTGAGACCCTATAATTGACTGATTGATAGAGAGATGATAGATAGATAGATAGATAGATAGATAGATAGATAGATAGATAGATGATAGATAGATAGACTAAATAAATAAATAAAATAATTATAGGAAAATTTGAGGCTGGTTTCAAACCTCAATTCAGGGGCCTGACCCATTGGCCAGATCTCAGATGTATGCAATGTGTCAATCCCTGCCTGGACCATGAGGACCCACAGAGAAATAACACATGCTCTTCAGGATATGACTGAAGGCTGAAGTAAAGAACTTTCTTTCTGGTCCATATGAGTGGGCCACCAGTTAACAGCAAGCTTTCCAAACCATGGATGTTATACCCTTGCCCTACTAAGGGTGTTACTCTGGGTTGTAGTGACAGAAACCTCTACCAAAACAATAATAATATTCATGAAAAGTAGCCTTGACTCAGCCCATCATACACTCAGCCCTGGGCACATCCTAGGGATGCTGTGCGTGTGAGTCAAACACAGGCCTGGCTCTCAAGGACTTTGCAGTCTAGGGAGCCATAAATCAATGTGGTGTTGGTGGGTTTACAGATGGAGAACTGAGGCTTGGAGAGGGAAACTGACTTACAAGCTATTGATGGAGCCAGAGAGCAGGGAAGCTCGTCCCACACGGAAGAGATGGGAGGTGGGTGTAGGGGAGGTGGGACTGTGCCGGTGCTGTGTGCTACATTCAGATCACCTCTGTGAATCTCCCCAGTGACCCTAGACAGTGTGGTATTATCCCCTTTACAGATGAGGAAACTAAGTCCCTGACAGGACCACACAGTGGCCTGAGTGCAGGTGCTCACACAGCCATGGATTTGTCCAGCAGATTCAACCCTCACCAAACACTCGCGTTTGGTTGAAAATTGCTTCAAGCACTTTGCAAACTAACATGCAAAGACATGATATTATACATTGGGGGAAAAAAGTAATAAAATGGTCAAATCATTAACATCCTTGTTTTTATACAACTCTAGGATAAAGTATCAAGTTAATCTCATTCATTAAAATTGTTGCCAAAGACGTTTGTCTTTGGACTCATCAAATATACTGTTTGATGACATCATTCAGTAAAGGCAGCTTCCCAGCTCACCCATCTCTTGTTATCCCAAAATAAATTCTGATGTTTGTAAACTGCAGAAATTATTAAGTGTTTCTTTATTTGTCAGTTTCATCTTCCAAGGATAATCTAAGGCTGCCCTTAAAAGAAGCATTGAACAAATTTGCATTTGCCTCTTAGATTTAGATATGAATTTTAGAAATAAGAATTTGTTAAAAAAAAAATCCCCACCTCCACTGAACTGTGAACTCCTGAGAATAGAGACAGTATCTGATTCATCTCTGTAAGCCAAGTCTACACTTAGCATGGGACCTGGTCCTGTATCAGTCAATAACTGCTGCAACAATACTGCATAACAAACCACCCAGCTGAATGGCTTACAATAGCAGACATTTGTTCTCCTGCTCAGGAGCTGACTGCAGGCCAGCTTCAGTGTGACTGTTCTAATCCGGGTTCAGTTGGGTGATGATGTCCACACTGAAGAGCAGCTGGATGGGCTCCAGGATGCAGCTGAGCTTAAGTCTAGCCCGTGTGTGTTCATTCTGGGGCAGGCTGAAGGGGCGGTGGCTTTCTAGAGCACGCTCTTCTTATGGAAATCACCAAAACACCAGCTCCTTTACATCCTCTGCTGTGTTTCATCCACTAATTTACCACCGACCAAATCAAGTCATATGGCTAAGCCAACATCAATGGAAGGAGGAATTACTTTTCTCAGTGCAAAAGTACATGGTAAAGAGTGTGGGTGTGTAATCCTATTACAATGGAATGAAGAATTGGGACCCAAAATTTAATCTACCCCAGCAACCAATAAATATTGACTAAACAAAGGAATGCATGAAATCTTGCTCCACCTGTTTCCAGTGACATAGTCAGGGCTTCCTGTTCAATGTCTCTGAGACTCAGTATCCACATCTATAAAATGCAGTCTGATGCATGTGGGACTTAAAACCTAGATGACGGGTTGATGGGTGCAACAAACCACCATGGCACATGTATACCTATGCAACAAACCTGCACATGTAGCCCAGAACTTAAAGTAAAATTTTAAAAAATTTTAAAAAGCAACAACAACAACAAAATGGAGTGAATAATGCTTTCCAGCATTTAAGTGACTTGCCTGAAGTCTTATGGCAAGCCACTGGTGGAGACAGGATTTGAACACAGACCTCTTTGTCCATTCAATCATAAAAAGAGCCCTGGACTTGAGATCAGACAGACCCAAAGGTAAATCCCATCCCTGCCATGGGCTTGCCATGTGACCTTGGCCAAGTCCTTTCCCCTCTCTGTATATCAGGGTTTCTCTCTATATGACCAGGAGGGGTTACCAGTCCAATGCTAAGCTCTCATTCTTCGTGCCCTCTAAACTCATTCATCCATTTAACAAATACTAATGTTAGAACAGAATACAACTCAGGGTGCTGTGCTAGATCCTGGGGTAGGGCAGGGATCTTCAGTACAGGCCCCTAACTCTTGGAAAAATCTCCCATTCCCTCACCCCCTTCCCCAGGCTTGTCTCCAAGGACCTCAGCTATGCTGGAACATCAACAGTGGAGCTGTTGGTATCACTCTATGTTATAGTCACCAGCCTCAGCTGGGCTTTCAAGGCTGCCTGGCATTGCTGCTTTATTTCCACAATCACTTCCCTCTTGAGCTCCTTGTAATGACCATTGCATAGCTGCCCCATCCCCAGACCTCTGACACCCATCTCCTCCCTCAGTCTCAGTATGTAATCTTGCCTGCTACTTCCCAGTAAAAGTTGAAGACCTTAGATGAGAGCTTCCTCAACTTCCTGCTACCCTCCCTCCATACCCACCTTCCTGTCCTCTCCTCATTCCCCTTTGCTCCACTTGAGGCCCTGCTTCTGCTCCCCTTCAAAGACATTTCTGCCACCTCGGCTTTGGAACTCTTCCCCTCCCACCTTTGCAGGGGTTCACAAGATCAATTTTCTCTTCTCAACAGCTCCCTCTCAACCAGATTATGAGCATCAATATTTAAACATGCTTAAGTCTTTTACACCTTAAAAATAAAATCCTCTCTGTGACCTAACATCCCCTTCCAGCTGCCAGCTAATTTCCCTCCTCTCATTCTATTGCAGTCAGATCTCTTAGCTACAAGTAACAGGAGCCAACACTTGCTGATTTAAGCAAAAATGGAACTGATTAAAAGGATATTGAAACATATGTCCACAAAAAGACCTGTACACAAATGTTCATTGCAGCCTTATTCATCGTAGCCAAAAACTGGATATGGCTTTAATATTCACCAACAGGTGAGTGGATAAGCACATGCAGTATATTAAATAGTGCAGAATATGATCCAGCACCAAGAAAGCATTAACCACTGTAGATAAACATGTTTACTGTAGGTAGGCACACACCTACATGGATGACTCTCGAGAACATTAAGCTGAGGGAAAGAAGTCAGATACAACAATATTGATTGAATTTGTATAAAACTCTAGAACAGGAAAAACTATAGATATAGAAACC
The DNA here is from genome assembly GCF_000001405.40 of Homo sapiens. Lineage (NCBI taxonomy): Eukaryota > Metazoa > Chordata > Mammalia > Primates > Hominidae > Homo > Homo sapiens. The sequence continues at coordinate 47,743,908 of NC_000001.11, read as the reverse complement.
AATAAGCAGTTCCCTTGGACCAGAAGTCGGTGGGAAATGAACTGCAAAAGGGCACAAGGCAACTTTTTGGGGTGATGGAAGTGCTCCATATCTTGATTACAAAAGTGATCACATAGGGGTACACATTTTTCAAAATTCATTGACTTGTACCTCAATAAAGTGTACTTTTAAAGCTATACATACATACATACATACATACATACATAATTAACAGGTGCGCACATACTTGGTTGGCTTACAGAATTGCCAGGAGGCTGGAGAAACCAGTTTGGGTCTGCTTCTAAAACCACCATCACCACCACCACTTCCACCAACACGACCACCACCATCACCTCCATCACCATCACCATCACTGCCACCACCCCCGTCATGGCCACCACCACCAATATCACCATAATCACTGCCACCACCATCACCACCTCCATCACCATCACCACCACCACCATCACCACCACCACCACCACCACCATCACCAACACAACTCCCGCTATCACCACTGCCACCACCATCACCATCACCACCACCACCACCACCACTACCACCACCACCACCACCATCACCACCATCACCATTATCACCACCACCACCATCACTACCACCACCACCACTTCTACCACCACCACCGCCACCATCACCACCGTCACCATTATCACCACCACCACCATCACTACCACCACCACCACCACCATCACCATCACCACCATCACTACCACCACCATCACTTCCACCAACATGGCCATCACCATCACCTCCATCACCATCACCATCACCATCACTGCCACCTCCCTGCCATCGCCACTGCCCCTACCATTGCCACCGCCACCACCATCACCACCACTGCCACCACCACCATCACCACCACTAACACCATCACCACTACCACTACCACCGCTTCCCTTTCTGTTGGTGCCATGGTGAGCCCTGCTTACACCACTGTAGCTAGCTCTGCTATCCCAGGAACTCATCATTTTACAGCCAGCAGTGCTCTCAGAACACATTCCTCTTGTGCATTACTTGTTCCTGATTTTGAGTCTGGGATAACACTTCTGATACATAAGCCTTGTCCTATGTTCATCCCCACTCCAGGCCAGCTGGGAAGACAGGTACTGTATTTATCTGGTACCTTCCTCATGTGTAATGTGAGACAGGCTCTGTTTCTCAGCAAGATTCATAGGTAGAGAATTCTCCAAAAATAGGGAGATGATGCAGTTACTGGGCAACCAAAAAGAATGACAGGTGCCTACTCCTACACCTCACACAAACTCCTCAAAAGAATTGTCTACACTAGCTACCTCTGTTTCATCTCCCATTCTCTTCCCCACTGCAATCCAGCTTATACGACCCCCATCACTCTCCCAAACATGGCTTGCTAAGGTCACCAACGGCCTCCCTTTCTCTTAACCTAACAGACACCTTCTTTTTTTTTGTTAAGCAGTATTTGGTAAATGTATTTGATTGATTTAACAAAAATAAACTATGTTCCTGTTCTAAAACTGAATCTAGTGAGGGAGACTTCTGTGACAATTTACAAGGTATGAGGGAGGCAGTAAGGGAAAGCTCATATACCATGCTAGTTTTTCTCCTAAGCTCCAAGTGCCTTTTCTTATAAACCAAAGTGCTCCCATCGGTTAATGGGAATTTTTTTAACTTTTATTTTAGGTTTGGGGGTACATGTGAAGGTTTGTTACACAGGTAAACACACGTCACAGGGGTCTGTTTTTACATATTATTTCATTACCCAGGTATTAAGACCAGTACCCAATAGTGACCTTTCCTGCTCCTCTCCCTCCTTCCAGCCTCCACCATCAAGTAGACCCCAGTGTCTATCGTTTCCTTCTTTGTGTCCACGGGTTCTTATAACTTAGCTCCCACTTATAAGTGACACCATGTGGTATTTGATATTCTGTTCCTGAGTTAGTTTGCTAAGGATAATAGCCTCCAGCTCCATCCATGTTCATGCAAAATACATAATCTCATTCTTTTTTATGGCTGCATAGTATTCCATGGTGTATATGTACCATGTTTTCTTTATCTTGTGCCATTGATGGGCATTTATGTTGATTCCATATCTTTGCTATTGTGAATACTGCTGCAATGAACACTCATGTGCATGTATCTTTATGGTAGAATGATTTATATTCCTCTGGGTATATACCCAGTAATGGAATTGCTAGGTCAAATGGTAGTTCTGCTTTTAGCTCTTTGAGGAATCATCATACTGCTTTCCACAATGGTTGAACTAATTTATACTCCCACCAACAGTGTATAAGTGTTCCCTTTTCTCCACAATCTCCCCAGTATCTGTTGTTTTTTTTTTTTACTTTAAATAGTAATAGCCATTCTGACTGGTGTGAGATGGTATCTCATTGTAGTTTTGATTTGCTTTTCTCTAATGATCAGTGATATTGTACTTTTTTTCATATGCTTGTTGGTCACATGTATGTCTTCTTTTGAAAAGTGTCTGTTCATGTCTTTTGCCCACTTTTTAATGGGTTTTTTTTTCTCTTGAAAATTTGTTTAAGTTCCTTATAGATGCTGGATATTAGACCTTGGTCAGATGCATAGTTTGCAAATGTTTTCTCCCATTCTGTAAGTAGTCTGTTTACTCTGTTGATAGTTTCCTTTTGCTGTGCAGGAGGTCTTAAGTTTAATTAGATCCCACTTGTCAATTTTTGCTTTAGTTGTGATTGCTTTTGATGTCTTTGTCATAAAATCTTTGCCTGCTCCTATGTCCAGGATGGTATTGCCTAAGTTGTCTTACAGGTTTTTTATAGTTTGGGGTTTTACATTTAAGCCTTTAATCCATCTTGAGTTGATTTTTGTATAAGGTATAAGGAAGGGTTCCAGTTTCAATCTTCTGCATATGGCTAGCCAGTTATCTCAGTACCATTTATTGAATAGAGAGTCTTTTCTCCATTGCTTGTTATTTTCAGCTTTGTAGAAGATCAGATGGTCATAGATGTGTGGCCTTATTTCTGGGCTCTCTATTCTGTCCCATTGGTCTATCTGTCTGTTTTTGTATCCCTACCATGCTGTTTGGGTTACTGTAGCCTTATAGTATAGTTTGCAGTTGGGTAACATGATGCCTCCAGCTTTGTTCTTTGTGCTTAGGATTGCCTTGGCTATTCGGGCTCTTTTTTGGTTCTATATGAATTTTAAATTTTTTTTCTAGTTCTGTGAAGAATGTCATTGGTAATTCGATACGAATAGCATCGAATCTGTAAATTGCTTTGGGCAGTAGCCATTTTAATGATATTGGTTTTTCCTATCCATGAGCCTGGGATGTTTTTCCATTTGTTTGTGTCTTCTCTGATTTGTTTGAGAAGTGTTTTGTAATTCTCATTGTAGAAATCTTTCACCTCACTGGTTAGCTGTATCCCTAAGCATTTTATTCTTTTTGTGGCAATTGTGAATGGGATTGCCTTTCTGATTTGGCTCTCGGTTTGGCTATTGTTGGTATATAGGAATACTAGTGATTTTTGTACATTGATTTTGTATCCTGCAACTTTGCTGAAGTTGTTTATCCGCTGGAGGAGCTGTTGGGCTGAGACCATGGGGTTTTCTACACATATAATTACATTGTCTGCAAACAGATAGTTTGACTTCTTCTCTTCCTATTTGGATGTCCCTTATTTCATTCTCTTGCCTGATTGTTCTGGTTAAGACTTCCAATACTATATTGAATAGAAGTGGTGAGAGAATGCATCCTTGTCTTGTGCTAGTTTTCAAGGGGAATGCTTCCAGTTTTTGCCCATTCAGTGTGATGTTGGCTGTGGGTTTGTCATAGATGGCTCTTGATATTTTGAGGTATGTTCCTTCAATACCTAGTTTATTGAGTGTTTTAAACATGAAGCGGTGTTGGATTTTATTGAAAGCCTATTCTGTGCCTATTGAGATAATCATGTGGAAACACCCTCTTCTACAGGCTTCAGTGACACCTCCTCCTGAATTTATTTCTACTCTCCCTCATTTGATCGCTTGGTAAGATCATCTTCCTGTTCCCAGCCTTTCAATGTTGGAGCTCCCCATGGCTCAGCCTAAGACCTCTTCTCTTCTCCTCCATTCCCATCTCTCACTGGTGACTCACATTTATCTCTCTGGTCCAGAGAGACCTCTTGTCCAAGTTTCAGACCTAGCTGACATCTGCATTTAGCTGTCTCTAAGGCAATAATTCACACTCATCTCTTCCATTCAAAACCAACAGAGAGACAGATATGTGAATCATATAGGAGGAGATAAAAATATCAGCCTCAGTACTGGTGAATATAGATTGAAAAGGCTGCTTTGATGTATGGCCACAATCATACTTCCTAAAACTTATCCCAACACAAGTCCTTTGGGTGATGCACCCAGGTGAGCATTTGGGTCAGCAGAGCAAACATATTCCTGCAGAATCACTTCTATATGCCCACTGAACTACAATAATAGGAGCAAAGAGGGTACAAACTCTGGATAAACTCTAGAAGGCAGGCCAGACACTGCCCCAACATGCTTCCTACATGAAAGAAGGAGCAGAGCAGAACATGCCAAGCCTGCAGGCAATCCTCTCTCCCCGGTTCAGTCTTGGCTACCTTCAGATCTCACCTTTAGTACCTTCCACTGGGCAACCATCTCTGCAATCCTTCCTTCTCTACAAAACCAGGTCACTTCCTCATCACAGCCCTTCATAGGCCCCCTTTTCTTTCTTCAGGGTCCATCTCAAGTCTGCCACTACTGATTCACTGGGGGCTAATGGATGGCCATCACACTCACTTCTCATAAGCCACAGGACCTCAGGGAGGTGGCTGCTCAAGCGCCCTTTTATCCCCACCATCTGTCCCAGCGACAGGCACAAGATGGGGCTTGATCAATGCTTATATTAAGTAAATGAATGAATTTGATGATCCCTCAGTTTATTTTCTCTCTTCTGGACCAAGCACTGTCTGAGCCATTCACTTATTCCTGCCACCACCACCCCCACCCCCCCACCCATCTACGTGTGTGTGTGTGTGTGTGTGTGTGTGTGTGTCTCCTTCACTCCAGTCCACTATTCTTTCTTTACCTCTCTCCCTTCCTCGCTCCCACCCACAGATTCCTAACAGCTTTGCCAAAATTCCTCAGCCCAAAACTTTTGTGGCCACAGCGCCACCTAGAGTTCATCTATGAGATGGGCCAACCCCAGAGCCCTTGACCGCTGTCCAGCCTAGTGCGGCCCAACTCTGCCTTGGCCCCTCCACCTTATGTTCTGAGCACATCTCTGGGTCTTCACACTTCATTTTCCTGGATTCAATGTATTACCGTTTCTACAATTCCCTAAGTGCCTAGTGGAGACTTTAAAACAGAAAACTGCAGCAGGGCAGAGAGAGGGACAGATGTGGTTCAAAGTATTTCCCTCTAATGTTTGATCTACCTGTCTTTCCCTTCTTCTCTCCAGTTCTGTTTTTCTCTTCTCAACTTTAGCTAATAATTCCAATTGGTATTACAATACAGCAAATATTTCATGAGTAACAACAATATTTAAGACCCCATGCAAGGTATCAAGAGGAACTTACAGTTATGAGAGAAGGCATGTGAAAGGAAACAAGTATTTCTCTTATTCTCAGCTACTATTGCTTTTCTAAACCCACAGGCATTGTTCTGGCAGTTTGGACTGAATGCCTCAAAAACTGGTCTGGTAATTTCATCATGTGGGCAGAGGTTCATGAATAAGAAAGCACAATCCATCACTGCATGTAATGGCAAACATGTAGAAACAACCAACCTGCCCAACAGTAGAAGACTAAGTTATAGCACATCCACTTGCTTGAATAGTATGCCACTAAAATAATGCATGTAAGTGCTGTATAATAACGTGAGGACTTAGTTTTGAGCTAATTTGGGGGTAGGAAAACAGTTTACAACTTGTGTAGGAAGTATTATCTCAATTGTGTAAAATAAAAATACATGTGTGGAAAGATTATGAGAGAATAGTCTCAAATATTCTTAATGGTTGTTCTGCGGAATTCATTTTTTATTTTTCTTTATTCCCGAAAATGTAATGAGCTTGTGTTTCATTTACAATGAAAAATTAGAATAAACCTAAAAAATACTAGAATAATCTGAAAGAAAAGAAATATTTAAAAATATGAAATAAATCTGTATTAAGATGGTTCTTTCAGAGAATAAAACAGTGGTTACTACAGGTAGAGAAGGGAAGAGAGAATGGGAGACGCAGGTCAAAGCATATATAATAGCACATATGTAGGATGAACAAGTTGAGAGGCCTAAGGTACCACATGAAAACTAAAGCTAATACAATTGTATTGCATTAGTGGGGAAATGGTTCTCCAAATAGTCTATAAAGCTCATTATCAAACTGGGAAGTCTTTGGACTTTTTCTACTCTGGGGATAGAGAGTTTCGAGGTCTTCTGAGACCCACCAGATTCAAGGTCAAGAAGGAATCACAAATGTCTTCCCATTGCCCTGGGCTCAGCCAACATCTCCTCGGTACTTAGAAATGTGATTGGATCCCAGCGTTAGGGAACATATCTCAACCACTGGGCCTGCCACAGAGCATCACAGTCTACTGAGAGGAGCAAATCAAACACTGGGGACAATTGTGTGAAAGCTGTTACTGCAGGTGTGACTGCTCCTCCCCAACTCCCACCACTTTAAGATATGCCACAGCGACCACCCTGTGTGGTGGCTGTGCAATTACAGAGGAGCAGGGGCTGAGGCCATGTCTCCTCTCCACACCCTGTGGGCATTACCAGGCATACGGTGGGTGAGCATTGAAGACTTGCTGAATGTGAATCCTTCTCCACTAGGTTCTTGCTCGTATCCTGCCCCATTGCATCCTCACAGCAACCCCATGAGGAAGAGGACATTATTATACCTATTTGTCAGAGAACGGAACACATATGTCAAGTGGTGAAGTGATCTGTTCAAGGGCACACTTCTGGAAAGTGGCAGAACTGAGATGTTGTCTCAAGATCTGTCTGTTGCAAGCCCCACATTCTCTGTCTTGAGAGTGGCTGCATGAAGGAGCATATAAGGGAAATAGAAGTTTGACTTTGAGTTTGACCTGACCTTGAGTCTGACTTGACCCTGAATCAAGTGTCATCCCCACTAATTCATTATGTGACTTTGGGCAAGAAACTGCTTGGGGCCTTGGTTTCCTCAACTGCATAATGAAGACAATAATAATGCTTCCCTTGTAGAGTTATTGTGAATATTAAACACACACACAGACACATGGTCCCAGATGGGGTGACGCTGATATTATTTGAATTGTTCAAGAGCATAGAAAAAAATAAGGAAATCTTCAAAACATCTTTCAAAAATGGACCATAATGTTAGAAAAAAACAATAAATACTGTACAAAAACAAAAAGAAAACTACAGGGTAATCTCACTTAGAGATTTAGATGCAAAATCTTTATTAAAATATTAACAATCAGGATACAGAAGAACATTAAAAGAATACTACTATTTCCAAGTGGGATTCATTTCACAATGTAAGGATAGGTCAATATTAGGAAATCTACTATTATTCATCATATTAAAAGAGCAAAGAAGAAAAATCAGATGATGATCCCCAGGGACAATGACAAGATATGTTACAGAACTTAACAATTCTTGATGAAAAAGAAACAAAATGCAAAATAGAGTGGAAATGGATGGATGTTCCTAAGTAGATCTTCCTTGGGATAAGGAAAAGCAGTATCAGCTTTAATGTCACAAAAGGACTATCACTGAAATCCAGGAGAAAGATAAGAATGGCCACTTCTTCTACTATTATTTTTGCTTATTCTGAATTTACTTGTTGCAGGAGGCAGGGATGCAGAACTATTTCTTCTCCACTTCTGATGTTTTCTTCATCTTGGAGGGAGCCCAATCAGAATAACACACCTGGCCTTTCTCCACCCCTTATTCACTCCACTCCAGGGAAAATGGAGTGGCTTAGACTCGTGTATTTGGGAGCCTTACTTTGGGAGAGACCTGCCCACAGAGAATACACCTTCCCCTCTGCACCCACCCCCATACCTGAATCTTACAGGAGCAGCTGCCACTCACTCCACCACATGAGAGCATCCACACTCATCCCACAGTGCCCATGACATGGTAAGTAAGTCTGTTTTAGAAGATCCCCTTACCTTACAGATATGAGTCACATTCTCCAATAACTAGTCCTCGTGGATAAAACTGGTGCTGGCGTCTGCTTTGTACTTTCCCTGTCTTGAGCAGGGAAGAGGAGAGTATTAATCGAATCCCCTGAGACTCCATGAGTACTAATC